>NC_000011.10:125960303-126263333 GCF_000001405.40 Homo sapiens
CCAGCCTGAAACCTTGTCTCTAATAAAAATACAAGACAATTAGCTGGACGTGGTGGCAGGTGCCTGTAGTCCCAGCTACTCAGGAGGCTGAGGCGGGAGAATTGCTTGAACCTGGGAGGCGGAGGTTGCAGTGAGCCAAGATCGAGCCATTGCACTCCAGCCTGGATGACAGCAAGACTCCATCTCAAAAAACAAACAAAAAAAAGTCTGAGAATACACTATTGAAAGACCATTTTCCACCTGAAAACCCAGCTGGTGGCAACCTTCAACGGGCCCCTGCATTCCCTCCTAGCCGAAGCAGCCAAGAGATGGGATCCTTTGCATGAGGAGCTCTTGCTGTCACTATAGCTGTTAGAAAACATGGAAGGACCCCTCTGCCCTCCAGGTGACTGAATACTATGCAAAACAAGGTTGTTTCCTACCGAGGGGGAGGAAGGAATGGGGAAGAAAACATTTAAGGCATAAATAATATAAAAGGGCACACGTTTTAAGATACATTCATATGACATTACTACTACAAAAAAATAAATAATGATTTTCTCTGATTTGAATTAAGGTCCTTCACACAGTTCGCTCCCAGGCCTGTTGTGTGCAGTTACCGGCTTGAAGTTGGAACATGACTGGTTGTTTGCATGTCCTCAGGTTTCCCGGGGCTGCTGAAGGACCTCTGTCGGGCTGTCTAAAGGAATGCCAGGTGGAGACCACATTGTCTTCTCAGCACAGCCCTCGGGGACAGGTGGCAAAATAAGAGCATTCCAACTTACAATGTTGATCTCTGTTTCTGAATGGGCACAGCTGTCTCCTGAAACACAGCAGGGTTTGGGAGCATTATCAAATGATAAAGGCTGATTTTTACAAAGCAGTCTAAAAACTTCTTCACACTTTGAGCCAAGAAGAAAGAAAAACGAGCATAAATAGAACCTGGTTTGTGTGTGGTTTGAATTTGAGGGCGACAGAAGGTTTAAAAGGTTTAAAATAAAGTTGAGCTCTCATGAGAAGCTATACAATTCACCTGAGAAGTAAAGCAACCCCTTAAAAGCCCTAAAATAACCACCTGAAAGAAAGGTTACAACTCCAGAACCAACTCAAATCAAAAAGGGGCTCATGTTCACAAAATGCATTCTTCCAGCAAGTCTTCTGCTACCCTACGAATGAAATCAAAGCCTATTTCCAAATAGATTTTCCAAAGTGTGATGGGATTGACAGCCTGAGATGAAGGACATGAGTAATAACAGAATTTCAAAGAATCCTTTATCTTGAGTCCTATCTTTTCCTGAAGGACCCAGCACCCCACCCAGTCTCCCAAGAAATATGTAAACTAATCATAGAGGGGAAACTCTGAAAGCATCACCTTCCCATACACAGCTCTTAGCTAACTGAAGATGATCTGGAATCCTAAGGTTGATCATGCCTTCCTGACCTCTGCTGAACTCTGCTGGATCTTCTGAGCCATCAGAGCTGACGTCATTTACAATGTCCTGACAGCAGGTACGCTGAGTAGGGACTGGTTCCACATTGTCCTTGACGCTCTCCTCCGGCAACTGGCCACAATCAGGGACTGCGGAAGTCAGGCATACAGGCACCTTCACGTGACTGAGGGGCTTCATTTCCAAACCATCCTGAGGATAAGGTGCTACCACAGGGACCACAGGAGGAGGGCTGCTGCTGAAAGTGCTGTTGGTTTTGGTGAAACACCTGCAGAGGTTAAACCAAAAGAAACAGAATTGTGTCTAGAGGAACCAATAATTAAAATAAGCCTATTCTGAAATATCATTTGGTATTCTGTATTCACAGACTCTTAAGAAAGAGTGATGCTTAAAAACAACTAAATGATTCACTATGATTTGAAATACTGAGAATTTCAAAATGATAGTGAAAGTGCCATACAACAGGAGAATACACCAAAAGAATACTTAAGAATGCATTCTTATTCAATGTCCCAGCACACAGGCTTCCTTTGTCTTAGTCCACTGTCAGAAGTCATCTACTTCATTATTAACTGGCTCCCAAAAGTAGCACCCAGAAGGAAAAGGCCATTAGCTACTGGGAAGAATGAGAGAATAAAAGAGGAAGAGGAGGACAGGAAGCTAAGAAATGTATGGCCACACGAAAGAAACAACCTTAGGAAAGTTAACCAAAAACACACTGCTTTGAAATCAGATTATATGTTCCCCCTCATTCCTGGAGGAAACGCTATAAGGATTAGACATTCAAAATCTAGGAATTTTTAATTTTTCAACTTTTTTCTTCACAGAATTGCTGGAATTTATTACCACTGAGTATTTCACGTCAATTCTGTTCTACTTTTACTTCCTGCCTTTACGTACAATGTGTGTTTTCTTTAATTTTTTTCTTTCTGTTCTTCAGACTGGACAATTTCTACTGATCTATCTTCTTGTCCATTAACTTGTGGTCTCCAACAGCTGTTAAGCTCATCTAGTAAATTTTCCATTTTAGTTACTGAGCTCTTTAGCTCTGGAATTTCCATTTGGTCTTTTGTACCGGCTCTGTTTATCGGCTGAAATTCCCTATATGTTCATTTATTATGTGTATACCTTCCTTTAAATCCTTGAACATATTTATAATGGCTGCTTAAAGTCATTATCTGCTAATTGTGACATCTGGGTCCATCTCAGAGTCTGTTTCTATTGACTTTTTTTCCCTTAAGTAATTATCACATTTTCCTGTTTCTTCACATATATAATAATTTTTTTTAAACTAGATTTTCCTTTTAATTTTCTGGCTGCTCTGTTAGCATCACACTCAGTTCTCTGATAGCTTCTGCTTGTATCCTTGCCCCAAGATTGGAGAATGCTTTCAGACAGAAACCCATAAACTCATAAATCTCACACATTTTATTTCAAGGGTAGACTCTTATTCAGTTTCTGCCTGCTTCTGCTTATTCTCCAATACTTTCAAATTATCCAGATTTTATCATTATTATCTGTTGATGATCAAGCTATTCTACCATTACTGGAAGTTGGAGCCTTAGTGACACTTTTTTTCCCCCCTATAATTGGGAGTAAGAAAAGTCTGGAGATGACATTGCACTGGGCTTTGATTTGGACATGTTAGGTAGGAAACACATAGGACTGACCAGTAGTATCCTGGAGCTAGATAACGTTAGGCAATGAAGATAAGAATTATTTGGATTTGCATCCTTTAAACATGGGCTGATATGTTTCTGGGGCAAAGAAAAATCAGTAAAAGTCTAATCAACTGTTGCTAGCAGTTACACTCGTTCAAGTTACTGGAAATACCAAATCTTAAGCATGAAGACAGACATGAACCTGAAAGAGAATAAGATATCTGTCAGCAAACCAAATCTTTAATTTAAATAACTCCAACTTTAGTTTCAAATAGAGAAATATACTCACTATATAGATAATTAAATTCAGAGACCAGACACCTGGTAAGTAAAGTGTGACAAGTATTCATCTGTGCAGAATAATTTGAGTATGGTATTTTCTAATACGACTCTGATTTTAATGTTTAATTCTATAGCAAAAAAATGCCTGATTTAGATGTAACCTATGTGTTTCCACACATGTCTTCAGTGAATAAATAGTGAAGAAAGCTCTGGTGCAGAAGGACGTTAACTGGAGCCACAATCAGAGCACTGGTCTAGATGTGTCATGACTACAGAAGAGTACAGCATTCCCAACTTACTCTCTTGTCTATTTTATTCAACCCTGAACTTATAGAAAAATTTTCTGGATGCTGGCGAAGGTGAGCACTAATCTGAAACCCACTTAAAAATGTCCATGTGATCAGTGTCTTCCTTTCCTGCATTTTGTTCTTAGTCTCCCAATACTCAGGGAACCCTCAAGTCCCCCTGAATGTATTCAATGCATGGAATCTACAGACTCTAAACGGGGTGAAATGTGGGGCAAGGTCGTGGGGAGAAAAGCCTTTGTGAGTTCAAACTACTACTGCTGAGAATTTAATGATTATACATCTATATAACTAACCTTATCTGAAAGAACCCTTTATTGAGAAAGCATTTGCTAAATACCTTCCTTAGGTCAGACATCGTGGTAGGCACTGAAAGAGTGAAGAGTGAAGCAGGAAGAGAGCAGAGAGGGCTTTTACAAAGACTGCAACTCAGGAGCAAATCATGTCAGTCCCAGAATGACTTAAAGTGATCTGGCCTTTGTCCAACTGCCTGCCAAAGGCAGAAGTAAATCCTTTCTAGAGGGGGAAAACATCTTCCAGAAACTCTGCAAGTTTGTGTATCTGATGTCTAAAATTCAAAGGTAAGTAAAGCAGAGTTCCAGCTCCCAGTCTAGCAAAGGAGACAGACCAAAAAAAAAAAAGGTTACAATATAATCAATATAATGTAGGGTTATCTAAGAAAAGATAAAAGACACGGGGAGCAATTAACTTTGAGATAAGTCATACATGTGTGGCTGACAAGAATAGGGCACTTTGCACGTTCTAGCCAGAGACCAGTCCCAGTGTATTCTTCCATATTGCATCAGACTCAATCATCTCATAATCAGGAAAATTACATTAGAGAACAATTATGGAATTAGAGAGGAAGAAGGACTCTAATATCAAAAGATCAGAAATATCTTTCGTCGGGGCAACCTATATGGCTGCCACGTTTTGTTGAAAATAATTCTTTTTTTGTTTGTTTTTGAGAAGGAGTCTCGCTCCGTTGCCCAGGCTGGAGTGCAATGGAGTGATCTCAGTTCACTGCAACCTCCGCCTTTCGGGTTCAAGCAATTCTCCTGCCTCAGCCTCCCAAGTCACTGGGATTATAGGTGCATGCCACCACACCCAGCTAATTTTTTGTGTGTATTTTAGTAGAGACGGGGTTTCACCGTGTTGCCCAGGCTGGTCTCAAACTCCTGAGTTCAGGCAATCCACCCGTCTCTGCCTCCCAAAGTGCTAGGATTACGGGCGTAAGCCATCACGCCTGGCCAAAAATAATTCTTAAAAATTAAATTCCTGACTTCTGGCTATGGCTGATTAGCTTGTATCAGAACAATTCTGATTGTTCCTGCTAAGAACAACTAAAAAAAATGGAGGAATTTTGTCTTAAATCTGTTAAAGGCATGTGAGGGCTACCAAAGTACTCGAGGGGCTGAGATTCTGCAGGAAAGGTCCGAGTGGCCCTGAGCATCAGCACCACTTTTCTTCTGGAGGCATCTGCTCGATTCAGTGCAGGAGGAAACAAGGTGTCAAGAAGAAAGAGACAGATAAGAAGCTGAGCAGAACTTTTGGCTGTTTCATGGCACTGGGAGGACAAAAATTGGAGTTCAGCGTCTGCCAAGGAGAAAAGGCCCAGTAAACACCCTAGGCTTTTAAGTGGGACCCTTGAAGGGCTACACCCTAAAAATAAGAGTGAAGCAGGAAGAAAGCAGAGAGGGCTTTTACAAAGACTGCAACTCAAGAGCAAATCATGTCAATCCCAGAATGACTTAAAGTGATCTGGCCTTTGTCCAACTGCCTGCCAAAGGCAGAAGTAAATCCTTTCTAGAGGGGAAAACATCTTCCAGAAACTCTGCAAGTTTGTATATCTGATGTGTACAATTCAATAAAAAGCCTGGTTACTGTGGCTCACACCTGTAATCCCGGCACTTTGGGAGGCCGAGGCAGACGGATCACCTGACGTCGGGAGTTCGAGACAAGCCTGACCAACATGGAGAAACCGCGTCTCTACTAAAAAATACAAAAAATTAGCCAGGCGTGGTGGCGCATGCCTGTAATCCCAGCTACTCAGGAGGCTGAGGCAGGAGAACCGCTTGAACCCGAGAGGCAGAGGTTGTGGTGAGCCAAGATCATGCCATTGCACGCCAGCCTGGGCAAGAAGCGCGAAATTCCATCTCAAAAAAAAAAAAAAAATTCGATAAAAAGTACTGGGCACATCAGGAGACAAGAACAAGAGAAAAACAAGTGATGCAGATAGTGAGTGAGCAAAGACTTTAAAAACTGGATGAATACATTCAATAAAGTAGATGACAAGAATTTTAACAGAGAACTAGAATCTAATAATAATAATCACTTGGAAATTCTGAAATTAACAGTAAAGTAACCGAACTTTAAGAACTCAAGACATGGGGATAAGAGCATGCTGGGCACAGGCGAACAGAGGATTGCTGACCACGAAGCACATCAGTTCCCACGACAAGGGATGGAAAATATGAAAGCAGCTGAAGGAACAGAGGAGGCACCGTATGGCGAAAAACTCTGTATTTAACTGGAGTCTCTCTGCAGGGGGAAAGGAGAGAATGCAACAGAAGCCGCACTGGAGACACAGAAGCTAAGAGTTTTCTAAACCTGATGAAAGCTCAAGCCGCAGATCCAAGAAGCTCTGTGGACCCCAGGCAGAATACAAAGAAAATTACACCGATCAATGCCAATAATTAAATGGGTAGAAGCAAAATACAAAGACAAAATCAAAAAAAGCAGCCAGAAGAAAAAGATGTATTACCTTGAAAGGGAACAACAATAGCTGTACAGATGATTTTTCAACAGAAATGATGGAAGCAATAAAGTAACAGAATAATGTCTTTAAAGTACAGAAAGACAGTAACTGCCAATCTAGAAGTCAATTAGAGGTTAAAAAAAAAAAGAAAAAACCTTCAAAAAGGAAGACAAATTAAAGATATTCTTAGACAACAAAGCTGGGAAAATCTGTCACCTTCAGTCTTGTACTGTAAGAAATATTAAGGGAAGTTCTTCAAGTTGAAGGAAAATGACTAGCAACAGATTTAAAAAAAAAAAAGGAAATACAGAAAGGAATGAGTAGCAACAAAAAAAGAATGCAGGGAATTCTGAATAAATATGGATTGCAAAAGCAGTAATGTTAATATCTTAGAGGATTTTAAATATTTTTAGAATACAAACATATGAAGAAAACAACACAAAACACTGGAGGGGGAAATGGAGTTAAAAATGTTCTAAAGTATTTGTATTGTCTGGAAAGTCGTAAAAGTCCTAATTCACATTAAACTCTAACTAATGTCATAATGGCTAGCACCAAGCACATAGAAAATGACACACAATAGGACCTCAAAAATGTTTTTTAAAAATGATAAACATTAGAACATCAGACTTTTTGCTTTTTTAATGATAGTTATTTCTGTCCTAGTTCAATATTGATTCTGTGATCTGTAAGGTCCTTCTATTATCTGTCTGCTTCAAAGTTGTCTGACTTACACTTCAATCTCCTGGAGCAAACGCAATGACAGTTCTCAGTGTCAGATACCTTAGGACACACAGCACAGTCAGGTACTTAATGAAATCCCTCAACAGTGATGGCCTAAAATACACTAAGTGATCTTCTGCCTTGATGTCGCATTGCTCTGCAAGAATCTGGAGGTAATAAAAAGCTACTAGAAACCTGTATTTTCTTTATGGGTCTCACTCTGTTGCCCAGGCTGGGTACGATCATGGCTCACTGCACCGTTGACCTCCCTGGCTCATGTGATCCTCCCACCTTAGCCTCCAGAGCAGCTGAGGCTATGAGAATAGGGCACTTCCCACATTCTAGGTAGAGACTAGTCCCAGTATATTCTTCCATATTGCATCAGACTCAATCAGACTACAGGCACGTGCTACCATTCCTGAAAAATTTTTAAATTTTTTTTGTAGAGAAGGGGGTCTCATTATGTTGCCCAGTCTGGTCTTGAACTCCTAGGCTCAGGCAATCTTCCTACCTCAGCCTCCTAAAGTGCTAGAATTATAGGTGTGGGCCACCACGCCTGGCTAAAACCTATATTTTAAAGATGGAGAAGTATCAGATCAGAAAGAAAAGTTTTCATTTAAAAGAAATAAAATTAAGATACAGGAAAAAAAATGCATATACACATATTTGCCAGAATTTGAAAACCTAGGACAGTTCCCTACAAAATATTAGAAATTAATAACCTGTTTATACAGATTGAACTTGAATGAACTCATAATGTTGATATAACAAAACAATGATGACTCGCCAGACAATGAGATGCCCTCAAAGCCTTCTGCTTCCTTCTGTTTAATTTCTTTTTTTCTGCTCTTGTCTTTAATTTAAAGCCAAGTTACAGAATGAGATTTTTTAATGAAGTCTAAAGGCAGACTAATAGTTTGTAAAGTACTTCTGTCAGAGTGACAGTGAAGTTTTACACATGGGGCAGGACTGGAGGAGCGGGCGAGACAGAGGCGCAAGGGCCAACCACAAGTGTGGTTATCAGCGTGTCGACACAGGTTTTATGGGGAGCTAACAGGCGTATGAAATACACACACTTCTTAAAGAAATTCCAGATATTTAGCAAGAGAGAAGTACAATTTCCTATTACCTACTCTTTAGCATCTGTTTTTCAGATAAGTAAAACAGGAAATCATAGCAGTGTTTACTTTATTCTGAACTATGATCCTCAGTCACTAGAGTGGTGTTGACGGTAACATACTTGGGAGTTAGATCTGTAAAGCAACTGTGACCTGAATTTCAGCATCAACCACATTGATTTAAAATTTTCTAGTACACTGAATCTTAACTCATAATCATCAGTAATTAACCAATTAGCTAACCAAATGTAAATGATTCAGTTAAATTACTTTTAGTTCAATTCCAGATGTCTACATGTGTCAGCATAAAAATGGCTTTAACTTAGGGGTTACATGTTGAGATACAGGCATAAAGAACATCATCTGCTAAAAAGGAACATAGTCTGTTCTGAATATAACCAGACATGATATATGAAAACTATTATTATTATTATCATTGCGATGAAGTTTTGCTCTCATTGCCCAGGCTGGAGTGCAATGGCGTGATCTCAGCTCACTGCAACCTCCGCCTCCCAGGTTCAAGTGATTCTCCTGCCTCAGCCTCCCGA
This sequence comes from Homo sapiens, assembly GCF_000001405.40. Classification (NCBI taxonomy): domain Eukaryota; kingdom Metazoa; phylum Chordata; class Mammalia; order Primates; family Hominidae; genus Homo; species Homo sapiens. The sequence continues at coordinate 125,969,126 of NC_000011.10, forward strand.
GTAGCTGGGATTACAGGCATGCGCCACCATGCCCAGCTAATTTTGTATTTTTAGTAGAGACAGGGTTTCTCCATGTTGGTCAGGCTGGTCTTGAACTCCCGACCTCAGGTGATCCGCCTGCCTTAGTCTCCCAAAGTGCTGGGATTACAGGCGTGAGCCACCACGCCTGGACCGTGAAAACAAATATTTTACTAATAATGCTTTAGTTAAAATTTCCAAAGCAATTAGATGATCACAAAAATCATATCTGTACATATGTAAACTTAAGAGACAAATCTAAGGTAGTAAATAAGAAAACAGGACAAATGTCTGCAAACATATGACATTCAATAAAATGCTCTCACAATGCACATTTTACAGTTTATATAATGCAAATAGTTTGTAACTTCACTATCTTAGGCTTCTCAAATGGTCTTTCAAATGCAGTTATTACTGGCTTAAGGTGGAATAAAAGTTTTTACTGAGTTTTCTCTAGCTCAATGAAACTACTTTGTTTAATCTTAAGTTTAAAAACATTGAGTAAATGGAGCTCTATGCATCTTGCTACATACAAAAATCTAAGCTGTTTTGTAAAACCTCAGGTGGTCTGGGACCTGTTAGTTTACTAAGATACCTTTTAGTAACACAGGAAAGGCCTGTCTGACCAATCTGAAAGATAGGAAAATGACTATTGTGGTATCACAAAAAATAATAAAATATTCTTTAAGCAACACTCTGAATAGCAGACTAGGAAATAGAAGATTGGAAGAGTAGTGTAGGATTGTGCTTGGAAGAATATTCTTGTAAAACTATACAGCACCTCTGAAATATTTTCTAGAATGTATTCGAAGTATTCCACTTCTGATTACACAGTTGAATATTTGTTAAGCATGATTATGTACAGAATTACTCTGATTAGATGACTATATAATTTTTGCATTAAGTTTCCTCTTTTGATTATGCCTAGAGGGAAAGAACTATCCGTGAATTTCTTGGATGTGTGATACTTGTTCTCATGCATATATTCTTGAGACTTCGGAAATAGTTACATCTTGGTGGTAGTTTATGTTTTTTTTTTTTTTTTTTTTTGAGACAGAGTCTTGCTCTGTCGCCAGGCTGGAGTGCAGTGGCGCGATCTCGACTCACCGCAACCTCTGCCTCCCGGATTCAAGCAATTCTCCTGCCTCAGGCTCCAGAGTAGCTGAGATTACAGGCGCGCGCCACCACGCCTGGCTGATTTTTGTTTTTTTAGTAGAGATGGGGTTTCACCATGTTGGTCAGGCTGGTCTCGAACTTCTGACCTCGTGATCTGCCTGCTTCAGTCTCCCAAAGTGCTGGGATTACAGACGTGAGCCACCGCACCCGGCCAGTAGTTTATGTTAAAATTCCACTCACCTCTGCTGTTTCCACTAGTCACTGTGTCATTTTGCTGACCCAGCTCTTATTTTCGGGAGCTTATCAGTTACTACCTAAAGAACCCTGATGGCACCGCTCCAGGGCCATGGCCGTCTTCCCTTCTCGATATCTGCTCTGTTGGATGCTGCGATGACCGCAGCATTAGAGTGGGAGTTTCCTTTTGGGAATTAATCTATCAGCAGCTGTCACATAAAACATGACAGTAAATGTTGAGTGACAACAAATGACTGAGTGTATTCCTGAACATGGCAAGTTGACAGACACACACGAGCTTATAAAGAAAGACAAAAAGCTGGACTCCCTGACAACAGGCGCTAGGTCTCCATCTTAGAAGTACGAGACAGACTTGGGGAGATATATAACTTCCCCAAAAGGAAAGCACTGATCAATTTTTAAAATTCAACACAGCACTCTGAATTTCTTAGGGAAATAGGGAGATTACCATAGATGGAAGAGAAGCTGAATGCCTGTTTTCTGCTGGAAGAAAAAGCTCAGGTGAACTGGACAACTTGTTGTTTTAATACTTAGCAAACCAACTGGGTAGATCAAACCTTAGGCCTGAAAGAACTGCTATGATAATTAACGTTCTCCGGTGGCTCACGCCTGTAATCCCAGTACTTTGGGGGGCCAAGGCGGGCGGATCACGAGGTCAGGAGACCAAGACCATCCTGGCTAACACAGTGAAACCCCATCTCTACTAAAAACATAAAAAATTAGCTGGGTGTGGTGGCGGGCACTTGTAGTCCCAGCAACTCAGGAGGCTGAGGCAGGAGAATGGCGTGAACCTGGGAGGTGGAGCTTGCAGTGAGCCGAGATCGCACCACTGCACTCCAGCCTGGGCGACACAGCGAGACTCTGTCTCTAAATAAATAAATAAATAAATAAATAAATAATAATAATTAATGTTCTCATATTCATCTCTACATGTTGTTGTCATCGGAGGACATCTGACATCCACGGAGGGTTTCAAGTTGGTGAAAGAGCATTCCCAAATCCAACACACAGACTTTTAAGGTTGTCATTATACAAAACTCTGAAGTCATTTGTAGTATCTCTGTTCTCTAAAGCACCGTTCCCAGTAGTTTTACTACTTCTCTTGACTATCAGCCATGTAATTTGTACTTTTTTTCCCAGATGAATTATATAATTTTTCCAAGCTGATTTTCGCTGGGAGACTTCCTGTCCATCTCCAGTCTCTCTACGACCCTTCGAGTTAATTTCTCATTCCTTCCTGATGGGGTCTCTCGGTCCGTTCATCTGTGAATTTCATCAGTGTCCTCTCTACTCTCTCTTACAAATTATCAAGGCTGATGCTAAAAAAGACCAGATTTAATGCCAATCCCTTTCCATTAAACTAGCCAAGCAACTGATAAGCCACATTTAATTACATATCCAGAACTGCATTACTGCCTTTTGAATTCAGGAGAAGAGAAGAGAAGGGTAGAAAGCTTTCGATGTTTTTTGATTAAAATCCATTTAACTCTTGAAATGCCCAAATGGCACAAGGATTTCTTGATTAGGTCTCTGGTGTAAGGAACTGGCTCTCTGCAAAGCTGCCTTAAATATGCTTCTTTCTAGGCATTCATAGTGAGCTTTACATATTACTCTTAAAAACTGCAAAGGGGTCAGGCGCGGTAGCTCGCGCCTGTAATCTCAGAACATTGGGAGGCCGAGGCGGGCAGATCACATGAGGCCAGGAGTGCGAGACCAGCCTAGCCAACATGGCAAAACTCCGTCTCTACTAAAAATACAAAAAAATTAGCCAGCCATGGTGCCACACGCCTGTAATTCCAGCTACTAAGGAGGCTGAGGCATGAGAATCGCTTGAACCCAGGAAGCGGCGTTGCAGTGAGCCAAGACTACACCACTGCACTCCAGCCTGGGTACTGGAGTGAGACTCTGTCTCAAAAAAAACAAAAGAAAATCAAAAGAAACTAAAAAGGATTCAAGGTCATGGAACCCAGTGAGGCAAGCGGTCATTTACAGCATGTCACAAGAGCCCCAGAATCAACTACAACTTCCCCACAGATCTATACAGTGCACCCTCCCCTCACCTGCTCTCAACTTTTCACATCATACTCTCATTTACATAATAGAGGCAACGTTTTCCCTCCAGATGGTTATTACTAAAATAGATGGGTGATAAAAGGGGTCAAGGGTTGGCAATGTTTCTTAAAAGCTCACTCCAAGAAATATGCTTAAGTTTACAACTGAGAAGGCAGAGAAAAAAGAACCTGGAGTGGCAGGGCACAGAGCAGGTAAGAGTCCGTACGGAAAAGGCCCCATGCAAGACTTCTCCAGTTCTCAGTATCTGTGGAATAAAGAAGGCGAATTGCAGAGGCACCACCAGATCTCAGAGGACAACTCTCCAGAAGTATACTGTGGGGCAGCTCCTCTTCATCTCCTGCAGTGTTCTCTGCCTCAGTGACTGCGCCCAGACACCTAGACATCATCTTCAACTGCTTCCTCCACTGGCCTCTTCAACCAATTACTTGGTCTTTTTTTTTTTTTTTTTTTTTTTTAAATCCCTCAGACTCATTCAGACTCATCTCCTTCTAAATCCTAATTCTCTCAAAATTCTTCTCTTTCTCTCCCTACAACTATGCTAGTCTACTGTTTCTCATCTGGACTACTGCAACTGCCATCTAACTGGTCTCCAGGTATCCTCTCCTGCCCCATCCAATTTAGTCTCCAAACTGCATCCAGAGTGTTCTTTAAAAACCCAAATTCAGCTGGGCATGGTGGCTCATGCCTGTAATCCCAGCACTTTGGGAGGCCAAGACGGGTGGATCATGAGGTTAGGAGTTCAAGATCAGCCTGACTGACATGGTGAAACCCCGTCTCTACTAAAAATGCAAAAAATTAGCCGGGCGTGGTGGCGGGCACCTGTAATCCCAGCTACTTGGGAGGCTGAGGCAGAGAATTGCTTGAACCCGGGAGGTGGAGGTTGCAGTGAGCCAAGATCGTGCCACTGCACTCCAGCCTGGGCAACAGAGTGAGACTCCATCTCAGAAAACAAAAACAAAAACAAAAACGAATTCCTGCTTAAAACCATCCACAGATGTGCCATGGCTCTGTGTGATCTGATTTCACTCGCCTTTTAATTCTGACTCCTCCAGTTACTAGGTTTCTGCTATGTTGGCCTTCTTTAAGTTCTTTGAGGATTCAGGCATTCTGTTTTAGAGATTGTGTATAAATGGTCCCCTTTGCCTGGAAAGCTCTAAACTTATTTCCTTCCCTTAGACCTAATTTTATAAATCTTCAGAGCTCAGCAAAATGCCACTTGCTTACAGAGGGCTTTCCTCTCTCCCACATTCTTTACTTTTCCTTTAAAGCATCCAGATTTAATTACATATTCATTTTTATTATTTATGTCATTTTTTTTTTCTTTTGAGACAGAGTTTCGCTCTTGTTGCCCAGCCTGGAGTGCAGTGGCGTGATCTTGGCTCATTGCAACCTCTGCCTCCCGGGTTCAAGTGATTCTTCTGCTTCATCCTCCGGTGTAGCTGGGATTACAGACACTTGCCACCATGCCCAGCTAATTTTTGTATTTTTAGTAGAGATGGGGTTTCACCACATTGGCCAGGTTGGTCTCAAACTCCTGACCTCAGGTGATCCGCCCGCCATAGCCTCCCAAAGTGCTGGGATTACAGGCGTGAGCCACTGCACCCCGCCGATTTATGTCATTTTCTTAAAAGATATGTCTCCCCTATTAAACTCTAAGCTCCACGCAGGCAGGAGCAATGCCTGTTATGCTCACTGCCATATCCCCAGTACCTAGTTTGGTGCTTGGCTCACTAGAGACCTGCAGCAAACATTTGTAGGTAGGTAGGTAGGTAGGTAGGTAGGAAGGAAGGAAGGAAGGAAGGAAGGGAGGGAGGGAGGGAGGGAGGGAGGGAGGGAGGGAGGGAATTCTTTTTTTCTTTTTTACTCTCCTTATTTTATCATTCTCCTTTTCCCATCTCTGTTATTCTCTGAAGATGTATTAAGGCAGTAAGAAAAAATAACAAAAGATATGATGTCTTATAAAAAGAATGTCTAATCACTTTAAATACATAATAAAAGCAAATAAATGCATCAAATAATTAAATATATAAAAATAATCAATCTGCCAAGGATATTGTCTCCTTTGGTGTCTCATCTGTTTTTAAGTTCTATTACTTGGATAGAACTTAAAATGGTCCTAAATCTGTATCACAGTTCCATTCTACCCCCTGAAGCCAAGACCAGCATTTTCATCTTTCTCCTTAAGATATCAACTCATACTTCAACTCTAAAACCAAATTTATCACCTTTTTATGATGTATCATTTTATTAAGTTTCTTATTACTATGACTACCACCCAGATCATCCATGTTTGAAACTTCTTACACATCTGGAATCTTCTGTTTTTCTAGATCCCTGTCAGTCAATGGCCAAGTCCTGAAGACTCCATGTCTGCAGTCTCACTCATCCCTTCCTCTTCATCCCCATTCCCCATGTCTCACTGATCCCCTCCCTCCCTTCCCTCCTGTGCACTGCCATCTTTCATCCAGCCTGAGCATATCTCTGAACAGATCATTCCTGTTCTCAATAAGCTTTGCAACAATTATGATGCTGCTACCCCAGTGTTTCTCAACATTTAACGCATATCCCCTTTTGATTAATATAAAAATTGCATACCCTTGTATACATAGACATTACAGACATAGAGATTTTTTTCTATTCTTTAAATATAAAATTATAAAACTCAACGTGCTTCTTCAAACTCTACTCACTATATCCCTACCTCTGTCTGAGAATCACTATTGTTAGACTATGGACTCTCTGAAGGCAGGGCCTAGGCCAGTACCCAGTACATGACAGGCACTCAATAAAAGGCCTTGTTTATTAAATAAACTTGCTTATTTAATAAATAATATTTAATAGGACTATTATTAAGTAATAGGACTTGTTTATTAAATAAACTACTAAACCTTCACATTCAGGGTTATCCACTATATAAACTCAGTCCAGTTGTCCAATTTCAATATCCTACTATTCTCTAGTTGCACTTCACAGCCGATCAAATTATTCCAGCGGTTCTCAAAGCATGGTCCCAGGACCATGGGCATCAGTACCATCTGCGAACTCATTAGAAATGCAAATTCTCAGGCCCCACCCTAGACCTGCTGAATGGGAAACTCTGGTCTAAGAATAGGAGTGGGAGTAGAGCCTAGTAATGTGCGTTTTTATTAAGTGTTTCAAGTGATGCACGCTAAAGTTTGAGAACCACTGAAGTCGCCTATTCATTCTTATGTAAACATTATCCTTTCTACGTCCATGACTGTTCTTACATTCCTTCTACGGGGAAACACCTCAGAACCTAGTCCAGAGCCTGGGTAGTGCTCAGTAAATGTTTGTTTTGTTTTGTTTGACTGAACAGCCAAAAATCATATGAGGCCCACTTGATAGCCCTCATATAACTTAACTGAAATCACGCTTCTTTTTATGTTTACACTATTTCAGCTGATATTCAGAAATGCAAACTCATTCATAGTAACAATGTCGATATTCTAAAAGCATAAATTGACTATAATTTTCTATATTTTGAGAGTAAACCACGTATCATCTACCTTTCGGCATTCACAGCTTTTTACAAATTTTGTCATTTGTAAGATCTTAAGAGGAGATACCTGTTCTCAATTCCAAAGTGAAAAGACTTAAAATCTTTAAATTTAATAATTCAAATTTTCTAGAGCTGAAGGTAGGTACTTATTGATACTTATCTGTCCAATTATTGAGTGTCAAAATCATACAGTTGCTCCTGGGAGCCAGGTGAGACACTGGCTAACCTTGAAGGCAATGCAGGCAAGTAAAGACTTGCACTAAACAGGCAGATTCTCATGAGGAAGAAAATTGAAACCAGGAAGAAAAAGAATCTGGTGTTCCAAGCTGAAGAGAATTCACCTAAATTCCCAGATAACAGTAAAACCCACACACATGAAATGTAGTAAGTCATTAACTTGAAAATTAATAGAAATACAATTGTTCATTGTCTTAAAGGAAAAAAAAACTGTATAATAAAAACTTGAAAATACTAAAATACTACATACACACACATGCACACACACACACAAACACACACACACACACACACTACACATACAAATAGCCACAAAGCCAAGGTCATTTAAATGGCAGAGGTCATATAAGTCCTTCTAAGGAAATGGGATGCATTCTTGATATTAAGATGATACTTCATCAAAAAGACATGATTGGCAGGAAATTGCCAGAGACTACCGTCAGATTATGTTGGGAGCAATCTTACATTACCTAGGACAATTTTCCCCTTTTTAGTTAAGGAAATAGCTTCAGAAACATTACGTTACTTTCGCAAGATCACAGGTTTAAGCTATGTCACAGCCCAGGTCTACTTATTCTTAGACCAGAGATCCTGTCGTTATACCATTCTATTGTCCAGGAGAACCAAGATCTGCTGATGACCAAGAACCACAAAAGAAAACACGTTAAAATTTTAAGCAAGACCACTTGTAACTAAATCCGTCTGATTACTCGCCAGGTACATGAACCACCTTTACCAGGTCTTTAGCACGTTGCCTAACAAACTACGGTAAAGTCCATGAAAAGCTCAAGACAAAAATGTGGTTTCAATGTTATGAACATTTGCAAAACCAGGGTCATATAGAATTTAAATACGTAACAAGCAAACCTTAGTACATAAAAGAAGCAGATGGCTCTTTTATAGACACCCTGAAATGGGTTAAGTAAATGATAACAAACAATCTCCAAGAAGCTCTGTTGCTTTTGTTCTGCAACTCTCAAAACACAGGCTGGAACAACGTATTTTTAATTTGATGGTTGGCCTGATCCTTCTTCAAGTTCTGGTTTCAATAACTCCCAGAGACAACTCTTAACCTGTTAATCCATTTTAAATATATAGGTCAAACATCATTTCAATAATAAAATATCTAAACTCCCACCCATACTCCAGTTATTTTATGTACTAACTATGACATAATCTTTTTGGTTGTAGAGTTTTAGGACTGAGAAGGAAGGACTTTTGACACCATGTAATTCAATAACATCATTATGTAAAAGAAAGAACTAAGATTTCTGAAACAACTTTAATACAACAAAAAGCTTGGTAATCCTTGGGATTACCATAGAGAGAGGTCGTAGGAAAGTGTGCCGAGTATCCTATGTGTTAAATGCACATTGCTCTCCATATTTCTATCTTGTTTGAAATATTGTGAGTACATACCACTTTTAAAATTAAAACACAAAATTCAAAGCAAGGGTTTGCTGCTTAATTTTCTTAAGATTTTAAGAATTAAAAAAAAACACTGGATAATCTGGTAGGAAAATTTCAGTAACATTACTGTGAAAAAAATTACTATATACAGAGGGTTCCCCCCTCCCCCCAACACTCAGAAACACTGTCATTCATCCTCATAACATCCCATAACATAGAGTAGAAAATAAAAGGTGAGAAAAGATAAAGTCTTTATAACAGAGAATGACTCTAATTTAAAATTTTCAAAAACATTAAGCCTTATAATAATATTTCAGTGACAAATAGAGCCTTTAAGATGGTTTCTATATAGCTGAAGAAACCGAGGCACAAAAAGACAAAAATTGGAAAGCAGAGGCAAAAAATTAGTAACAGCTTTAAATTTAAGATTGCAAATCCTGAACTTTATATCCTAGGTAAAATTCCAAGAACTTTCTTTGCTGAAGGGAAAAATAAAAGGATGCATATGCCTTATTCACAACAGCTTGTGCAGACACATTATTAACATACCTATTGTTGTTTCGACAATTTCGGCAGTTAACACACTCCAGAGGGTCAATCTGAGGCACGGCCGTGTACATTCCACCACCCTGGACAGGAAGGAGTGTCAGAGAAAAAGAAAAGAAGAAGGAATGCTGAAGGTACTCACAGACCAGTAGCCAAATAATCACAAATACACATGAGCCATGTCAACCATAAATGGGCACACAGTATATTCTAACCAACTCCCAGAGCAACGTCATTGTGAATATCACTGACCCATATTCACAAAGGAGTGAATGAGAGTTCTGCATTAGATTTAACTGTATTCCAAAAACTTCACTGCCATGTTTTCCTACGTATTTCTGTACTAGACAAAGGTAAATAAATGAAGGGAAAAGTTTAGTCACTTCCCTTCAAATCTAGTGGGCTCAAAATACATTATATGTTATAGCCTCCATTCATTTTCCCTTTCTTGGCAGTCAGGGAAGAATTTCATGTGATACCAGTTGGAGAAACAGGGTGTAAAACCTGTGTAGATGATGTCACATGATAAACTCATCTTCATTTTCCTGTAATTATTTCAATTAGGTCTGTTCACTTGACAACGCTAAGTTTTAAAGCATGCTATATTTTTCCAGATGGAGTAGATCTTCAGCCAGCAATGACTTGGAGGGGGTGTGTTAATATTTGGATGTTGCTTTTGGCGGAAACTGCCCAGCAATTAAGAAAAATGCCCAGATTAACACATACCTCATTGTAAAATGTTCACTTGACAGACAGCAAGGTTCTTCAAAAATGAAGTTAAAAATTAAACTAGCCTGATAGTCAGAGGCAGAATTCTGCTTTCAGAAGAAAAACAGCAGAACTGAATTTGATAAAAGGTGGGAGAGGCTGTCACACTGCACCCAAACCCAAAGCAGGCCTTCAAGGTTAGGAAAAGTTCAGGCAATTGTTTTTCCTAGAATACTTTCCATTTCCATTCATTTCATAACAGTAGCCAGAATCTAAGCAAACCAAAAGTCCTGAAAATTTCCTTCAGTGTTTCTGATCCAACCAGCAACAGGAATTATTAAGAACATATCGAGAGAAAGAACTCTCCTATACTATATTCCATCTGAGGGAAAACCTGAAAGGCTCAGAAAATGAAGTTCACAACCTGCAGGGTAACGTTGTGACTTACGGATTCTCTGAATCCCTCAACACGTTGAAGTTAGTGCAATGATTTTTAGGGTCACTAACACTGTTAAAATTTCTCTATTTCCCCCACCCAGAAAAGTAAGAAAACGAATAATTTAGAATCACAGATAACTTCTGACATTGTACACCAAATGGGGCACCTATTATTTAAATAGAAATTCATTGTTCAAAAAACCCAAGGTTCCGTGTTCAAACACTAAAGCGAACATGGGCCTTATGTTTTCTTCTTATGGAAACAGTGTGTGCTATTCAAATGTTAATGCTCTCTCCTTCAGTTTTCTTGGACAATGGTAGTAGTTTGGACTAGGAATGGTGACCAAAAAAGCTTAGAAAGTCTGAATACATGCTGTATCTTTCCACACAAAATAGTGAAATCATGATTCTCTTTTAGTAATGAGATGCATTAAAGCAAATTAATATTTCTTCCACAACATACAAAAGCTAGGTCACATAAAAGCTATTCAATTTCTAGCTTTAAAATATGAGTATATATTAGTTTTGTTCTCCAAATAGATTTTAATAAATCTTTAATAAACTGAAGATGGGGGGAAAAAAAACTCTAAGCTTCTTCAAATTGTAGCACATTGTGGGTCATGGTAAATTTATTTGTAATCAGAACAATGACAAAAACTGAATGCTTAATTCCATCAATTAAACAAATTATCTATTTGATCAAAAGTAATATAGATGTGCATCCAAACAATGTCATAAATCAAACTTTCTAGTGCAGAGAACCCCACGTAAGTCTAAAATATGCTAGTCATTCTACTACCATTTCAAAAATTAAACGCTATCAACTAGTTATCTCTGAAATAAGGTTGTCTTAAGGGTTTATCACTCTTTGTGTGGCTAAAGAATACTAACATTGTAAAATGTAAAAAGCTTACCAGCCACAACAACAAAACATATTGGGCAAAACAAACAAAAGAAGCCCATGAAAGGTCAGAAGTCACAACCCGGTGGCCTGCAGAGATGTTTGGCATGGCCTACGTATGTTTTCAAAAATTTGAATTAGGTGCCAGCATGTAAAAATCTGTCAATTTCACTTGGATTTACAGAGGTTTTGAAAAATCAGAAAATTTGGCAACACTGCGCCCTCAGTCCATGACGACTGTAAGTGTCAAACCGCGGCTGCTTCCTGAAGACACTGTCTGTGCTCTCCAGGTGGCCATCGCCTCCAGTGCTACCATCTCACTCCCACAATTTCCTGATCTGCCTGACTCTTTTCGGCATTTGCATTTTCAAGACCCTGCTCTCGATAAATCAAATTTAAAGTATTTGGTATTTCCATTTCATCTAAAGAACAACTTCCAGTCTGTTCACTGCTGGTATTCCACTTTCAGTGTTAAATAATTTTAAAATGAAACTAAACTGATGAACATAACTATTACCTGGCAATAGAAAACAACTTACAAAGACTACTCTGGATCAAAGGGCTGCCAGTGATCCATGCTGTTTCCATTCGAGGAAACTTGTGAGGTTTCTATACTGAACAAAGCCAAGCATGCTGTCCCTGTTCTAGTACTTGGCACCCTGAGGGACAGAGGGGCTTTTATTTATAGTTAGGTCTCTTACATTCACTAGATGATGAGGATGTTCAAAATCCACGTGTGTCCTGGTTAGAGAGTTGCTGTGCCCGGAGTAAAGCCCTCCATTTAGGCTCCCATTCACAATTCCATTGACTGCATTGGGGACCTTATGGTGAAGGTGGGAATAGCCACTGCTGAGACCGCCATTGGTTAGGAAGCCTCCGTGAACATTTCCATTTATCTGACTTGCTCCTGAGAGAGTGGTGTAGTCCACCATCTGCCCGTTCATATCTGATCCTTGGTAGAGATATCCTGGTGGGTCATATTCTGTTAAAAGAGAACAAAAAAGACACACACGCACACACACACACGCACGCACACATGCACATACGCACACACGCATGCACACATGCACATACGCACACACGCACACACGCACACAGTAAGACACTAAAAAGGACAATCTTCTTGCTGAGAAGGTCTTACAGATAAAACCCCTACGAAACTACAAATAGACTAAAATAAAAACATTTTTAAAATGTTCACTTAAAGCCTACTTGTAAGACATGCTTTAATAAAGTTACTGCTATTATTTTCCATAGAGTGTAGAGATAGCTGTGAACTCTGAGTTAATTATGATTCTGTTAACGGGAAGAAAAATCACCTAGGGAGAAATTACTCAAAAGAGAATGAATATATTGGGCAAGCTGAAACTATCAGAGTACTGGCAATACTAGGAAAAAGTGCTTAAACTCCTATATATTATACTTCTAAGTGCTGAAAAAAACTGCATAAAATGACAACAAAAGACTAGCTTTAGGTGGGGTATTTCAAGTAGCAATAAACAACTCTGTTAAGTAAAAGGATGGAGTTGTATATACAGTCACTGATCATTCATATAGCTCCTTAGTCATTACAGCCAATTTGGAAGGTGTGGAGTACCAAAGGCAAAAAGTGATTCTATTTTCTTTTTTTTTTTTTTTTTTTTTTTTTTTTTTGAGATGGAGTTTCGCTCTTGTTGCCCAGGCTGGAGTGCAATGGCGTGATCTTGGCTCACTGCAACCTCTGCCTCCCGGGTTCAAGCAATTCTCCTGCTTCAACCTCCCAAGTAGCTTGTGCGTGCCACCACATCCGGCTAATTCTTTGTATTTTTAGTAGAGACAGGGTTTCACCGTGCTAGCCAGGTTGGTTTCGATCTCCTGACCTCGTGATCCGCCCACCTCGGCTTCCCAAAGTGCTATGATTACAGGCGTGAGCCACTCCGCCCAGCCTTCTATTTTCTTCTATTAAAAGCATACAAATGACTGCCTCAAAACTGATTTCCAGAGGCACATCTACCAGATATATTTAGAAAAAGTAAAGTATCTCTTAGAAACTAGAGTGTCCAAACTGTACAGGATTTGTTGTTGGAGTCTGGATAAATTCTTCGAAGGTAGGAGAGCTTGCCAAGGCTGGATTAGGTGTCCCTCCTTTCCTTAGCTGCCCACATTACTGTGTGCTCTCGCCCAGGTGTGTAGTCTCAGTACACCTGCTTGTGGTCTCACTAAGCTACACACTTTGAGAGGGCAGAGGTGGTGTTTATTTTATTTACCATTACATCTCCACTGTCCAGAACAGTGCCTGGTATACAGAAGACGATGATTATCTTTTGAATAAATGACTGAATGAACACCACCATGAGAATTTTCCATTTTTAAACATTATCAGGTCACAAAGTAGGATGACTTTAATCTGATTAATATGGCTGGGACGACCAGATTAATGTTCTCTTTTAATGATTCAACACGCACTCACACAATTAAAGGCAATGGCATTAAAACCATTTAGAAAATCAAATGATCACCATCCCTTTCAGATTAATACTTCTCTTTTCATGATTCAACACGCACTCACACAATTAAAGGCGATGGCATTAAAACCACTTAGAAAATCAAATGATCACCATCCATTTCAGCCTGATGCAGCCACCATCTCTCCCCCTATCTCTTGGAAGGCATCATTCAATACAAACAGAGTACTTTCTTCCCCCAGAACTGGTAACTAAAAGGGGAGCATGCGTGAGAACTGGCTAACAGCCACTGGAAGTGCCTGCTGGGGTCCTCCCTCACTTTTCTTTCATTTCCTTATTCTGGAGCCAAAGGGGAAACCAAAAAACTTCCTCCCACCAAAGACTAAACTCTCTGCTTGATTTGATTACCCTATTTTATAATAGCTGAGATAACAGGAAAAGTAGGACAGTGAGGTGAAGAGAACTGAAGGAAGAGAAAAGAGAAAGGGGGTTCTAGGTTACTTCACTGTTATTTCAAAGCAGGGCCATCATCGATGTTCAAGCACACGTATTCCTAGACACACTCCAGGGAGAGGACGCCATGCTGGAGCAGTCTTGAGTCCATCAGGTACAGAAACAGGGCTGCGTTATCCTCATCGGTGAAGTGTCATTCAGTGACAGTGACTTAGACAAGTTTTCACTACCTGCTTTCCATCATGGCTTTTCTATTCCCTGTTGACAAGCTCTGTACCAGTGTAAAGGTGTTCCTACAGCAATTCCAGAGCTCAGGCTTCAAATATGCGTCCTCTTTGGTGGTCCAACAAAGCCGGAGTTTCCCAGCAATAAGTCAGCTATTTACTTAGAGACCTGCTTAGTTTTGGCTTTGGTGTTTATGTCTGCTGGGCAATTTAATTTGATGCTCCACTTACTCTGGCTGACAGCTAGAACAGTTTTAAAGTCATCTCCTCTGAATGAAGAGTATCTAATGTGTTTCATACCATGACACTAATATACAACAGTGTTAGAAATCAATATTTATTCTGACAATATTTGTCTACCCACCTTTAGAAAAAGAGAAGGAGATATTTATGAGTGACTTACTTTGTATGGTATTCTGCTGGCGATTCTTCCACAGGCACATTGCAATGAAAACCATCAGAATGAGGACCATGACGCCCAGCACACAGCCAACGATCAGATATAACATGTCACTGCTTCTGGCAGGGCTGGTTGCAGGCCCCACATTTCCTCCACTTCCCAAAGAATTTGGAGGGGTACTCAAGTCTTTGACAGGATATTCAGAAGCTCCAGGAACACGTTTCACTAGTTGAAATATAAAGGAAAACATGATGTCAGAGTGAATACAGACTCCATGAAATGGTTTACTCTCTGAAGGAGGTCTGGTTAGGAATGCAAGCCAGTCTGTTTACTCTTGTTACTGAGATGACCTGACCACCAATGAGTCACAAAGAGGGCTCCAAAGTTTAAAAACTTGATGTGCCAAAGTTTTAGTCCACAAACTTTAGAGAAATCCTAAAGGCAAAGGAACATATGCACTTGGTCTAATCCAAACTGCTATATGATTATCTGCTTAACTGTACTTGGAGAAAACTCCCAGAGTTGAAATAAAAGTGTTTCCACTTAGGCCGGGCGTGGTGGCTCACGCCTGTAATCCCAGCACTTTGGGAGGCCGAGGTGAGCAGACTGTCTGAGCTCAGGAGTTTGCGAACGGCCTGAGCAACACAGGGAAACCCCGTGTCTACTAAAAATACAAAAATTAGCTGGGCGTGGCGGTGGGTGCCTGTAATCCCAGCTACTGGGGAGGCTGAGGCAGGAGAATTGCTTGAAGCCGGGAGAAGGAGGTTGCAGTGAGCCCAGATCACGCCACTGCACTTCAACCTGGAAGACAGAGTGAGATTCTGTCTCAAAAAAAAAAAAAAAAAAGTATTTCTACTTATGGATGGAACAAAAACTCCTTTCTGTCAGATACACTTTGAGCTAAACAAGACTCAGGATTACATATTTTATGCTTCTACCATGTATATAAAATTCACTACCAATATTAGAAGTTATAGCTTTGGACTACTAGAAAAATGACATTCCAAAACCTCACACATAGTATTAAGCATTCCAAAAACAAAGACTTTGGAGCCCGTGTAGGTGCAGTACTTTTACCCGGTTCATCGGTGTTCTGGGTAATAGCGATAACGAAAGCTAGTAACAGGTGGGACTCAAACCTCATTCTCTCATTCCCAAATCATATGTTCTTAAGTCTCTAAATGTCACAGAAAAGCAGTAGAGCAAAGTGGTTGGTGCCAGTCTCTGGAAGCACACAGCCTATGTTTACACCTCACCTCCACTTATCATTAGCTGTATGATTTTTACCTCCAAAACCTCAGTTTTTATTTATTTTTTATTTTTTGAGACAAAGTCTCACCCTGTCGCCCAGGCTGGAGTGCAATGGTGTGATCTCAGCTCATTGCAGCCCCGTCTCCCAGGTTCCAGCGATTCTCCTGCCTCAGCCTCCCAGGTAGCTGGGATTACACACATGTGCCCCCACGCACGGATAATTTTTTTGATATTTTTAGTACAGACAGGGTCTCAACATATTGGCCAGGCTGGTCTCAAACTCCTGATGACCTCAAGTGATCCGCCCGCCTTGGCCTCTCAAAGTGCTAGGATTACAGGCGTAAGCCACCGTGCCTAGCTAGTTTTTACATTTTGAAATGGGGATATTAGTAAGAGCTCTGTCAATTATCTAGTGGTAATGAAGGGTAAATGAGTTAAGCCATGGAAAGCACTTAGAGCCTGGCTCAGAGTGGTGGTCAATCAATTCTGCTGTTATTATTGCTTATTATACCGAATCTCCTGTTATGGTGCCAACAAACCACAGAAGCAAAGCAGCTTTTTAAAAATCTACTCAGTTGAACAGACACATGAAAAAATGCTCATCATCTCTGGTCATCAAAGAAATGCAAATCAAAACCACAATGAGATACCATCTCACACCAGTTAGAATGGCGATCATTAAAAAGTCAGCAAACAACAGGTGCTGGAGAGGATGTGGAGAAATAGGAATGCTTTTACACTGTTGGTGGAAGTGTAAACTAGTTCAACCATTCTGGAAGACAGTGTGGCGATTACTCAAGGATCTAGAAATAGAAATACCATTTGACCCAGCAATCCCATTACTGGGTATATACCCAAAGGATTATAAATCATTCTACTATAAAGACACATGCACACGTATGTTTAGTGCGGCACTATTCACAATAGCAAAGACTTGGAACTGACCCAAATGTCCACTAATGATAGACTGGATTAAGAAAATGTGGCACATATACACCATGGAATACTATGCAGCCATGAAAAGGATGAGTTCATGTCCTTCGTAGCGACATGGATGAAGCTGGAAACCATCATTCTGAGCAAAACCAAACACTGCATGTTCTCACTCATAGGTGGGAATTGAACAATGAGAACCCTCGGACACAGGGCGGGGAACATCACACACTGGGGCCTGTCATGGGGGGAGGGGATGTGGGAGGGGTAGCATTAGGAATGATGAGTTAATGGGTATAGCAAACCAACACGGCACATGTATATGTATGTAACAAACCTGCACGTTGTGCACATGTACCCTAGAACTTAAAAGTATAATTTAAAAAAAAGAGGAAAAACCAGGAAAGAAAATTAAAAATAAAAATCTACTTGGCTGGGTGCAGTGGCTCACGCCTGTAGTCCCAGCACTTTGGGAGGCGGAGCTGGGCGGATAACGAGGTCAGGAGATCGAGACCATCCTGGCTAACACGGTGAAACCCCATCTCTACTAAAAATACAAAAAATTAGCCAGGCTTGGTGGCATGTGCCTGTAGTCCCAGCTACTTGGGAGGCTGAGGCAGGAGAATAACTTGAACCTGGGAGGCAGAGATTGCAGTGAGCCAAGATCACACCACTGCACTCCAGCCCTGGGCGACAGAGTGAGACTCCATCTCAAAAAAAAAAAAAATCTATTCAACAAACATTAACTTGGGGTTCAATTTTCTAGCAGCATCAACCACACAAAACAGAGCTGGGAATGAGAAAAGAAGTCATCTTTCAAGAGAAAAGAAGTCATCTTTCAAGAGAAGGTGTTTTCTCTTATTGAAAGCTGGATGAACACTTGGCAGAGATGCTAAAGGAAATTTCTACTTGAGGTGGTATGTTAGATTATACAATTCTATGTCCTGGTCAACCCTAAAGAAAACAAAAGAGTTTCTGAGGCACAATGGATATTCCGTATCATATATTAAAGATCATGATTACTCCTAGGGAAGTCCATCAGGTTTAATCACTCTTTCTTTATTCTTAATTCATTTGTAATTCTACCAAGCTTCATGATCTGGTTTCCAACCCCTTGCTAAAGTTAAAAACTGAGGACAGATGGCTTGCACTGAAGGGTGAGTGAGATCCATTAACACTGATAGGAAGAGACAGCTAACAGCCTGAAAAAAGAAAGGTGAGATGAAAAACATAAAGAGAAGCCAAAGAACTAAAAGAAACATCACAGCAGTCTCTGATCTTCGGTGGGAAGGGAAAACGGCCAGGCTTCAGCGCCTCTGTCATCCCTGAAAACCTTCCTCAATTACTCAAGATAAAACCGTCATTGTTCACAAGAACCTACAGTCATTTTTTAAAGGTTGAAGTACACATGAGATCTTCCATGTAAACAGGCTGGGAATTATGTAATATGTAATTACGTAAAAGTCATTCAATATGAATAGTTAACATTTCAAAGATGTTTTTTGTTTTCCACTGACCTGAAAGTCTGTAGGTAGAACCTTTTCATTCCCTACTGATGTCAGAAAATGAGGTATACTATTGTAATCACAGCTATACTATTATACTATTATAAATAACAGTTATAATGTTTTATGTTTTGTCTGGCTAGATTCTTAAATGTCCTGGGGACAGAGATGATAAATTTCATTTTTATTTAACTTTACTCCAAGTATCCCATGAACACATCACAGCGTCTGGTCCAAAAAGGCACTCAAATATATGCTAAACAAATGAAATTCAAGGTAAGTCTAAAGGTATATGGATATATGTTTAAATATGGGCTTAAGATGTGAGTATTGCAGCAGAAACACACATGGTTTAGAGTTTAAAAGCTGGAACTAAGCCTTGGCTTATCATTCAATCTTTTGGAGCCTCCATTTCCTCATTTTTTAAAAACGTACTTTTTCATGTCCTCATTTTTAAAAAGGAATAATAAGATCACCTGTAGAGACCCTGATGGCTGCCCAGCTCACTCAACAGCCTTCTTTATCATGTTACGAGAGCTCCAATTTTGTTTGGGTGTCTACCTCAACCCCACAGAACTCTGGGATAAATCTGGTCAATGGTTTAGGGGCTGTGTGGGGCTGAATTGTGGCTAATGAGACTGGTGGGAAGATCTAGTAGAGGACGTTGGGGGAAATTTTCCTTGTTCCTGAAAATAGACACGGTCAGATATGATAACACTTTAAAGGTGATGCCCAGAACTGTGGCGAGCTATCAGCAGTGCTAGTCTTAGAGCCAAGGTGGCAATGGGAACATGACGAACAGGAAAGACAGAAAAAAATGAATTTTTTTTTCTTTTGAGACAAGGTCTCACTCTCTCGCCCAGACTGGAGTGCAGTGGCCCGATCTTGGCTCACTGCAACCTCTACCTTCCAGGCTCAAGCGATTCTCCTGTCTCAGCCTCCTGAACTAACAACGTTGGAGTTAGTTACCTACTTCTGGGCTGCTTATTTTGGGGATAACACATTTCCTCACTGTTGAAGCCTACTGAGAGGAGATTGTCGTGTTCCTTGCAGTTGACAGTATTCTCAAAGTTGTTGTGAAGATTAACTGAGACTGTGGACGAGTGGTTTTGCTCGTAAACATCTAATGAGCTATTTCTATTGTTCCCCTGTGGTGTCTTCTCTTCTTAAAGACGGCAACATTTGACAGTGAATCTACCTATGTAGGCAGAGTTGAGAATGTTCAATTTAGAATCAGCAACTGCTAATTCTAAACTTTACTACACTTAATTAAACAAGTAGATAGAAGTTACATATCTGTCATTCAAGAAACCACCTTTAACATATGTTGCACTTCTCCTTAATATTCTTAAACTTTTGTTAGTATTCTCATTCTCACAGCAATCTAGAAAGTAGTCAACAAATATTTCTAATATCTTTGTAAAGAAAAACGGAAGGGTTCATGACCAGCCTGGGCAACACAGTGAGATGCCGTCTCTAAAAAAAATAAAATAAAATAAAAATAAAGAAAAGGGAAGGGAGGTGATTTACTTAGAGTCACACAGAAACTAATGAACAGGATTAATGATTATGTAAACTATTTTTTAAACAAGCATTCTAGCCCACATATTATACATTTGTTGGGACAGTCTAAGTGTATGCACCTAGAAAATGGTCCAAAGCAGAAACTTCCTTAGGCAAATACATCAATAGTCATGTCCAGGCACGGTGGCTCACGCCTGTAATCCTAGCACTTTGGGAAGCCCAGGTGGGTACATCACCTGAGGCCAGGAGTTCGAGACCAGCTTGGCCAACATGGTGAAACCCCATCTCTACTAAAATTACAAAAATTAGCCAGGCGTGGTGGTGCGCACCTGCAGCCCCAGCTACTTGGGAGGCTGAGTCATGAGAATCACTTGAACCCAGGAGGTGGAGGTTGCAGCGAGTTGAGATTGTACCACTGCACTCCAGCCTGGGTGACAGAGTGAGACCGTGTCTCAAAACAAGACAAAACAAAACCCAGAATATATCAGTAGTCAGAAGCAGTAATCCAGGGTTGGAATTCTATCACTGTCCAGGGAAAAGCAAAAATTCTCCTACCTTTAGTCTCGCAGATCATCACATTGCTAAATTCACTTTCTCCTCCTTCATTGAAGCATTGCATTTTAATGTCATAGGAGGTTTCTGGCTGCAGGTGGCCAATCATGTGCCACTGCTTTGAACCTAAAAGGAAAAATAAAAGGCTTTACACATCATACAGCCTAAATGATAATGTCAATATAATTAGTTAATGTTTTCAGGATGAGGCTGGAGCAGCATCCACTACCATCCAGTAGTTTGTGCAATAAAAATGTACTTAATAGTAAGTATTTGACTAATGCACCACAGATAAACAGCATTTCTATTACACGGCATGAAAAAAAGGTAAAGAGAGGAGATAAACTGACCTAAAACTATATCTGTGTGTTGGCAATAATACTTGTTTCACTAAAAATAATTAGTGGGAGTCTTTCATAAAATACATGTTAATTTCATGCATAGGAAAGAAAGCCCAAGTCCTTTCATCCCTATCTTAACCCAGCAAGTCAATCCATGTTCCCCCACCAAAAAGCAACAGGACATTTGGGACCAGCAAAAGGTACACTACCCAGAGCAACTGACCAGTTACAAGAATGGCCTTAGCAAAGCTCCCAATTCCACTGTCATGGATGCAACGTGAACTGACATATGACCGAATGCCTGAATAAACTGCTGAGGATCACCAAAAAGCAAAATCTACTCTGGGAAACTCTTGGCCACCACCCCCACTCCTGCTTTTCTTTTGAGTCAAGATCTCCAAACCACACAAGTATCTCTAGCAGAATGATTCTGTTATCCGTGGCACACAGCCAACATTTCATTTAGAAACACTCCTAAACTGAACACTCCAGTAGAAATCACTCTTCATGTTGACTTCCATGGACCTGTGACAATCTTTCATAAGCAGGGACACTTTTGCCAGATTAAATTAACTCTTCAAGCACCCTTAATCCCTTGTGGAAACATCTCTTCAGACTGTCTCCACTGTTTCTTAGGAACTCAAGTATACCCCCAACTGATTTAAGAATTAATTAAAGGGGGAGAAAAAAAGCAAAACAAAACCACACATGCAAGTTAAATCTACTTGGCTGAACAGGACCAATATCGCCAGACTCCTTTCTAACTGAACACAGACAAAAATATTTCAATCTGAAAGTACAAGCCTCTTTTCAGGTCAACAGTACAAAACCCTTCACTTGTACAGACCCGCGTTTTTTAAGGAAGAAAATCTGCTTGTTTTAGGATCGTCTCTGAAAGGCTCAAAAGTGAGGAGTTCTACGCCCCATTTATAAATGTAAAAAGGACCCCCCAAAAGATGTTGACTCCAAAACTGGTTGAAAATGGAATAGATCTGTCTCTGAAATCCAAAGGCTTTCCAAAAAACTTCTTTTTTTGTAGTCTTGGGTCTTTCCCAACCCAGCCCTACACTCACCTACACTATAAATATTCTCTTGAATAATTACTACACTAGATTTGAAGTTTTCCTTTCATAGCGTTCATAAAAATGGCATTAAACTAGGCTTCTGATATGTTACTAAGAAGAGAAAAATAGTTAAAATGATACATATCTTGTTAGATTAATATTCCATTGTTATAGTTATTCTTCCACTGGCTAAAATTATAGGAAATATCAGCAAAGAGAAATAATTTTACTGATCATTGATGAATAAGACAACTAAGTACATCATTAGGTTTAAAACTGACCAACCAGCATGTATCCTTTGATTAATAGGCAATTATTTTCCCAAAGGATATTTTAGAAAAGGTAAGGCTTTACCTCAGAGAGAAACCAAAACACAGACTTAAAGATCAGAATGACTGATATTTTACTTGGAATTGACTTAACTTTAGAAGATAAAAATATTCAACACCAAAACACAGGTGTGCTGGAAACATTTATAGTTTATCTAAATGTGGAACCTAATTCAGAAAATAGGATAGCTTAATTGTCCTTCTCTTACTGTACTCTTTTACAATTTGACTTTTAATTTTATTTTCAAAAGTTTAAATTTTGGGTCAATTCACAAGTCATCTAAAACTTAAAAAAAAAAAACTTTAAGTACAAAGGATGAATACTTCTGTTCCTGTGATTTGGAGAACAGACCAATAGTTTCCAACTGCTACAAAAAGAATTTCAAATGCATAAACTTGAAAATATAGAATAAGCAAATTACACAGCATAGTGAAGTCCACTTAAACATCTAACTGCTCAGTATGTTACATTTATAAACAAGTGCTCTGTGAACCTAAGGCAAAACTCACATTTGCAGACACTACTACTAGATATAAAAGCTTCTTAATTTCCAACTTCCATGCTCAATATGCATATTACAGAATTTTGTAAAAGCTCAAAGATTTGACTAGAGAATATAGTTGGAAAACTGTTTATTAGTGGATATTTCTAGAACATAGAACCAAGAAGGGTGATGATGATGAGAGAGAGAAAAACAGAGAGACAAAGACAGATACTCATTTTATTTACATGTCTTGTTTAGAACCATTTTATGGCAAATATTTAGCCTCTGTCAAAAAATTCTTAAAATAAAATTCTGACGTCCCCACTGCCCTAAACCCAGTGAAATAAAAGGAAGACCTAGACAGGCCCCAAATGGAGGACAATCACTATTAGGTTGGTGCAAAAGTAACTGCGGTCTTTGTCATTAAAAGTAATGGCAAAGACCGCAATTACTTTTTACTTTTGCACCAACCTAAATATTATCCTTCCATTTCTTTTTAAAAATAGGCTTTTTACTGGCATAAAGTATGCATACAGAAAAGTCTACATAACTGTACAGCTCAATGAATGTTCACAAGCTGGACATGCTCATGGTACCCATATCTAAGTCAACAAAGAGAACACAGGAAAGCCCCCCACCTCAAACATCCCCTTATGCCCCTTCCAGGCTCTGCTTTCCCATGAGACAGCTACTATCGTGAGTCCTAAGAGCACAGAATAGTTTTGGCACTAAAAGTTATGGCAGAAAAGAAACAATCATTCCCTCATTCAAAAAATATTTATTGAGCACCTACTATGTGCTGAGCATTAAAAATTGGATCATAAATTTCTCATTATATTACAAAAGTCATTCCACTGGATAAATATGAAAAGGACTGCTACAGTATTTTAAGAAATGTGATACAGCATAATGTAATTTATTATAACACAAACTATATGCAGTATTTCATGTCAAGAAGTCATATGGAAAATAACCTTGGCCTATGGCAATTTTCTGACATAATTCACTAGGACATTTCTTATTTCAAAGAATCAGAATCTTGGAGTGCAAAAAAGACCTTGGAAAAAGCCTTCCTCCCAAAGCAAGAATCCCTTCCAAGATGTCACTGAGAAGCGGGCATTCAGCTTCAATTGAGCACTTCCAACATTAGGGAGTTTACGACTTTGTGGGGGAACCTATGCTAGAAATGCTACGTCAGAAAGTTCTTTCTTACGCTGCTTTCTTGCAACTTCCCCTCCCCCAATTGACTCAGCTCCTCTTCCACATAACAGTCCGTAAATACCTGAAGGTAGCTATCGTGTTGCTTCTGCTAGTCTTTTTCAACCTGAATATCGTTAGAGATTCCCTTGTTCTTTGTGGACTCCATTCATACATGAATTCAATACTGGCCACCTCACCACTGTAGGGGCTGGACATAGCAGTGGGAGAAAAGGTCCTATGCTCACAAGGGAGTTAACATCTAGTAGAGGAGACAGACTTTAAGCAAATAGTTTCAAACACACACACAGTCTCTGTCTCTCACACACACATGCGCGCGTGCGTGCACACACACACACACACACACACACACACAACCACGTGCTTAAACTTTGATAACTGCTATGAAATAAACATAAAGGGTATGGTTAGAAACTACAGCAAGGTACCCTCTCATGCAAATGAGAGGAAGTCACCCGAGGGGAAGTTATGGGGAAGAGTTCACTCCCTGTAACTTGACTGTCAAACATTTTGAAAAGTGGGACAATTTTTCTGTGCACACAACTAGGTAAAGGCAACAGGAACTACCCTGTGCCAAGGTCCTGAGGCAAAAACGTCTCAGTGCACACAAGGAAACTGAAGGAAGTGCCAGAAAGGGAGAGATGCAAGAGACGTGGTGTAGGCAGGGGCCAGCCAGGTCAGGTGGGGCCTTCAGGCCATAGGCAAAATTGTGGATTCTATTTAAATGCAGTAAAAAAAAGCAGTTTCAACACTCTTCACCATTTTAGCTGTTTTCTTTCTTTTCTACATGCATTCCAATTTCTCAGCATCTCTACAAGTGAGCAAGATGCTTAAGACATCATCTTTCTAGGACAGACTCCAGTGAAAATGAGTGAGATAATATTTTTTTAAAGTAGCTAGACATTATAATGGATTTTTATACTCAGGTCACTGTTCATTTAAATGAAACAGAAATCAAAATTTTCTTTCAGATGAACTACTACTGATTAATCATATTTCCCCCAAATGTTTGTACAAGTTTCTGCAACCAGAATATAAGGTGCTGCATATATTAAGCGGGAAAAGGTGGCTTTCTTTGGGACAAATTCAACAGCAATAACACATACACCATTCCATTTTGTACTGTCTTAATTTGGGATGATGCATTTTATATTCATAAACCTTCTTTCTCCAAAGCGCCTTTACAGGGACTCCAGTGTGCCAGGGGACTTACCTTCTACAACATCCCTCTTGTAATCACTGTCATTGTCACTATCTGTTGGTCGGTAATAGATATAAAATCCTTGAATGGGAGTGTTATTGTTACTTGATGGAATGTACTAAAAAACAGAAGCAAAGACTTGTCAAAGAGAAAAATTAATGTAACCTTCTCATTCATTAAGGTTTCTTTATCTACTTGGTCACATTTTTCTAGGTTCATTTTGCAAACATACTAATAATGGCCATTTTTAATTTACTTCAAAGGTATTAAAAGCATTTAGCTTATTGCGAGGTTAAACAGAAATAAGGCAGTACGTTTCCCTGGGTTCAAAAGCATAAAAGCACATTTGGTTCAAAATGAATCATGATGGCAATTAAGTTAACAACATTTGGATAAGAGCCGAGGAAACAATAATTTTCCTTTTAACCCTGCCCCTCCTCAAAATATGTGCTCTTATTTAGACAAATATTGGTGCCCTTGCACTTCCCCTCAATTAAAAGTTCAAAATTTGCTGTTTACTGTATTGTGTCATGAGAATATTAAATTGATTGTTAACATGACCAAACCACAAAATCTCATTCCAGAAGATGTGTACTGACCGTCCACTTTAGCATGATCTGAGTATCGCTGACAGCCTCTGTGTATGCAATGTGAGGTCCAGTTATTGGACGGCTGGAAAAGCGATTGGGGAACCCAACCACTTGATAAGGACGAGATGCTGAACTCCGAAAACTCTCACCATAATGGTTGATGGCAATGACCCTAAATTTGTATGTTGAACCTTTGAGGGAAAACAAAAACAAACAAACAACAACAACAAAAACATAACTAAGAAAAGCTATAATAAGACAACTAAAGGCAGAATAGTCAAAATATGGCAATTGTGCTGAAGTACCTATCTATACTAAAGTATCTAAAGCCTGTATGGTAAATAGATTTCAACCCAATTGACAATCTCAATCAACTGGGAGTGGCTGCTCCGTGCATGGTGTTCAAGATCCCAAGACCTTCTTAGGAGTCACCAAGAAAGAGCACTGCAAAAGATTAATGACATCTCAGGGAAGAAGCAGGTAGAGAATAGGAAAGAGGACATTTGCTCTTTTCACCATCCTGTTCTAAGTCATACCCATCAATGACAGTATTAGTTGAACTATCTGTCCCCAAAACTAGGTTCTTTTCACTTTAAAAGAAACAACTGAAGCACGGTTTAATACGGTGAATACACTCATAAAGAGGCACTGTGTGGGCGGCCGCAGATGTCACTCTGGTTTCACTGCTAACAGTGTAAGAGTAAGAGGGAGCAGATTTAACTACTGTGGAAGGAATTGTTTGAATTAGATATTAGGAACTTTAAAAAATGTAGAGGACTGTGAATTTCTGAAAATCGGAACCTAAAGAATAAATTAAAATCCTAAAGCAAGTTTCCTGATAGCTCAAAAATAATTACTGAGCTTCTGAAGACAGTGTTTTCAATCTATGGAATGTTTCTTAGCTTCAACCACATTTAAAACTGATGCTTCTCCCAACTATACCTACATGATCCTATGCTGCGCATGTTGCTTGTTTTGACAGCCACAGGCATTTGCTACTAACGTACATTTAAAAGTCCTGAAAAAAATTGCCATGAAACCTAAACGAATGAAAGTACAGAAAGTTTATTTATGCTTTTTGTCTTTTATGGTTTAATTTCTCTCATATAGCCTCAAGATTCTTGTGGGGAGGGGAGGGTTCCTCTGCTGAAACAAAACTTAAAGAACAAACGCGTGTTCATCACTGACTCATGTCCACAACACTAAGCACTGAGTATTACAACCGTGCTGAAATTCAGCATCAGATCAAATAATTTTTGTCAAATAACAAGCAATTTTCCTCTTATTCAGTCACAGCAAAACACACACACACACACACACACACACACACACACACACACACACAAAGATGTACACCACAGTATTTCTAACTGTAAATAAACAGAAATAATCTAAAGCCCAGAAATAAAGAATAGGTAAGTGGATTATGGTATATTTATTTATATGAAAGGTAAATCTCTACTAAAAGTTGAGTTTGTGAAGAATTTTTAATGATACTGGAAAACATATACGATAAAATATGGGGAATATTGGATAATAAAACAATATTTATGGCACGATCCTGCGGTGGCTCACGCCTGTAATCCCAGCACTTTGGGAGGCTGAGGCAGGCAGATCACCTGAGGTCAGGAGTTTGAGACCAGCCTGACTAGCATGGTGAAACCCCATCTCTACTAAAAAATACAAAAATTAGCTGGGCGTAGTGGCAGGCACCTGTAATCCCAGCTACTCGGGAGGCTGAGGCAGGAGAATCGCTTGAACATGGGAGGTGGAGGTTGCAGTGAGCCGAGATTTCGCCACTGCACTCCGGCCTAGGCGACAGAGGGAGACTCCATCTCAAAAAAAAAAAAAAAAAAAAAAAAGGCTAAGAAAAAATACAACGAAATATAAACAATGATTATCTCTGAATGGGTGAATTTTAGGTGACTTATTCTCTTCTTTATATTTTCTTTATTTTCACATTTTTATACAATAAGCGTGAATACTTTAACAATTCGAAAAAAAATATAAGACTACTAAAAATATGCATCTGCCAGGTGCTATGGCTCACGCCTGTAATCCCAGCACTTTAGTAGGAGACCGAGGGCGGCAAATTGCATGAGCCCAGGAGTTCAAGACCAGCCTGGGCAACATGGCAAAACCCTGTCTGTACAAAAAACACAAAAATTAGCCAGGCACGGTGGTGAGTGCCTGTAGTCTCAGCTACTTGGGAGGCTGAGGTAAGCCATGATTATGCCACTGCACTCCAGCCTGGGCCAACAGAGTGAGACCCTGTCTCAAAATATATAAATATATGGATCTAAAGTTCACATCGATGGTAAAAGGAAACGTTTGAATATTACTACCTGGTTCTAAACTACGAACTTCCACTGAAAGTTTGGAAGGAGGGATGTCTTCAGCTGCCACCAGCCAATTGCTGGTCCTC
Source organism: Homo sapiens (assembly GCF_000001405.40). NCBI lineage: Eukaryota > Metazoa > Chordata > Mammalia > Primates > Hominidae > Homo > Homo sapiens. The sequence continues at coordinate 125,997,287 of NC_000011.10, forward strand.
ATCCGTTTATATTCGACTTTGAAGGCAGTGATTGGAGAACCCCCGTTTGCCCGAGGAATCCAAGTGACATAGACTGATGTCTCTGATGCAGTGGAGATGGTAGGCCGATCTGGTGCCTCTGGAACTAAACACGGAAACGTTCATTTCAATAACCCACCATGTCAGAGACAAGAATAACATAGTTAAATTAAAGGGATAAGTCCCAAACTTCATGTTATTAAAGGTTCTTCACCAAACTTTTTGCCAGAGTTTATAACATTTACAGCAGTCTTCCTGTCCTCTGTGAAAATCTAATGGGAATACAGGAAATAAAGAGAAAGTAAAATGATCTATAAATTTGATAATTAGCTCTGAAAAACTGAAAGCTAACAAGTATGATCATTTTGACCATGCTATTCAGATTCATGGCTGAAATAAAATGTAAGTATTATTTGGTGCTTCAAGTTTGATTGTGGTTAAAATTTATAATAAATCTTCATAATTATGTGTTATCTTATTTAAATGTTTTTCTTCATCTATCCAAGCTACACAAAATGCACTCAGCAATCTACTAATTCTTATACTATTACTATTCCATATTATCTTAATACACCTCAAGGCTATAGGAAGGTTACTCCAAAATACAGACTATAAGTGGCAAAGAGAGATAAAATCTGACTGATAAAATCAATACTGTTAATAAAGGGGAGAGAGAATGCTGCTCAGGATGAATACGGGAAGACAGGATATGTCATTAAACAAAAGTGCTAGCAGAAAACATGATCCACGTGAACATGTAGAAAAGGGGGTCAGGGAGCTAGGGTCTAGCAGTTTTCACTTAGCACTGCCAAGGAAAGGGAATGCCCTAACACACCAGGTAGATGGTCTAGACTCTGCAGGAGGTGAAAACATGAGGAGTAAGCTCATCAGCCATTGAAACCATGTATCTAACTCTTCTTGATGACCAAGTGATATGGCTTGGATACTTATTCCCTCCAAATCTCATGTTGAAAAGTGATCCCCAATGTTGGAGGTGGGGCCTGGTGAGAGGTGTCTGTGTCATGGGGGTGGTTCCCTCATGATGGCCTGGTGCCCTCCCCATGGTAGTAAGCAAGTTCTCGCTCTGTTGATTCACACGAGAGCTGGTGATTTAAAAGCATGTGGCGTCTCTCTTGCTTCCTTTCCCACCATGTGATGTGCCTGCTCTCGCTTCACCTCCCACCATGACTGTAACCTGAGGCCTCACTGGAAGCCAAGTGATGCTGGTGCCATGCCTGCATAGCCTTTAGAACCATGAGCCAAATAAACCTCTTTTCTTTATAAATTACCCAGCCTCACGTATTCCTTTATAGCAACACAAACAGGCTAACACAACAAGCAATCTTGTGGTTGTAACTGGCTTCCCACTTGGTTCCTACAAGGAAAGAATGCTGACAGAAATAATCCGGTCTGTATGACAGTGACATTGCAAATTTGTAATTGCCATTCTGCTTTGCCTTGATCATCTGTGAACTGGATAGACATGAGCCGGTTTTTGAGAGACCAGTGATCTTTTGGCATGCTGACAATCAAGTTTCTAGAGCTGGAATGTGGAGGGCCAACTCTGGGCCATGGTGACGCTAGTTACTTTGAGAAAGCCACTAGGGAGCCCCATCTCTAGCCCATGCCATGCTCCTCAATTGAGCAACACCCTTCCACCTCAACATGTCTTCAACCCACCATACAAATACATACGAAAGAAGAAAATAAAGTTGAATGTGGTATTTGTATGGAGAAAACTGTAGCATTTAAAAAAAATAAATTGCTTAAGGGATAAAAGAGGAATGTATTCAAAGCAGGCAATGCTGAGTGATACTTACTGTATTCCTTTCAAGTTAGAAAGCAATGAAAACAGAATGAATAGTATGGTTAGTGAATCTTTTTTAATACTAGAAAAACCAAACAACTTCCTTATGTTGATTCGTCTGAAATCAAAACTCACCAAACACCACAGTTCAAATAGGAAAAAGAAAGTTATTGGGGAAAATGTCTGCACGGAAAATAATACCTTCCATATCTAAAAGAAATAGCATGTGACTGTTAACAAGGTAGAAAAGAAAGACGGCACTGGAGTTAGAAGCGGACTTGGGTAGCAAGCCGTTTCTCCACTTTCTGGACGATCTGAGGCATCGTGCATGGTTAACCTCCTCATGTGTCAGTTTCCTAATCTGTAAAACAGATGTGGAAATCTGTTCCTCATTAGGTTGTTTTGAATATTAAATAAATCTTTTCTTGTGGTTATTTCTTCTTGGACAACTCCAAACTCATCATTTCCAAAACTGAATCCATAATCTTCACCTAAAAACTCTTACTACTTATCTTGGTAAATGGTCTTCTGGTGCCCACACCCAATCCATCATCTTTCTCCTTCTCATTCAGTGTGGACTCCATTCCCTTAATCTCTCATACAGGTCCTCCCCTTCCTCCATCCACACTGTCACTCCCCTTATTTCTCTAGCCTTTTCTTTTGCTATTCCTCCCTTCTCCTTCTCTAACATCCTTTGGGGTTCACTATAGCTTTCAAGGAAAGATTCAACTTTGAAGCATATCACACAAGGCATTCCCCACAGTAACCAGTCACACTAAATAAAATCTCTAACCTCTCAATCTCTAAACATAATAGAACATATCAGCCACTTGTCGAGATGTCTTTGCTAGAAACTCTTTTGCTGTTTCATCTGTCTGTATCGTCGTTCTCCTTTGAAGTTTAGCTTATGATGCAGAGAAGCCTCTCTTATCTACTCACCCTTGTCTACACTGAGTGACTGACTTAGATATTTCTCGTGAACCCATAACACCAAGGGTATAATCTCGAGCATAAGCAATCAAAATTGTTATCAGTTTGTCTATATTATCCACATATTGTTAATGGGTTTAGGTATTTATATCATCCACTATACTGTAATTTTTTTAAAAAAATAGAAACAGGATCTCACTCTGTCACCCAGGCTGGAGTGCAGTGGAACAATCATAGCTCACTGCAGCCTCAAATTCCTGGGCTCAAGAGATCTGCCTGCCTCAGCCTCCTGAGTAGCTAGGACTACAGGTGTACCCCACCACACATGGCTACTTTTAAAATTTTTTGTAGATACTGGGTCTCACTACGTTGCTCAAGCAGTTCTCAAACTCCTGGACTCAAGCGATCCTCCTGTCTCAGCCTCCCAAAGCACTAGCATTACAGGCGTGAGCCACTGTGCACCACCATGCTAGGCCTATATTGTAAACTTCTTAAAGGCAAGGATTATTTTATCTTTGCTGTTCCAGCATTTTATACAGTATCTGCCAGAGGGTGTATAAAATAAATGGTAAGGTTTTTTTCAGACATTACTTTTATTCACATGAAATTAATACTCATATACGTAATCTGCTTAAGGTAGCTGAAACGTGCCTCAAAGATAAGAGCACTCAAGTAAAAGAGATTCATGATATTGAAGATACAGAGGTGCTTCGGAGGGAGTTCAAAGTGTTATAACCTGCTTTTGTCTGACATCAATTCATGGAAAACTGTAAAAATATGGAAGAGAAGTCTGAAAATTCTCAGAGCTTAGCAATGAAATTTTAAGTCTTCCCTAGATGTCCTGCCTGATGTTTTAGGACAATCACAAAAAGCACACCTGGCTATAAGTGTAGTGCTCATATAAGTGTGAAATTGAAATACTAAAAAAGTCTTTTGAAAATTATACAGCTAAGACCTTTAAAAACCATAAGATTAACTAGATATAGCAAAAAATAAAAATAAAAAGTAACATGTAATCCTTCAGTAAAATAACTTACCACAGGTACCACTATACATTTTGATGAGTCACACACATGAAAAGTGAGATTTTCAGAGTTCAAAATATAAATGTCCTTCTCTTACCAGAGAAGAAACAGAAAACTCCTTCCTTTTTCTTTTTTTTTTTTTTTGAGGTCTCACTCTGTCATCCAGGCTGGAGTGCGGTGGTGTGATCTCAGCTCACTACAACATCTTCCTCTCAGACTCAAGCGATCCTCCCACCTTGGCCTCCTGAGTAGCTGAGACTACAGGTGTGTGCCACCACACCCAGCTAATTTTTTTGAATTTTTAGTAGAGACAGGGTCTCCCCCTCTGTTGCCCAGGCTAGTCTCAAACTCCTAGTCTCAAGTGATCTGCCCACCTCAGCCTCCCACAGTGCCTAGCCACAAAACTCCTTTCTTGAGTTCTAAAAACTTAGTACCAGAACATTTTGAGTCAGAGTTAATGAAGTTAAGTACTAATCATGATACTGAGATGCTAAAGTTTAAATATAGGACATTAAAATTGTTGAAATAGAACCTAAAAGAACTGTATGGTAAGATATGAAAATAAACAAACACCCTATTCCACCCCACCTCCCAAAATCTGAAGCAGGTCAGTTATATTTGTAAAGAAACAATAAAATATTCTTCTTTTTACCTCCACTGTGCCTAGAGGAATCTGTAAGTACCACTCCAAAATTGTTGTTTGCAGCCTCTGAAACAACGGGATACTTAGGGATGCCCACGGGTGGAGAGGATGCCTGGGTGTTTTTTGATGACGCTGTTTTTTCTAGAAAGGTAAATAAACATATACAGTAACATAAGCATATATGTATGTAAAGTGGAAAAAAAAGAGTACTGTGAAACTTACCTGGTATGTGGTTATAAATTTATGAACTTATCAGACACAGCATCTAAATGTAAGACCTACTTCATAAATACTTAGCTGATCTGAGGAACTGACCAAAAATTACTTTGTTTTTTTCTAGTATCTTTAAAATAAAGCTAAAATGTCTTTCTTCATTCTAACTTTACGTATGCAAAAAAATAGGTGAAAAAGCCAAATGACTAAGTGTTCAAACTATTAGTCCATTTTTCTTTTTACTGTATATATTTCTTAATTCTAAGCTATAAAACTCACCATTAAAGAGCTTCTGCTAAGTTTTCTAAGGAAAAGCCTCACATTGTTTTAATATTTCAAGAGGCAAAAAGTGAAATTGATTTGTTAAAAACTGAAATGCATGATTACTCAGTATTTATAGGTCAGACTCCATGAACACCTAATGACTGATTATGAAAATGAACTCAAGATACATTTAAGATAGAAAGTACTCGTTATTTTTCTGGCCAGACTTAGTAATTAGATGAAAGGGTCTTTTTCAAAAGCCACTAGTTGGTTTCTTCTCAATCTTCATACCTCCTTTTCGTTACAGTGCCATACTAAAATACTCTTCCACCCAGTTCCCTTCTCTACCCACTAACGTCTCTTTGTTCATTTACAGCCAAGCCACGATGGCATCTTTTTTATCAAGCCTTCCCTCACAAGCCGCCCTGCAGAAAGAATATCCTTCCTCTGTGCTTCCCCAGCACTGTCCTTGGAAATCTCCTGTGGTACTTGGCATATTCTGGTCTCTTTGCCTACAATCCTGCCCACCTCCACACTATCCAGACTCCAGCCAGCTCAAATGTTCCAGCTCTTCTCAGCTCACTCAGAGGTAAAATCAAAGTCGTCCCAAGGTGGATGGTGTGCTGTGTGATGTGGACACCCCGTTGTTCCCTGGGATCTCTCCCCTACAGCCTCCTCACCCACGTTGCTCCCATCACAGCAGCCCCATCGTGTTCCTAGTGAACACCATGTACACCCAACCTTGGGCCCTGGCACTTGCCATCTCTGCTGGGAATGTTCTTTCTCTAGGGAGACACGTGGCTTTCTACTTCCCCTCCTTCATGTCTCTGCTCCGATGTCGACCGCTCATTGAGGACTTTTCTGGCCACCTGCTTAAACTGTTAACAACTCCTACCCCATATACTTCCTGTATCCACCCCCTAACTTATATCTCTGTTAACACCTTCTAATGTACTTATAACTTACGTGTAAGTCTCTCTCAACTAGAATGTAAGCTCTACAAGGCCACAAGTTTTGTCTGTTTTGCTTCTTGCCTAACATGTAAAAGGCATTCAATAAATATTAGCTGAACTGAATACTGTCTTGTAGTTGGTATTAAGTTACACATCTTAGCTTTCTTATCAAAGTATAAGCTCTGTCGGGATGGATCTCATTTTGACCATCTTCATTTTCCCTATATCATCTATCCTCATTGCCTTGTATAACATAAGCTTTCAAAAACATCTGTGGAATATTCTATAGAATAGGACAATACAATCACGTAAATGTGACCCCAAAATGGAAGGGGGAGGCTATAATAGGGTCGTTTAGTGAATTTACATATAGGAATTTCTACTATCCAAAAGAATTCTGGTTGGGCACAGTGGCTCACGCCTATAATCCCAGCACTTTGGGAGGCTGAGGTGGGCGGATCACGAGGTCAGGAGATCGAGACCATCCTGGCTAACACTGTGAAGCCCCGTCTCTACCAAAAATACAAAAAATTAGCCGGGCATGGTGGCACGCACCTGTAGTCACAGCTACTCGGGAGGCTGAGGCCGGAGAACTGCTTGAACCGGGGAGGCGGAGGTTGCAGTGAGCTGAGATTGTGCTACTGCACTCCAGCCTGCGTGACAGAGCAAGACTCCATCTCAAAAAAAATAAATTAATAATTCTCACTAATAAATTGACATCAGGGCAGCCAGCTCATTCCTCCAAAGGAAGCCCTCACTCACCTTTGCTGGTTCGGAAGGTAAGCATGGCAGGTTGGCCTTCACCTGCTGCGCTTCTTGCTACCATCAAGACTTCATAAAGACTAGATGGCTCCAGCTCAGCTAAATGGAGCTCATTTTCACTTCCTGGGACTCGAACCGTGTGCCAGCTTCCCAGCATGCCAACCCCATCATCCAGCTGCCCAAGAGAAAACACACCAGAAAAGAAAAGCAGGAGATGGAGGATAGGAAATCTTTCGGTCACATTTGATCAAAACTAGGATTCATTTAATTCTAGAAGAGTTTTAAGAAGTAATACAGCATGGTAAGTAAAAAAGACACAATACTTCTTCATATTAAGAAATAGAAGATCTGCTGCAAGAACGCTGCAATTCTCACTGTAGAAAGACTCCTGGCTCTGCATCTGACCACTAATGTGTGGCCTCAAGCAAGTTACTGCCCTCCCAGACTCTGTTTCCTTTACTTGTAATGGAAACAATGCCTTCTTTCTTCCTGGGCTAATGAAGAATAAAATAAGTATAAAATAATAGGTATCATTGGTAATTATATAATACACATAATAGATACATGGTAAATTAAGACAATATTATATTATGTTATATGTATATGAATTATATAATTATGTATATTTCCAGCATTCTTGCTTCATGTCTTGACACTGTTCAATATGTGTTAGAGGAAATAAAAAGATCTAATCAGTTGTTTCTTGATTAATGGAACCAAGAAACAATATTGCATGGAGGTATTAGGGTAGATGAGATTACTAGCAAAACTTCTTTATCTAGAATCATTCATCAGGTTGGAAATAGTACATAAACCTTAAAATATCATCATATTAAAATATCATCATGTTATTTTTCCTAGTCATTAAAAACATTACCATTCAACAATGTATACTAAAATTTCTTGGACAAAGAAAATGATTTTAAATATGGAATGCATCCCTCCCATTTCATTCATGTACTGGTCTCATTAAACAGAGAGGAGCTTTTCCATTCTGCTCCAACACAAGCCCATGGGGAAAATGATATTTGAAGAGTTAACTGAGAGAGGCCCAAGGTTTACCACCAAAAATGACCTAACAATGTATGACTTTAATACAATTAAAAAGGCAACTTGAAGCTGGGCACAGTGGCTCATGCCTGTAATCCCAGCACTTTGGGAGGATTAGGTGGTGGATCACTTGAGGTCAGGAGTTCAAGACCAGTCTGGCTAATATGGCAAAACCCCATCTCTACTAAAAATACAAAAAAATTAGCCAGGTGTGGTAGTGCATGCCTGCAATCCCAGCTACTTGGGAGGCTAAGGCACGAGAACTGCTGGAACCCGGGAGGCAGCAGTTGCAGTGAGACGAGATCACACCACTGCACTGTGGCCTGAGTAACAGAGCAAAACCCTGTCTCAAAAAAAAAAAAAAAAACAAACAAACAAACAAAAAAAAACTTGAAATGCAAACAATTGGCATAAATTATGCCAGAAACTCTGTTCAAACAGTTGTTTTTAATAAGAAACTGCTTTATTTGCTACATAAATGGTATTCTACTACCTTAGAGAGGGAAGGAATTTGTGTTTTAAAAGTGGTTATAGAGCTTTATGTTGAAGGGCTAAAACATTTGAATACACATGTAAAGACATCATTGGGTTCCTAGAATTCCAATTTGGGGGGAAATTATACTTCATTCTCAGTGCTTTCCTAGGATTGGTAAATCCAGCATGACTGGGATCTCTCTGACAAACTCATCAGTCTGGAAGACTCTTGTTCTGTTTCCTGCCATTCTACAAATGAAAAGGCAACAGTATATGTTATACAAAGAACGTTCAGGTGTGAGCCGAGAAAGATGATAAACGACAAGACATTACCTTTCGATACTTCACAAAGTAAGCATTGATGGGCAGCCCACCATCCTTGCCTGCCCTCCACACCAGGTTGTACGTGTCTGGTGTGTGGGTCTGTGGGGGGCTCAGTATGATGGGGGCATCAGGAACAGAGATGCCGCTGGCGTTTTTCTCTGGTGCTGATTCCACTGCACTGGGATGGACCTTCACCGGAAATGAGCTCAGTAACCCAGTTTCTGAACCATCTCTCTTACTTCTGTCATCATTCTGAGCAGCATCAGGAAGTGTGACTGTCTCTGCTTTTGTATTTGTTTCAAAAGGAACTGCAGGGAGAGAGAGAGGAGACAGCTTGAAGATACTCCTCATTTCATTGTCTTCTACCCAGTTTGTGACGTGACTGCCCTCACTTGTATTGTTAGCACAATTTGAGCCCCAGAAGTTAAAACGGGTAACACTGCCATTTATAATTCATGGAAATGTTTAACCTCTAATTGCAATCTTTTCTCATGGTGGAGCAAATGAATTACTTGAAAAACCAATTATATGATGCAATAGTGTAGCAGTTAAACGTTCTTATTTTTTCCTTGTTCTCTAAGAGTATTCTTTTTAGTAATAATCATTTGCCAGTTTAACCTCAGAAGATTTCAAGTTGGCCAGGCATGGTGGCTGACACCTGTAATCCCAGAACTTTGGGAGGCCGAGGCAGGGGAATCACTTGAGCCCAGCAGTTCAAGACCAGCCTGGGCAACATGGTGAAACCCCATCTCTACAAAAAACACCAAAATTACCCAGGCGTGGTGGCGCATACCTGTAGTCCCAGCTACTTGGGAGGCTGAGGTGGGAGGATCACCTGAGCCTGGGAAGGTTGAGGCTGCAGTGAGCCATGATCGTGCCACTGCACTCCAGCCTGGGCAACAGGCCAGCTAACTTCTACCCAAGGGGATCCTGCAACTACACCTCTCAAAAAAATTTAAAAAGATAAAACAAGCAGGCAGCCTTAACACTTACTACTAACAGCATACAGAATATACAGAGGAAGATAAAAATAATTTCTTTGCACTGAAAAAAAAAATAGGTTGCATACAGTCAAAGATAATTACTGAGCACATATTATGTGCCAAGCATTGTACTATCTTATAAACATAATCTCATTTAATTCTCCAAACATTCTTAGGTAGATGGTAATACTCCCATGTTACAGTTGAAGAAATTAAGGTTCAGAGAGACTAAGTGAAGGCTGCCAGAAGAATGTTCATGGTGCTGCTGTGAAAAAAAAAATAATAAGAAAGAACAATTTATGAAAACAAATATACTGCCAGCACAATAAAACCTAAGGAGTGACGGCTTGGTTTCTCTAAAGTGCTATTAATACTGGCAACAGAAAATTCTATTTTTCACTCCTTTTGTGGAGGAAGAGTGCAGAGCAAACAACGTACTACTTTTATGTCCAAAATGAAGTCAGATTCCTGGTAAAAGATGGGTGTGTTTTTGGGAGAAGGGCTGCACTGCAGTAGAGAACCAACAGAAAACAGGACTGACAGTGTAAGGTTAGTTCTCTGTTAGTTTAAAAGAGAGAAAGGGTGTCCCAGAAGCATCCTCCATCAGAGAAAACAAGAAGCTAGTGAGGAAATAATGTAGAAGAAAACTAATTAAGTTCACTGAGACAACTTCAAAATATTGCTCCTGGAACAGCAGTGTTTATCTAGTGAGTCAGACTGCGGACTGATGTTCAGGGTGTGATCTGGTGCCTGCTAATGCAGACAGAAGGACTCGGCAAGTGGAGATAATTAACTGTGGCTTGAGGTAGTGGAGAAGGACCTTTTTATCATTAGAAGTTTAGTGGATCCTCCGGGCAGTTTTCCACTGGGAAGTGGGATCTGGCTGTAAAAGAGTTTAAATGCCACATGCCTCATACAGAAGCATGAGAAAAACGTTAATGCTGCAGCTTCTCCACTGTCTGAGTATCAAAATTCCATTTCTGTAAGACTTAAGATGCAATGAGACCTCTCCAGAACTTTTATTAAAAGGGGGATTCAATTAACTTTCTTCTTCTGTTTCAATGATATAATCTGGGCACTTGGGAGATACACTCAATACAACTGAAAAGACCTTACCAGTACTTCCCCGGTGTTTTTGCATGTATTATCTCAACTTATCTTCAGAACTCTATGAAATGGGTAGAACAGGCATCTAGCATCTTTTAAGGTAGAATGTTTTTTGAATCGGAAAAGAGATTGATGCAACTACGGCAATGTAAATAAATTTAATGACTCTAAGTGGAAACTAATTAAACAGGGAGGGAGTACAACCATATCTGTCAAAGATGCTCCCACTGTGACCACTGCTGCCAGCAACTCACAACCCAAACTATTTAGGAAACCCGCACCAACTCTCATTATAGTTTTAAAGAGTACCACACACTCTACAAATATTTGTACATCCAGGACCTCAAAAACCCAAAGTCTCTGGAAAAAACAAAAGGCTGGGGAGAGAGTTATCTCTCTCTCTAACCTAGCTTGCTCTCCCCTTTACAGTACAGTAGTCAAATGACTTGTCAGGATGCTAGAATTTCATAAGGCTCAGATTCCTATGCAAAGAAGTGAGTTGTCATGTATTGTTTTGAGTTTTAATAAACTCGGTTGGATCTTAATAATTATACTAGAAAATTAAAAAAAGACAACGTAGGACCTCTTTGGTAGAATACAGCTGATGGGGTTACCATACATAAAAGTAGTATTTATCGAGACATAAAATCCTGGAGCACAGGGGAATCTTAAAGATCTTCTAAAGTTAGTTCACATAACTTCAAAGGGCTTCCGATTTCTCATATTTAAGGTGAGGAAGTTCGACAAAATATCTAGTTTCATCAGCCATAAAACTATGACATCTGTCTCTCTACACCCTGTATTCACATAATCGCTTCAGCTAAATTCTACCCAAGGAGCTCCTGCAACTACACCTGTCATGCAGTTAACAATTTCGAGCAGAGCCACTCTTATTTTTGCCTAGAGGAATAGAAATATAAACACACACGCACATTCATTTATAGGTGCAAATTTATGTAACACTGAACTACTTTCTTCATTTAAGGATTCTTAATGTTTCTAAAATCAGTAACTATTTCTTCCTTCCCTTAACACTGCCACAAGAGATCACTGTAATTTAATAATAATTAGACAGTAACAATCATAACTTTATACTTAGTATCAATGGAGGGCTTTCTATTGCCAGACACCATTCTAAGCACTTACTACGCATTAACTCCTTGGATTCTCACATCAACCCTATGAGTGGGGCACCTTCACTATACCTGTTACACAGATGAGGAAACAGAACAGAGAAGTGCAGTGATTTGCCCTTGGGTTACAAAGCTGCTAAGTGGCAGAGCCAGGATTCTGACACAGCCCACGTGCTCAGCCTCCACATCTCTCCCACCTCTAACATGCACAAGAGGATAAGGGGAAGTCCCTGGTCTCCACCACTTCTCCTCCGCCTCCAGCTTCATTCAGAGCAAGGGCGTCCTTGTTTGCACGTGAAGGGAAATCGTATGTGCACATACGAACTCTTTTTTATTTCAACCATCACTCCTCTGCCAAGGACCCCCCGTTGACCACTGCTCTGGCTAAGGGTGCCCACACACTGGTCGTGTGGTCCAGACTGTGGCGGATGGGCCAGGGGAGAGGAACTGTGGGGACCAGACTGTGAACTCACTGAAGCAGGAAATGCTGGAGCCCCAGACCTGTCTAGAAGGAGGAATGTGGGCTCTGAGCTCAGCATAAGCACTGCTCCTCGACCCTATGGGCTCTTTAACCTGTGGGACCATGGCCCCAGGCAGAAGAGAGCCACGCTAAGCCCCTTAAAGCAGAGGCCAGGGTCAGAGACCTCAGTTACCCAAAACTAAAGGCAGTACTGCCTTTGATGTTGGGCCTCTCACAAGACAAATAAGATGACAATCTACACCCAACTGACTAGCTGTTGGGGAAAGCTGCCCTAAATGCCTACTGATGGAAGGTCTGAATTTGAATTAAGTCAAGTTTGAGTCCATTTCCATGAATATTAATAGTCTATATACCAGTACATCAAAAATCATATATAGTTTTTAAGTCATCATCACAAAAAATCAGTAAAATATGAAGAATTAATATTATACATCCCATTAGAAAATAACTTTGGATAAGACACAGGGAATATATACATACAGGTATTACTTAATAGTACCACAACTCTACATTCTCAATGAAGGCCAGTCCTTTAGACCCAATACTGTAGTTATCAAGGGCATAAAAAATGTCTGCAATATCATTTTCGGTAGCTTAGAAAACCAAAAGCATTCATCTCAAAGACAGGTTATATTCTGGGCCTGCTCCCAAATGAGAGCTTTCTGTATTGCACCTACAATCTTAACAAACACATCAGAAACAGAGACCAAAATTCATGTGATTCACATAAAGTGAAATACCAAGAAATACAGTTCTACATTTCACTGTCATCAGGAAAAAATATAGAGAGATTGCTGGATTCATTAAAATAACATATTTCAAATCACTTTATCTTCTATTATAAAAGGAAATTACTCAACTAAAAATAAATAATAATGGCAACTCACCAACCATGAGAGATGCTTCTGCCTGTGTGGTACCATGTTCATTTGCAGCTTCGCAGATGTATTTCCCCGCATGTTCCTGAGTCACAGCCTGAATATGGAGAGAGCTTGCACCAGCTTGGGACAGGACGAAGTACACAGGCTCCAGGTTCAAGCCCTCAGGTCTTGATAACTGTGATTTTCGGGATTTCGATCTCAGGACTTGAGATGGATGGCTGGTTATCAATCCATGGCTGTCATACCAACGAATGACCGGAACCGGCAGCCCACTGGCATTGCAGGACAGAGTAACAAAGTCTCCGTCTGCAACCTTTGCACTTACTGGTGCCGTAATTATAACTGGCTTGAATCCACCGTCTATTAAAAAAGTAATTCACATATGAAAAATGAAGAACATTGTAGTACCTACGATGCAAAACAACTTCATCCTATCACGTAAATGTGGGAGTAATGATTAAAACCAAGATAGCTACCTCCTTATTAGTTCCCTTCTCAACTTTCACCAAGTAAGACTGTCAATAAATGGTAGAGTTGTTTCATAGCTGTGGGCTCCTAAACATTTCCTACGTAAATTTCCTGTCCTTCAGAAAGAAAGGAATATATATAAAGAAATCTTTTGAGAGTTTTCTGAAGGTACACTACACATATCTGACCACTGCAAATATAGAACATATAAGGTTGAAACCTCAGACCTTAACAGGAAAAATGTGTAAATAAGTATAAAAGTAGATAATTTTCCTTCAAGAAAATGGTCAATTTTGTGGGGTAGGGTGGGAAGGGAGGCAGGAATCTGATTATAAAAAGCGTGGGAGAAAAAAACCTGTTCTCAATAAAAGCTGATACTGATGATACCTGTATGTTTTTTCCCATAGGCATGAACAGAATTTTTGTTTCTAAATTAAAGTGGCACCAAATCTTTCCTTTTGGTCCTGGTATTCTCTGGAGGTATTTTGAAGAGAGCTTACAATGGAATATTGATCAAAGTAAATGACATTTTCTCTAGCATGTCTGTCTTTTTCTCCAGTCCTCCTTCCCATGTCTGACAAAACCAACCAACAACTGATACCGGATTTCTGGATTTTTGCCAAGCTACTGAGTGTAAAATGCTATCTCACTGGTCAGAACATGCATTTTCCTGAGGACTAATGAGGCTGAACATCTTTGCATGTGATTATGCGACATTATTAATTTTCCTCCTCTGTGAAATGCCTTTGTCAGTTTTTCTATTGGGTCATGAATCTTTTCTGCAGTGATTCGGAGTTCTCTGTATATACTAGATTCTGTTCTTTTGTTTAGGTATGCATGTGACTAGTATCTCCTTCCTAATGTACTGCTTTTCTTTTCAGCTTTTAACAGTATCTATTAGGAAGATGTTTTCATTTCAATGTGGTCATCCTTTAAAATGAGCCTTTTAAAATGTCTTATTAAAAAGTTTTACCCACAGATCATACATTCTTCAATGTTTTCTTGAAAACCTTTTTCATCTCGTCTTTCATATTTAGATCTTTAATCCACTGAGAATGTATCTTTTATACAATGTGAGTAAGACCCTGAGTTTCACTTTTACCTCCATGCTGATAACAATTATCCCACATCAAAATGCGAAATGGGTCTCCTCCCTGCTGATCTGCAATGCCGGCTCAGTCAAGCCCTTACATGCAAATGTCTTTCTGAAAGTCTCTATCTTGTTCCAAGAGTCTATCTGTTTCTGTACCAATATAATATTTTCTTAATTACTACAGATATTTTAGATGTTTAAGGCAAGTCTCCCATGTTCTTTTTCTCCTTCGAGTGTCTTTGCCATTCTTGGGCATTGGGTTATGCATATAAATTTTAGAATCAGTTTGTCAAGGTCCTTAAAATATTATGATGGGATTTTAATTTGAATTGCATAAATCCACAGAAAATTTTTAGACCAGATAACTATATAATACTGAATACAATATATAATATTGAGGAACTGATATCTCTTCCTATATAACTGGCTGTGCTTTACTGCTGTGATATAAAAAAGGTGGTTTTTAAATTATACTTTCTGTTTGTTGCTGGTATGCAGAAAGGCAACTGATTTTTTTTTTTTAAGAGACATAATCTCGCTCTGTCGCCCAGGCCGGAGTGCAGTAGTGCGATCTCAGCTCACTGCAACCTCCACCTCCCGGGTTCTAGAAATTCTCCTGCCTCAGCCTCCTGAGTAGCTGGGACTACAGGTTCACGCTGCCATGCCTGGCTTTTTTTTTTTTTTTTGTATTTTAGTAGAGACGGGGTTTCACTGTGTTGCCCAGGCTGGCCTCGAACTCCTGAGCTCAGGCAATCCACCCACCTCCACCTCCCAAAGTGCTAGGATTACAGGCGTGAGCCACCGCACCTGGCCAAGGCAACTGATTTTTGTTCATTGGTCTTCATCCATCCACCTTGCTAAATATTATTATTTATCATAATAGGTTATAATAGGACATACAACAGCCATCATAATGGCCAGCAAACTATTTGGGATAGCCCATGTTGACAATCATATCCAGCTGTAAATTAACAATGATCTGGGTTCTTTCCTTCTTTTTCATGTCTTTCTGTGCTGGTTAGGATTTCCAGTATAATGATGGCCAGAAGAGATTTTCAAAGGGAGTGCTTCTTATATTTCACCATTAAATGCAATGTTTCCTGTAAGTCCTTGTTAGACACTCCTTATTAAGAAAGTTCAACTCTATTTCTACTTTTCTAAGTGTCTAACATGGATACTTAATTACGTCCAATGTTTTTCCATCTCTAGTGAGATAATCATACTGTTTTTCTCCTTTATTCAATAAATAGGGTGAATGACACTCTACATTTTCAAGTGGATTCCTGGGATAACTGTTCAGAAATGACGTATTTTCTTTTTTACACTGTCCTGGCTTGCTGATATATTATTTAGGATATTTACACCTATGTTCATAAATGAGATTGGGCTTTGATTTTCCTTTCTTGCACCATCTTATTGTGGTTCTGGAATCAAGACTGGAGAGTTTCCATCTTTTCCTCTTCTCTGGAACACTTTGTACAATATCTGAAATGGTCTATCACTTCGAAGTTTGGTAGAACCTCCATAAAATCATCTGGCCCCTTATTTTCTTTGTGAGATTTTTAACTCCTAATTCAACTTCTTTCATAGGTGTAGGACTATTCAAGCTTATTTCTTTTCAGTCAGCATTGCTAAGTTACATTTTTTCCTCAGAATTTGTCCATTTCTGTCTTTATTATAATTTTTTGTCACAAAATTTAGCTTAATCTTATTATCTTTAATTGCTGTAAGACTTGTATTTATAGCCCTCTTTTGTTCCTAATATTATTTGTACCTTCTTTCTTTTCTTTGGATCATTTTCCCCAAAGATGTGTCCATTTTCTTAGACTTTACAAAGGGCCAACCTCTATCTTTATTGATCCTCTGTATTTTATCTTTGTTTTCTATTTAATTGATTTCTGCCCTTATTTTTATGATCTTTTTTTCTTTCTTTGAATCTATTCTGTTATCCTTTTACTTCACTCAGTAGTTTTTAGTCTTACTAATTTTCTTTTACAGCCACAGAAGGCTATAAATTTCCTTTTAAATTCCATTTGACTGTCTCTTACAAAACTGATCTGTAGCATTTTCATTATCATCCAGTTCAAAGTATTTTAAATTTCCATTATGATTTCTTTTTTTGATCCAACTATTGAGAAGTATAATTTTAAATGTCCAAATACATGCCAATTTTTAAAAATTGTTTTCATTATTAACTTCTAAATAACTTACACTAATGTCAGAACATTTGGTCCATATTATATTGATTTTCTGAAATTTAAAATATTTATAACTCATATCATAAACAATTGATTTCCCTAACAGATAAAGAACTCTTATAAATCAAGAAGAAAAAAGACCAACGACCTAATTTTTTCAATGAGCGAAAGACAAAGAACAGTCAATACACAGAAATGCAAATTTAAAGGGCTCAAAAACATGAAAAGAGGCCCAACTTTACTTGTAATAAAAGAAATATAGATTAAATGGTTCTCTTTTTTACCTATCAGATTGGCAAAGACTTTAAAAATTGACAATGCCCCATGTTGGTGAGGGTTTGAGGAAACAAGGAGAGTTAAGTATTGCTGGTGGGAGTGTACACTGATAACGACTATGGAGAGTGATTCAGTAATCTCTACCAAAATTACCAACACAGATATGGTTTTATTCTGCAAGTTCATTTCTAGGAATTTCTTTTACAAATACTCACACAGGCGCAAAATAATCTTTGTAGAAGGGCATTCATTATAGAACTATTTGTAATAGCAAAAGATTAAAAACAACCATCAATAAGGTACTAGTCAAATTGTTACAACTACACAATGGACCACTAAGCAGCAACTTTTTAAAAAGGAATGAAAATACTTTTTATGTACCATATGAGAAGATATCCCAAGATGTTAAGTAAAAAATTTATGGTAAAGAATGCTACCACTATTTAGGTAAAAAAAACAAAAAAAGGTATTGTTATAAAATGCACACACACTCTCTCATGTTGTGTGAAACCACTCATATGTGCACTACATACAAGGCTGCTCAAGAAACTGATAAAACTAATTATTTCTAAAGAGAGGAACTGACTGTCTAGGGAATAAGAGTAAGAGAGAGATTGTACCATATAGATTTTTAAAGTAGGCAGAATCTGTTGAAAATTTTTTAAAAACTTTTTTTAATGAGCTTGATTAATAAGATTACTTCTTCATGGAAATGCCTACCTGTCACTAGCCAGGACCATGGAAAATGAACACCGTTCTTGTACGGTGCTAGGGTTATTTTCTTTTAGTAAAAATAATTTCATTTTTGACCACAACAAAAGCCCATCTGTAAAATAAAAGTTCTTATGACTGGCACGACCTAAAAGCCTACCATTTTCAATTTCAAGTCTTCCAGTAGAGTGCATAAATCCAATCCCATTATCTGCTACACACTGATACATCCCAACATCTTCCACAGTAACCCCACTGATTTTCAGTCCGTTTCCTGCAGTTAGATGTCGTGCAGAAGGATGAATAGGCTGTGCATTGTGAAACCAGGTACAGTTGGGGGCTGGGTTCCCATGAACGTCGCAGGTAAAGTGTACTGTGGCACCCAGAGACACTATCTGATCCTGTAGTCCTTTAGAAATGGAAGCATGTTCTGAAAATAAAACACACAAATTAAACTCTAGCCCTCAAAATGTACTTCTTAAATTATCACTCGAGTGATAAAAATCTTCTCTCTACCAATAACCAGTTGAAACAAAGTTGCATTGTTTATTCACATTCTTCTGTCTGCTGTGGTAATCAAGAAAAAAATTAGAAATGTTCCACTAATAGGATAAACCATATGTTGCTAATAAGATATAGTCTCCTTTCATAGATTACACCACCCACTTAACTCCCCACAACATACGCGAATACACACATATATACAAATAGTTTCTAATCCTGGGCTTCTCTTAGCATTTATTTCAGGTGATTAGCTTGAAATACAGTAACAATTTCCCTGGATTTCACACTAAACAGAAGCCAAAACAGAAGAACGTTTTACTCAGAGGTTAAATTATGTTTACGGTCAATTCAACTTTGAGGTTAGATGTATAATGGTGAAAATAAAAGAACAAAACTTCCTTTAGGGATCCTTAAAGTCACTTATTACCCACAAGTGTATCATTTATCAGAATTTGTAGCCTCAGTCTAAATTATGCATATTAATCCAGTCCTAATCACTGAATTCCAAAGCCCACTTGTCATACACTTATGTTAATTCCAGTGTTGCTAACCTATAGCAGGCCATGGTTATAAATATTATAAATACATGCAAAGAGTTTACAAAAGTTTTATTCACTATGAAACCACTTTCCACCTAATTTTTTCATGAAAATCTGTTTCAATAAAGGAAAACATTTTCTGCAGCTACACATGATAGTGAGGTAGGTAGCTGGTTAGAAACAAAGGAATAGCTTTGAAATAAAGTATACATAGAAATGTGGGTGGAAATAATTCAATTTTATCACCCAGGCATTGGTAAGAGCACCCAAAAAAAGAAAATTAAATTAAATAGATTGATTTCTTTTTGAGATGACATTTTCTTTTTTGAGACAGGGTCTGGCTCTGTCGCCCAGACTGGAGTGCGGTGGCGTGATCTCAGCTCACTGCAACCTCCACCTCCCGGGTTCAAACCACCCTCCCACCTCAGCCTCCCAAGTAGCTGGGATTACAAGCCTGTGCCACCACACCCAGCTAATTTTTGTATTTTTGGTAGAGATGGGGTTTCGCCATATTGCCCAAGATAGTGTTGGACTCCTGGGCTCAAGTATTCTGCCCTCCTCAGCCTCCCAAAGTGTGAGTTACCATGCCTGGCCTGACATTTTCTCATCAGTACTCTGTCTTAGTTACTATTACTGGATACTACACACAGATATAGGCTAGATTCTTCCATTCTCCTGATTTCCAGTTTTTTCCTCCATGTTATGAAGAAGGGAGAATAATTTCTATATTGTACAACGAGGTTGGGGGTGAGGTTCCGAAGAATATTCCATGCGAAATGCTCTATGCCACCCAGAAAAATGGCCTAATTCAGCAGTCCATTATAAAAATGAAACTTGTTCTGGCTAGGGTATAGATAGTTCTAGATACTCCCTATTTCAATTTCACAAATAGATCTTTCCTTCAGGTATCAGTTAGACCAGAAAAATGGCTTCATTTGAAAAAAATTAAAAACTAACATCTTACCAAGTACATTAACCATGTAAGTCACATATTTTACATCTCCAGACTTGTTTCCCGCCATGCAGGAATAGTTTCCGGAGTCCGCCGGGTCAACGCTATCAGTGGCAAGATGAGAATACAACCTTCTCCAGTTGCTTCCTGGTGCAATGTCCTGCCCGTCCTTTAGCCAATACACTTGAGGAGCCGGGACCCCACTCACCACACACTCCAAGGTTACAGGGCTACGAGAAAGAACAGCTAATGCCTGTGAATGGGTGGGGTGAAGAATGTGAACATCATCTGAAGAAGGACCTGGAAAAGGAAAGGAGATGAGAGATTATTAGTAAGTCTTCGATTCTAATCTCTTGCTTAGCAAACCTGTGGGCATCACCATTTTCCCATGTATTCTTTATACTACAAGGTCCTATTTGGTGGTTAAATCCTTTTTAGTTGAGGATTAAAAGATTTTTGTGGTCCTTTAGGGCTACTTCTGAATTGGCAGTTTGGAAATGCAGAATTCCCAACAAGTTCAGAAGCCACGCCTCTGCTATGCTCTATTGGTGCTACCTCAACTCAACCGCCATAACCTAAAAATCAACAGTGATTTTCATTACATCTGAAAGAAAGAGGACAGACATATCTCTTTTTTTTTTTTTTCAAAATTCACAGACATCAATTTAATGACCACTACTATAAAGCTGTATCTCCTCTATTTCTTCTTGTTTGAACAAAGGGCAAAATTCTCCACATGTATTCACTCTGTCACCTTGGCCAAAATTCCCTTCTGTAAGTTACATTTTTAAAGCATGTACAGAACTCTTCTATAATGCATTCATGTATTTACTTTTTTTTTTAAGACAGAGTCACATTCTGTCACCCAGGCTGGAGTGCAGTGGCGCAATCTCAGCTCACTGCAACCTCTGCCTCCCACGTTCAAGCGATTCTACTGCCTCAGCCTCTCAAGTAGCTGGGACTACAGGCATGTGCTGCCACACCCAGCTAATTTTTGTATTTTTATTAGAGACAGGGTTTCACCCTGTTGGTCAGGCTGGTCTCAAACTCCTGACCTCAGGTGATCCACCTGCCTCAGCCTCCCAAAGTGCTGAGATCACAGGGGTGACCCACCACACCTAGCCTGTATTTACTTTTTTGGTAAGACTTTTTATGATAAACAAACAGGATTTGAAAAAAAAATGAACTATCATTGCCCAACTTTTTATGAGGACTCTTCCTCTTCCAGTTACCATTATTCTCCCAAATACTTACGACTCACAAGGAGCTTTCGGCCAATAGGTTCAACTTTTAATTGATGTGTGACAGGATTATAAGCTGCACATTTGTATGATCCCTTGTCCTCTAAGGATACATTCAAAATCTGAAGATTTCCTGATGGAAGGATTAAGTAATTCTCTGAGGAAGGAAGGGAGTGCAGTTAGGCCTCTCCCTTTATGAAGGACACCACAGCACAACTAAAACTCACAAAGGCTGATCATTATGCTCTATTCCATCTTATTTTATTTTAGAGATGGGGGTCTCATTCTGTCACCCAGGCTGTAGTACAGTGGCATAAGCATGGCTCGCTACAGCCTGGAACTCCTGGACTCAAGCGGTCCTCCCACCTAAGCCTCCCAAGTAGCTGGGACTACAGGTGCATGCCACCACACCCAGTTAATTTTTAAATTTTTTGTAGAGATGGGGGTCTCACTATATTGCCCAGGCTAGTCTTGAACTCCTGGCTTCAAGTGATCTTCCTGCCTCAACTTCCCAAAGTGCTGGGATTATAGGCGTGAGCCACCGGCCAGCCTGCGTTACATTTAGACATGAGATTAGCGGTAAAGAAGCAATCAAGGAAAATTTCTTAAATGAAGGAAAGGGAAAGTCAAGGCAGAATAGAAAAAAAAGTCTACAGAACTAGCATAGCAAACCAAACCCAGCAGAAGCATGTTAACGGTAGTGAATCTCAAAGCACAAGAAACATGCTTTGACTTTGGCAAACCTCTAGCTACAGCACTGGTCACATGGTGTTCCTGCACTGTCTAGTCATTCATTTTTTTTCCACAAATACATATTAAGGGGCTACTTTCTGCCAACAATGGCCAGGCACAAGTGCTACGGCAAGGAAAAGAGCAGACAAAAACCCTGCATGCATGCAGCCGGCATTCCAGTAGGGGTATGTGGGGAGGTCAGAGGAAAAGACAAACAATAATAAACTAACAGAAATATGAATAACACAGTATCAGGTGTGATCAATTCTATAAAGAAAAGCAAAACGAAATAAAGGGGCCAGAGAGCACCAGGCATATTATTTTAGATAGGACCATGAGGGCTATCTTTTCCAAGGAAGTGAAATCTGATGGGGGTCTGAAGGAACTGAGGGAGTGAGGCCTCAGGGTATGGGGCCGTAATTATTTGTATATTGTAACCATTTGTTTTAGTCCTCTCCACTCATGCCTTCTTGTATCCACAGTTCGTCCCTAGCACACAGAGCTTAGAAGTAGCTTATTTAATGAGCATTTGTTCTGTGTGTGCCACCGGCTTTTCACAAAAGGTCTCACCTGTGGAATGTTCCAGCCATTTTCCCCGGATTTTATAGCGCACCTCAGCTTTGGGGTTACTCTCCGGTACCCTGCAGCCAATGAAACCAGCACTTTTTTCTTCTGCTGTAATAACATGCTTTGTGGATGAACCAAAATCACCAAGAACTGAAATATATAAGGAAACAGATAAATAAATACATGCAAATTTGAATTCTTTTTCCCAAAGGAAATTTACAAATTAGAAACAACATCTGCAGCACGGCCTTTTGTGGCAGCTGACCCCAGTCCAGAGGGCTGCATGATCTTTTCATCTCAGAAAGCAGCTGGGGCAAGCTACTCAGGAGGCTGAGGTGGGAGGATCGCTTGAGCCCAGGAGGTTCAGGCTGTGATGAGCCAAGCAGTGGAGAGCCACTGCACTCCAGCCTGGGTAACAGAGTGAGACCCTGTCTCAAGAGAAAAAAAAAGAAAAAAAAGAAAAGAAAGCAGCTGGGGCACATGTGCATGGTTGAGGGCTAAGACCGAAGTCACGGCACCCTTTTTCATAAGTCAATGCTTCTAGGGAATAAATATAAACTGCTCCTAAGACATCTAGAACCATAAAGCATAATTATTCCCATTCAGTCAAGATAAATCCTTTTCAATCCAGTGCCCCATCAAAACTCACTTTCCCTACGGATCTTTAATCTGTTTGTAGCTATTCACATTGCAATAAAATGATTTCTGGAATGAACCTAGGACATCAAAAAAATAAGGAAGGATATCATTATTTAGATTATCTGAATCTACTAACTTGGTCTCAATTCCTCTCAGTCTCAGTTCACTACGGACGGAGCCTGCAGGGGACTCTTTATTATCTCCAGGGCTCAAAGCACTCAGCAGCCTGCCACGAGGAATTCAGCCCTCCAGTGTGTGTCTTACAGCTGTCCATGGGTCACAGCTCTACAAAAACATTTACTCTTCTCAGTTATGACAAACTCACTACTCCTGGGGAATCCAGATTTGTTCTGTAAATAGGGGTGCCCTTACAAAGACGTTTTCCATTACTGGAAGCCATCACCGTTTGAAACGCAGATGGCTCCAACTTACTAAGAAAAACCACGCATTCCAGATTTTCCGTAAGTTCAATACTCAACATTCCTTTCTTTACAGTTACTTTTTTCCTGCTTTTTAACCATGGCTTCAATTAAATATATTAAAATCACTCAGTAATCAAGGCAAATAAAACAATTAGATGTGAAAGAAAGACAAAGGACTCCAGGAAATAACTGTCAGAGTAGACAACAGCTTTTGTTGTTAATGATATCATGGATTTCCAAGCACTCACAAAGAAATTGTTCAGAATTCACATTTAAAAAGTGTCCTTCCCTGGCAAAGCTGCAGAGATTATAAAGAAAAAAAAAAAACTGTCCTAACTGCGTAACTTTAAAAAAATCATTTCCATATCATTGTTACTGATGAGGGCATGAGGCCAGGCTCACAGAGGTCTAAGTGCACTTCCACAATATACTCACAGCAAGAGTCAAGGCTGAGATAAAAACTCCTATATGCTTTACACCAAAGCCCATGGTCTTTCCCCTCTTCAGAAATATAAGCACTAACAGTAATTTCAAGAAAACCCATACCTAACAGGGACAAAATTAAACTCACCTGCCACAGATACTGTCGCAGGGCCACTCACAATGGCACCGATGCTATTGTTGGCAAGGCACTGGTAGTAACCCAAAAGAGAGGAGTTGAGAGAAAGAATTGTCAGAGTCCCCTGATGAATCTTAACATGTTCCAGGTTTCCATCCAATGTTTTTCCGTTATGCAGCCATGAGATACGAGTGGTCACAGGTTGAGCAGAACAATGCAGTACTACAGGTCCACCAAGTTTCTGGACAGCAGAGAGCGGCTCAGAAGTAAAATAAGGTGCCAAGTCTACAAGGGAATATTCCCCATATGCAAAGAAAGCAGGGGAGAAAAGAGGAGAGAGAAAGAAGATTACATTAAACACATTTCATCTGTATCTTTATAACTAAAGGCAATCTTTTATTTTATATATGTTATGGTTCTTGATGCTTGTAAAAGTTCTAGCAAAATTCTTATAAGCCTATTTGTTGGAAGTAAAAAAGAGCAACATGTTAGCCTAGGACTTAACAATTAGGGTACAAAAGACAAGAATGCTGATGATATAAATCAGATACAATATCAATCCTATTAATAAGAAATAGCAAAGTGCAGCTGGGCCCTGGGGCCCCCGCCTATAATACCAGCACTTTGGGAGGCCAAGGCGGGTGAATCCTTGAGCTCAGGAGATCAAGACCAACCTGGGCAACATGGCAAAACCCTATCTCAATAAAAAATACAAAAATTAGCCAATGTGGTGGTGTACACCTGTAGTTCTTACTACTCCAGAGGCTGAGGTGGGAGGATTGCTTGAGCCCAGGAGGTGGAGGCTGCAGTGAGCCATGACTGCACCACTGCACTCCAGCCTGGGTGACAGTGGGAGACCCTGCTTCAAAAAAAAAAAAAAAAAAAAAAAAGAAAGAAGGAAATGGCAAACAGCTCTTTTAATAAAGTGACTTGGAAGAACTGGAAGTTAAGAACCTGAAAAAGTGAAGATGACTTTCCAAATAAAAAGAATTCTCCCCTATTTTACCAACAGGATTTGATTTACGAGAGCAAGTTTTTCTACAAATGAGGGCTGTGGTACTTCCTTACTACTTCCCTTCAGTATAAAACAATGTTTAAGTTTTAAGAAAACAGAAATAGAAAGCTAGGAAGCCACAATTGAAATACAAAGGCTATCCTTTCTTAAACATAGGGCTTCGTATTTTTATTTGGGATTTGAAATGGTTTCGTCTGTTATTTCTATTACTCCAGGAACATGGGAAGGCGAGGGTGTTCTTGCACTGAAGTATCCATGCAGATCCTTCTGTTCCAACCCGAGAGTGGGAAGGGGGAAGAAATAGTTGTTAATTTTCTAGAATAAAATACTTAAGAGAAAAAAAATCAATAAATTGCTGAATCTACTTCTATAGAATATTTAATCAGAAATGAAGTTAAGGGGAAGTATCTCTTTTGGCTGAATCTGGGGTGGTTGTTTAGCAAAACAAAAGTAAAACCACAAAACCAATTTTCCCCTTATTAAATTTAATACAGCTATATAGTACTTTTAGCAGATATTAAAAATAAATAGTACTCAATGAATAAACATCACTGTATTTGTATCTACTTATATATTCATCTTTACCCAAGTCTAAAATAAAAAGAAATGCACGTGAACCATGTCTTAGGCATGGGGCTTACATACACATTTAACAACAAACACATTTATGCTTTTCAGTAACCCAAAGAGGTAGACAATAAATTAGGCAAGCTCATAAGAGAAAGTGGCAGACCTGGGATTTGAACCAAGTTCTCTCACTCCCAGTTGAACACAGTATCATGCTGATTCTAAAACTTCTCTTTGGTATATTTAGTCCGCATTTTATTCCTGTTCTTTCCAAGTTCAGAAATTAGTGACATATCCCCTTATTTAAAAAAAGCATGATTGGAAAATATGTATTTTTTTTTAAAAAATGAAAGGGATAAATTATAAGGGCCAGGACAGGAAGGCCTGCTAATGCCCAAAGCACTACCAAGAGATCCTTAAATTGCTTAATTTATCGAGTTTTTAAATCATGTAGTTGGTCAAACCAATCTTAGAAACATCTTTAGATAGCACCATTATCACAAAGCATTGAAGTACAAATTTATGTTTTATAGGATTAAGATGAGTAAAGGCCAAACCACCCCCTCCCCAATTCTACTCTTACCTGAACTCACAGAAGAGCACAGAATTGTAAGAGTAACATACAGCAGTGTACATAAGGGTCCAAGATCCGGATGCATAGCGCCAGATTACAGAAGCAATCAGGACAGGCTTCCAGAGCAAAACCCAGTCCTTGGTTCACTAAAAAAGAAAAAGGAAAGAAAATCTAAACCATTGAAATCTTTCGTCTGAGCAGCTGGAGCTGTGAGCATGACGGCTGCCATCTATTTTGAAAGCTCTGTGTAGAGTACGTCAAATACCAGGCACTTAATTATCCAGATCTTCCCAATTCACAGACTGATCTCTAGACACTAGAGCTAGAAGTTTTGCTCATTCTTCCAAGGTCCTAGGATATCTCCTACTACACAGAACTAATCACTCTGAATGAATACATTCAACTGCCTATAATGCATTTCTACTTACACATCTCACAAACATACAAAACTCAATGCAACCAACATGTATTCCTCTTTCACATCCCCTAAAATAGTAACTGTAAGGAAAACAACAAAATAATGGCTAACATTTACGGAGTGCTTACTATGTGCCAGACACCATTTCAGTGCTTTAATACACGAATTTAATCTTCACAACAACCCTGTGAGACAGGTACTACTGGTTTTTGTCCCTTTTTTCAGATGGAGGACTCCTGGCTCATGGATTGGTCAAGCACAGAGAATATCAAGGTCAGGCCTGTGTTGGGATTGGGCTTGGCACTATTGTGACAGTGGGATAAGCCAAGAAAAGGATAGTAATGGATGAAGCCAGAGAGGCAGGCTGGACCAGATCACATTCAGCTTTGAAGGCCATGGTAAAGATCGTGGGATTTATTCTAAATGCAAGAGCAAACCCTTAGAGGACACAGAGAAGGGGAATGATGTAATGTTATTTATGCTTTAAAAAGATCACTGGCTGAAGTGGAAAAGGGAGACTAAGCAGGACATACTGTAATCACCCCGGAGACAGATGAGGACACAGTGGTTACAACACTGAGTCAACCGTGGAGGTGGAGAAAAGTAGTTGGATTCAGAATATATTATAACGGTCGACCCAACAGGACATGTCAAAGGCTTGGATATAGAGTGTGGGACACAGATGTGTGAAGGATACACTTGGGTTTTGGTGACACAAAATAAATAATAGCCCTGTTTACTGAAATGGGGAAGACTAGAGGAGAGACAGAAGAGAGGGTTCATCACTGGTTCTGTTTTGGCCAAGGTAAGTCTGAGCTATCTATTAGACATCCAACTACTACTGTCAAGTCAACAGTTGCATGTGTGAGTGTGGAGCTGTAGGAAGAAGTCAGAGCTGGAAATGTAGATCTTAAACGTATGAACGCCTTGGCACTAGTTGAGCTCTAAGGAAAATATGTTTAGAGGACTGAGGAGAGGAGAAGAGATAAAACAGAAGAGCCTTGGAATACTCCAACCTTTAGAGATGGGAAGTAGCCAAGGACACTCAGCAGAGGTAGTGAATGAAACAGAAAGAAATCTATTTGTTCAGGGAGAATATAAGAAATATTTCTAGGCTGGGCACGGTGGCTCACATTTGTAATCCCAGCACTTTGGGAAGCTGAGGAAGGCGGATCACTTGAGGTCAGGAGTTTGAAACCAGCCTGGCCAACATGGTGAAACCCCGTTTCCACTAAAATTACAAAAATTAGCCGAGCCTGGTGGCATGCACCTGTAATCCCAGCTACTCGGGAGGCTGAGGCAGGACAATCGCTTGAACCTGGAAGGTGGAGGTTGCAGTGAGCCAAGATTGTGCCACTGCATTCCAGGCTGGGCAACAGAGCCAGACTCCATATCAAAAAAATAAAAATAAATTTAAAAAATAAGAAAAAGAAATATTTCTAGAAGAAGAGTGTGATCAATGGTCTCAAACATCGATGAGAAGCAGAGTAAGATGAGACACCATCAGAAAGGACTACTGAAGGTCATTGGTGGTATTGACAAGACTGGTTTCAGTGGAGAAAAGACAAAAGCGTGATGGTAGTTCAGGGTAGAATGGGAAGACAGGAAACAGAAAGCAGACACAGACACTTCCTTCCAGGGTTCTGCTATACAAAGGCAGCAGAAAAACAGGGAGAATTGCTGAAGACAAATGGTAGTCAAGAGATGGTTTGTTTGTGGGGGGTGTGTGTGTGTGTGTGTATTTTACTATAGAGACAGTATAGCACATTTGGTAAAACTAAAAAAGTTTCACAAAACCCAGCACTGGCAAGAATGTGAGCAAAAATCATTATCATATATATTGCTGGTGGAAACAAAATCAGTACATACTTTTTGGAGGCAGTCTGCTATTTCTATCAAAAATCATTTATGCAACAAATACTTATTGAATGCTTATCATATGCTAAGACTATCCTAGGAGGTGGGAATTGAGCAATTAAAAATGTATATATAAAAATAAGTAACAGACAAAAAATGTATACCATATATTCAAGTAGGAGAGATAGACAATATAAAAGATAAATAAAACTAGTAAAACTAACAATGTCCATGCCATTCTCCAGATATGGCCAATTCTTTCTCTTCTATGCTACCTCTACACCTGGGACATGCGTAACCACAGCACCCAATACTCTCTTATGTAACTTATCTGGTGACACAACTGTGACCTCTTTGAAGGCAACAATGACATCATATTTAGCTTTACAAAATTTTAGTGCCTAGCAGAAAGTAGCTTTTTCAAAAATGTTTCTTAAAATGAAAGGAATACAATAGAATGCAATTCCCAGAAGTACCTTAAGGACTAGTGTTTAGTGAGAACTGCCATCTCATCTGAATTTAGTATATTCTAGCTATATTGTTTATTCCTTCACTCACTTATTCATTCATATGTATAATTTTAAAAATCAACAAAAAATACAGTAAGTGCCTACTATATGCCAGGCACTATGCTAGACTAGGCTACTATGTCTGCGAATCCTGCCCCATGTTCCTGCTTAGCCAGGGCTAGACACTGGACCTACGACTATAGAATACAACAAAATCTAATGACTGTGCTACATTAATGACATTTTAGAAATGAGAATTTTATGTGCATTTTCATTCATGCAAAGAAAGGTTAATGCTAACCATTAATAAAATTAGGTAGTAATACAGAGGAAGGCACCTTAAGTACAGCTTTTAATAAATCAAATAGTATCTCCCAGAATCTGCTCACCTTCTCTATGCCAAGTACTCTAAAATCTAAAAGGTGCAAACTCAAGTTTCTCTAGCTCGTGGATATCAGGTTATGAATCTGCTTTTCCAGTTTTTTCTTGCTGACCTCCTTTAAAAAGTGGGAGAGGGACTACTGGCAATGACTCAGCGGCAGAAGAGTCCAGCTGTGTGAAAACTTTTTTGGTTTATTTGAATTCTCACTTGGTTCAAGGGTAAGAACTGACACACCACTGGAAAGCAGTCAAGGCAAAGTAAACATTCAAATAACTTGTTAACAGGAGACATTTTCCTGAGAGAATGAGGACAAGAAGGATTGTTTCTTCCTTTTGCCAAATCTTTCAGCTATTTATTTATTAAAAAGCAGTGAAACAAATTTCAGAGTCAACTTTAACCCTAGTGCATGACCTACTCAGTGACTTTATAGTTGTCCTTGAAAGTTTCACAGCTCATTACAGCTACCTAAATATTATCACACAGGAATCTTCTTTATTAAGTCTATCTTTCTATTGGGTTACTCTCTACGTGCTCTCAGTTGATTTTGGAAGTTGGAAAGAACCTATGGCCAGAAAAGGCATTTACTAAACACGTGTTGGCTTGGTTTACATGTACCCAAGGCAAGCCTGCTCAGTTTGTTAAAGAGCTGTGATAATGACAACAAGGAGTTGGATTCTGCTGTTTTATGGAGTTGGGTAGCTCGACATTAGAGTCAACAGCCAGTAACAGCACCCCAGGCCCAACCTCACAAATAAACATTACTGACCACACAAAGTTTAGATACGCAGAAATCACAGTATATCCATTAGTACTACTGGAAAATCTTTCAATGGTACATCATTTTCAAAAGTACTATCTTTATCAAAAAAGAAACCCTTAATATTAGTGTTATGGTTATTTAACTAGTAAGTTATTAGAAAACCAAATATATAATTTATTCATATGTGTGTGTATATATACATGCAAATGCATGTGTGTGTACTTAAGTTCCCCTACATTGCTC
Organism: Homo sapiens; assembly: GCF_000001405.40. Lineage (NCBI taxonomy): Eukaryota > Metazoa > Chordata > Mammalia > Primates > Hominidae > Homo > Homo sapiens. The sequence continues at coordinate 126,027,561 of NC_000011.10, forward strand.
TGGCAAATAAACACAATTTTGTTTGACAAAGTTTACCATAACTAAACAGGTTTCTGCCATCTTCTTATTCACAAGTCAGCGGCCTTAATGTATAAGTCATTTTTCTCACCTACAGAAATTGACCTTGGCAAGGGAGACAATAACCCTAATTTCCTCTACATAGTTGTTATCCCATCCTCCTTATCTTTTCTTTCAATCTGGAAATAATGACCAGCAGAGAAAACAATCCATGATAAGGACAACCATCCTACTCTACACCACACATAACATGGGCACATTACTTGCCAAACGTGCTTAACCTCTGTTCTAGTGAACATAACATTCAAATCTCCTCATGTAAAAATTTAAAACAGAATTCTGATTTAAATCATGTCAGATAGAATAGAATTCTGACTTAAATCACTCTGCCTTTTTTTTTTTTTTTTTTTACTTTAGGGTTACTTTTATTTTGAATTTTTTTAAAGCACTCTATGTTGTCAACATAATGCCTGGTGATATTTTAAACAAAATATTCAAGTTTTCTTCGCATATTTTATATGTCGGTTTTACAAGAATTGCTAAATTTCTATGAATACTCATCCGAAAAAAGTACACATTCAATACAGAATGTGCAGAAAATACATAAACGTATAAAAAGGAAAGTAAACACGACAATCTCGCCACCTATAGATAGCATGTCAACATTCTGATGCACTTCCTTCTCATCTTTTTCATATATGTGGTGTACGGTATTTACATAATTGTGATAATACATGTTAGGGTTTTAAATGCTTTAATTTATTATTTAGTGATCATTTTTCCTTATTAAAATTCTTTTTTTTTTGAGATGGAATCTTGCTGTCACCCAGGCTGGAGTGCAGTGGCATGATCTTGGCTCACTGCAGCCTCCGCCTCCCAGGTTCAAGCGACTCTCTGCCTCAGCCTCCCAAGTAGCTGGGATTACAGGCACGTGCCAACATGCCTGGTTAATTTTTGTATTTTTAGTAGAGATCGGGTTTTGCCATGTTGGCCAGGTTGGTCTCGAACTCCTGGCCTCAAGCAATCCACCTGCCTCAGCCTCCCAAAGTGCTAGGATTACAGGCATGAGCCACTGCTCCTGGCCCTTATTAAAATTCTTCATAAATAAAACTTTTAACAGCTGCGGAGAATTTATTTATTTATTTATTTATTTATTTATTTATTTATTATGTCTTGTATTTTAGTCTACTTAACCATTCTCTTTTGGATAGTTAGGCTACATTTTTATATATGTGTATATGTATGTGTGTGTGTGTATATATATATATATGTTACTTTTTTGCTATTCTAGATAACACTCTATGAATATTTTGTCCATAAATCTTAAACCACTCTTCTAATTATGCCCTTAGGACATTTTTAGGAATAGAATTATTGGATCAGGGAGTGCAAACATTTTCAAGACTCTTAATACATATTGTCAAGTCGTGTTCCAAAAAGAGGCCCCCAATAGCCAACCCCATCCCTCACAACCAAAATTGGCACATGAAGGTAACTCCCCATCACTGACATATGGTTTAGATCCTCACACTGTGGTAAGCAAAGTGTGGATACGAATCTTGACTTTGAGTAATGAACTAAAATACTTGCTAAGGCATAAAGCAACTTTCACTCTCTATTAGGGATTTTTTTAAACAATATTCTAAAGTTACATAAAAGTAACTGGAAAAAGAATGTAAGGCATGGGCATTGCAGGCCATATTCATCAAACCTTGTCAATCCTTGAACTTCCAATGACAAAAAACAACGTGGACACAAAATCTCGCTTTTTACCCATAATCTATTATATAGTAGAATAAGGAGTTACTGTCATTACACCGTGTGGTTTTAACTCATTACACATGTTTCTCAAAATAAATTTGTATGCAAAAATTGCTGACACTCTAAGGGAATATTTGCTGACATTCAAAACAGTAAATTGCCATTCATTTCAAAACCGTATTCTCCCTTTCTTACTGCTTTTCTTGTCCATGTAACATATATATATATATATGTATCTCTATTTCCCTAATCTACTAGAGGTAATAAAATCAGTGAAGAGGTTAGAATTTGAATTTGATTCCTTATGTGAAAAACAGAAGTGACGGGCTCATCGAACCCAGTGGTCTCAAATGGAATTAGCATGACCACGAGAAAGTTCTTCCATCTCCTTCCCATCTTCATATAAAGCTAGTGGCCAACACAATTCCATTCTTTTCACCGACATTCTGAGTGGGTGATTTGTCTGAGAAGATGCTTAGTGGTCCCTTTGCTCTCAGGAAAGCGCCTGGTAGTACAGTCTCTCCGGAAAAAGATTGTAGAACATGCACACACACAAACACACAAAATGCAGCTAAGTGTAGTAAAACCATTAAACCATCTACAAAGCAGGACAACTTATTGCTCAATGCTGTAAAAATCTCTGGAGGCTCCCCAGTCTCATGTGGCACAAGTACTGCTCCCAAAGTCCAAATGTCACTAAACAACAGCTGGTGTTTCCTAAGTTATAAGGCTTTCTTTAAGCCTTTCTCCCACATCCACATAGAAGGCAATCTGTCCTATAAGCTCTACTTTATATGCCATGCCAAGCTTAGAGCATTTCTGTGGGCAGAGGGAAGCTAAAGGTATACCTCATCTTAGAATAAGAAAGGAAATACTTTCCTAACGTTTACTTAACTTATTGTTCAGGTTGTGAACTTATTGCTTTTATAACCCCTTTTCAACATGCTGCCAGAATAATCCTTTGGGAAAAGTCTTTCCTGAATTTCTAGATTTGATTACTTTGTTTTTGAAGCAACGCCTTTGCTTTCATAAGGATGATGAAGGCTGTCTTTCTGAATCATTCCTCTTCCTAGCCTCCTATTTCAAACTTTCTTGTAGTTTTCTTTCAAGCTTAGGAAATAACTGTGATTAATTTGTGAACAAAAACTTGGCTTTGAGATCAGTTATAGTTCTTCAAAATAGGAAATTATTTAAGTTAGATTCCGTTTTTTAAAAAGAATCTTATTCTGTATGAAACATGGTAATTTCCTTTTTTAAAACAATGATTCATCTCGATTTTCAAACAATCTATCTCAAAATATGCTATTGATCAGCTAAGAAAAAATTATTTTCAGAACTACAAAGAAAAACTAAAACATGTCTACTTAAAAATTCTTCATTAAGTACTATCAAGATTAGTGCAGTCCAATTTCAATTATGGAAGTCAAATATAGTATATACTGTTTTTTAACCCATTGGGCTACCTTGACCTTAACCACAGGCAACTTTAAATCTCCTGTCAGTTTTCTTCATTCTGAATATTTAATTTAACTAAGAAGTTAACATCATTTCCTACACAAACTTCTCAAATAACTCTGCTTTTCAAGTAAGTATTCATTCAATCAAACCATTTAATACATAGAACATCTACTTTGGGCAAGAACCTATGAGGGGTGCAAAGATATACCAAACTAAAGGAAACTGCTCAACTAAGAAGGGCACGAACATAATTATCTCCAGAATAAAGAAAAAAGTCTTAAATGCAATAAGAGAGTAAAAAGTATTGAAAGAGTTCAAAGCAGAGGAATTCATCTTTTATTCAGTAAATACTTGGTGCATGCTTACTATATACCAGGCACTGAGCTATCCTGGAAACTCAACCATGAATAAAAGAGACACAGTGTCTGCCCACATGAGGCTTACAACCAGGTGAGGACATGTGACAAGTAAGGAAGCAATTAAAATACAGACTCGTCTAACATGGGAATGGCTCAGATAGCAACTTTTTGCAATAATGGCTCTTAGAAAGTTATTTCACTTTTTTTAAAATACAGCTTCGTTTTATTCAGTACAACTTTTCCAATCAGAAACTAAAGAAAACACTCTAAAAAGTGATATTATAGCTTCAGGCAAAGCTGCACACACCAATTTATATAATACCACAGTTTTTAGACTTTACACCACGTCACGTAGAAAAAAGTGAATTGCTTGCTGTGTTTGGATGACCTCAAACATTGTGCTTTGTGTTCAGATGCCAACTGAGGGGGAGGACAGTGGGCATTCTCCTGATCTTCTGTGAGATTCCACTAATTAGTGAGATTCTACTAATCTTCTGTCTGCAGTGTGTGTGCACCATTTCCGCGAGTTGTGAAACACTCTTGTGTTGAGCTTTTGTTTTGCCATAAGGTGATTTTAAGTGCTTTTATTTTCTAAGTGCAGTTTGAATGCGAGGTAACTACGAGCCTTAAGATGACTTCCAGTGTCCAAAAATCCATTTCCTGACTCTACACCACCCGTGAAGGAATTGCTCACCATTCCTCTTTCACCAGCCTCAAGGCTTCTCTTCCTCCTTTGACAAGCATAATAAACTCAGTGCATTTTATTTAAGAACAAACTGGATTTATTTACTTTTAAAGTATCTTTTACCATCTCTACAAATGTGCTTTCACTGCTCCATTGACATGTTTTTCTATCTGTGAAATCTGGCTATCTTGGATTGGGACAGAACATATCATGACTCTTTCCATGAAAAGCAATAGACATGCTTTACACTAAAAGGCAGAATTTTTAGGAAATAAAGGTTTTCAGAGATTAAAGCAGTTACATGAGAAAGGGACAGGTAAGCAACAGAATAAAGCAAATACAGGTGCTCCAGGAAAAAGAGAAGGCTCACTTAACCTAGATTTGTACTTGGAGAGGTGAAGACTTCTCAGAGGAAACAACTGACTAGGTGAAATCAGAGGGATACGTTTGGGGGATGGAGTAGAGGAAGGGAGGAAGAGAAGGAAGGAAGTATCTCAAGCAGAAGGAACAGTGTGTTTGTAGAATCAGAGTAAGGATGTCTGGGCTGGAAAATACAGTAAGAAGAGAAGGATAAGACACAGTGAGGGGAAAGCAACATAAATGAGCAGAAACAAGAGTGTAAAGAACAATATAAATCATATTAAAGTGTTTGGCTTTTATTCTGAGAGGAGGGTGTCAAAGGCTTTTAAGCAGGCAAGGACATGATCAGTCCCGTACCTTTGAAAAATCGCTGACACTGCAATGTGGAAAACAGTTGAGGATAAGAGAAGTTAGAAGGCTATGGTGAGAGATACGGGGACCTGTACTGGAGAAATATCACGGGATAAATTTGAAAGGTTTTTCAAAAATTTTTAAGACACGGTCATATTTAAAAGACGTAAGAGGCCAGGAGCGGTGGCATACACCTATAATCCCAGCACTTTGGGAGGCCAAGGTGGGTGGATCACTTGAGCACAGAAATTCCAAGACCAGCCTGGGCAACATAGGGAGATCCCATCTCTACCAAAAATACAAAAATTATCCAGGTGTGGTGGTGCACACCTGTAGTCCCAGCTACTTGGGAGGATGAGGTGGGAGGATCCCTGGAGCCCAGGAGGTTGAGGCTGCAGTGAGCTATGATCGCACCACTGTACTCCTAGCCTGGGTGACAGAGTGAGGCCCTGTGATCAACAGGACTTTGATAATGAATGAGTTGGACTGGAAAAGAATAGACCACTAGGACCTAGGACATCTTTGGAATCCATTCATCTGTCCACTGCTCTATTTCCCCACTGCTGTGACTGTAAATAAGGAATCGAGGCTGCTGTCCAGACTTCTGACTCAGACAAGTGAGTGAGTGGATGATGTGCATTTACTGAGATGGGAGCAGCAGGGTCTTCTGTGGTCTGCTGCTGCTGTTTGAGGTGGTAGAGGGAATGGAGAGCGTCTGAAGGTGTGGAGATAACAAGAGGAGCTGGAGGTAAGTGGGGTTCTAAGGAAGGTTGGGCAGGCAAGCAGAAAGAAGCCTGAAGCTCTTAAGAGATTTGGGTCGCAGATGACACTCTGGTGGGCAACAGCAGACACACGGAACTATGGCTCAGGCTGAATCCCAAAACTATCATGCTTGAAGGGACAGAAACTCCTCATTCAAAATAAACCACACTATCAATACTACTAATGAAAAAGTTTTAAAGCAAAAAAAAGGAAAAGACAGAAATGATATTCCAGGGATGGAGTCAAACAGTCAGACTTTAAAAATGAGTTTCTTAATGTGATTTAATTTCACATTTCACACTGTTATACCTTTCCAAGGTACTACAGTGTAGGGTAATCAGACACATTCCTTCATGCTTACTAAAGGCTTTGATTAGGGACGGTCTTCATGCTGTCCACAGGGGTTCTCCCAAAATGAGAGTAACAGCTGGCATACATCTTCCATGATTCTACAGGAGGAAAGGAGAGGCAAACAGAGTGCTACAAGTCTAGTCGCAACAAACATACTATCTAATAGCATGCTACTCTCTGGGGCGTATGGGGGTTCTTTTAGAAACTTAAGAATTTCTTAAAGCAGTCATGTGCAATTAACAATGATGTATCTTCTGACCTGCCGCATCACTCCCAGTCCATAGGAGGAACATATAAATCTCATCAAAGTAAAGTTGCAGGATCTCAGACACCAAGGCCCCCTGCCAATCACTGGGAGTGCTCTCTTCCTGCCAGGATGAAGCCCCTGGGTGTGAAATGCAGCTTTCCACAGTACTTACTTTATAAGCACTTATTAATGATCGTGCAATCATTCAGATCAACTTAAAAAAAAAAAAGTTCACACCTACAGACTTCGCAACCCTTCCCCCACTTCTCCCAAGTCTCAGTCGAGTCAGCCAAGCATACAAACGATCCTGCTGCCTGCGAAAGCATTTCCTTTCACCGTGGACTGCCAAAAGTAGAGGAAGAAAATGGAAGTGACTTGGAGTTATGGCACCAAAAAGGCCAAATGAGCAAAGAAATAATCAACTCCACATGAGCCTCTTCAGCTCCAACACAATGAAAAGGGCCCAGGACGAACCCCAGGAAAGGTCACTGAGATCAAGGGTCACACGCAGAAAAAGGCAACAGTGAGGGGCTGCCAGCTGCAACAGGAATCAATGTGGTCCTAATTACACCAAAGGAGAGGGGGCAAAAGCTCAGTTAGGTTCTATTCACAATATTTGTGTGTTTAAAAAAAAAAGTCAAGTGTTCCTGTTCCACTCTCTTTCTAAGAGACTATTTCTTCCTGCCACTAGAGCACAGGAAGCCAAGAATTGTGAAGATAATCCTGGCATCCACAGTGGGTTGTACAGGAGCATTATAAATATTTAAAAGCATAGCTGCATACAAATGGTGAAATTCTAAAAAGCAGCGTGAGAGAGATTATTAAAAAGACAAAATATAGAAAATTTCAAGGGGATTATTTTGCAAGTCCCATGGAGTCAACACTTCCACAAATCCAGCACTTGGTAGCTTTTCAAGTTTGTCACTGGAATTGGCTTTATGGGAAAAAATAACCGTTATGGTAACCACAAAACAAATGCTAAAAGCTAAGTTTGCTAAGAACTAGCTATTGCAAAGATGTAGACACACATTTGACTAACTTCTGCTGGAGGATGAGCAGGAGGAATATGGAAACATTTGAAAAAGTGCCCCATATAGGTGTTAGGTAATATAATTAACGTAGTTGTTAACAGGTCCAGCGCTTTGCTTAGACCCTACTGACTTATGCACTGGACTAACCTAAGTATAAGAGTTTCCCTGGCAGTTACAAAAGACTCACCCTCATGGGGTTTGGCTTAGATTCCATTTTAATAACAAGGAAAAAATCCTCAAGGAGAAACTCATTTCCATGAAGTACATTATTCAAATATACACAGTCAAGCATTGAAAAGGCAGATAAGAAAAAAACAAATCTTGGAAAAGGATCTTTGCTGCAAATAAACTTGAATCAACGCTGGCTGAACACTGGGTCTCTGCCACAATGACTTTTACATTATCTTACCGTCAAGTTACGAGTTTCCTAGAGACCTAGAACATATTAATACTAGTTTCCAAGTACCTTATTCCATCTTTAAACTTGGCCACATAAAATAATGGAAGAAATCTAGATTTCTTATCAGCCCCTGCTTTGTTCAAACTGGTAATGGGAATTAGGTCAGACACAGCTTCATCAAAGCTGTCATCCTACCATGGAAGAGAGGCTGTGCATTGATAAAGGGGTTCTTCAAGCACATTCATAAGCTGACATACAAGTCAATCACAGATTACTATGCAGTTAGTACATAATTGGCACCAATTGACTGACAAGTCTAAAATTAAGTAAAAACACAAATTGGCCTATGTCAGGAAAACCTGCACCCTTGAAAACTCAAAATCAGTGCCAGGCAGTTAAAACCAAAGTAACCATCAGGATACAATGCCCTGATGAAACTAGAAAATAGAAAAACAAATCAATTAGGATCACAATATCTTTGTAAACATAACACAACATAGCATGAAGTTTTAGTCCAAGCAGAAAAGCCCGAGAAGTGGCCTTTGGCATCAGGTCCGGCCTGACTATCAAAAATAAAGCAAAGTTTGTTGGAACAACTCTGCTAGGCCACACATGCACGAAGCGGCAGTGGCCAGATTGTAACACAACACTGGCAGGATGGTCAAAGAAATAATTCACAGACACTGATACAGAAAAGGTACATACACACACATATAAATACACACATATGTATACATACTACTAAAAAAACACAGCCGCAGATAGACCCAACCTGGAACCCAGATAAAACTTATTCCAATGATGCTTCTCTGTGCAAAACATAATCCCTTATTAATTATTTTTGGTATCAATGTATAAAGCAGGCATGAATATTCTCATTATGATTACATCTGATTTTTAAACACATATAGTCTTAACTCCAACATTATGACCCAATTTATTCATTAATGACTATTTCCAAAAAATCAATTTCCAAAAAATCAAGAACATCAAACACTTTCTTTAATGTACCACAAGCAATAAAGGTAATTTTAAAAGGACTCCAAATTTCTTGGCACAACAAGAGTAACAAGAGATTAAATATGCAGTTTCCCAAGGTAACTGGCTTCTTTAAAGAAACAATTCTCATGTATAAGTCTTGGCATAGTTCTTAAGGCTTTTGTATTATACTATACTCATATTTCATAGTCAAACAATAACAGACCCTATGTTTATAGAATACATTTCTACCTGTATATACCCTTGTAGGCCTCACTCTTCTTTGAAGGACTTGTCATTGTGGACTTCTGTGCACAACATGAGGGTTTCTTTTGTTTTTAGTGAGTTTTCTTAAAACGTACAACTTTACTCATGTTGTTTTTTTGAGACAGGGTCTCGCTCTGCTGCCCGGACTGGAGTGCAGTGGTGCAATCATGGCTCACTGCAACCTCTGCCTCCTGGGCTTAAGTGATCCTCTCACCTTAACCTCCCAAGTGGCTGGCACCACAGGCGCAAGCCATCACGCCCAGCTGATTCTTCCACTTTTTGTAGAGACAGGGTCTCACATGTTGCCCAAGCTGGTCTCAAACTCCTGGCCTCAATCGATCTGCCTGCCTCAGCCGCCCAAAGTGCTGGGATTACAGGCATGTGAGCCACCATACCCAGCCTACAACTTTATTCTTTATATAACATCATATAACTAATTTGAGTCTGAGGATTATAAGAATGCTGGGGGATGGATCCTTAATTTTCTAAAATCTCTTCATTCAACCCATTTTCTTTCTTTTTTTTTTTGGAAGATGGAGTCTCTCTCTGTTGCCCAGGCTGGAGTGCAGTGACACAATTATGGCTCACTGCAGCCTTGACCTCCCTGGGTTCAGGCGATCCTCCCACCTCAGCCTCCCGAGTAGCTGGACCACAGGTGTGCACCACCATGCTCGGCTAATTTTTGTATTTTTAGTAGAGATGGGTTTCACCACGTTGGCCAGGCTGGTCTTGAACTTCTGATCTCAAGGGCTCTGCCCACCTTAGCCTCCCAAAGTGCTAGGATTACAGGCGTGACCCACTGCACCCAGCCCATTCAACCCATTTTCTAAGGACAGACTATGAGTGGGGTTGGAATCTACAACCTAAAACTGCAAAGAGCAGTTTTTCATTCATTTATAGAGCAAAAATATATTGAGTACCTATATTCAAAGTAGTTAGGGAACAAATATGGGTGGGGGATAAAGCAGAATAAAATAACAGAGACCTTGACCTCATTTCTTAAAACACTCAATCTCTGACATCTTCAACTCTTGTATAGCAATTCATAAGCAATTGAATTTAAAACTTTTTTGGTATAAAAAAGTTTCAAAACATGACAGGATCCCTAATTTTCTAAAACAATATATTTAAAACAAAATTATCAGTTGGTAGTCTAAATGGATTTATCTCCTTTTCCCAGAGTATGATAGGCAGAACACTTACTTAGTATGGCTTAGGTTCTGTCTGCAAAAGGAAAAAAAACTCCACAGTTTTTTTCCAGCTTTGGAATTCTATGACAAATATTTACAACTGCTATGTGTAAATGAAAAAACACACAAACACTTAAAAGTTTATCTTACACTATAGTTTTGCCTCATCTATGGCAGGCTCCAAAAATGACTGCACTAAGAGGAAAGGGGGAAAAAACAGCAAAGATATCCAAAGTCGACAAAATTTCAGCTCTAAACATTTAAGTTCATCACTTCAGTTTGCAAGCAAAAAGACTGTTCATGTTCAGTCAAAAAAATCAAAAAGCTAAGTTAAAAAGAAAAAAAACAGTAGGAGACGTGAAGTTCAGTTTCATTCTAAGAACCTGGAGAGGCGGGCCTTTCACTTTACATTCAGGTAAAGAATTTGCAGAAATTTCCCTAGCCAACTTTACTTTGTGAACGTCACAGCCACTGTCAAACAATCATTGAGGTATCTGTAGAATTCTGGAAAGACTGTCAGAAATATGTATACAGTAGAAGAGATAGGTCTTCTCATGAAGACTCAGTATTTATCTTAAAAAAAGAATCTCAGGCTTGACATGGTGGCTCACGCCTGCAATCCCAGCACTTAGGGGGGCCGAGGCAGGAGGATCACCTGAGGTCAGGAGTTCGAGACCAGCCTGGCCAACATGGTGAAAACGTGTCTCTACTAAAAATACAAAAATTAGCTGGGCATGGTGGCGGGCACCTGTAATCCCAGCTACTCGGGACGCTGAGGCAGGAGAATCGCTTGAACCCAGGAGGCAGAGGTTGCAGTGAGCGGAGACTGTCCCACTGCACTCCAGCCTGGGCAACAGGAGCGAAACTCCGTCTCAAAATAAAAAAAAAAAAAGAATCTCTGGTTATGAACAAAGAGCATTTCCAATTTGAAAACTATTTAGTTGCAAAGTGTTCCAAGAACTTACGTTTTAAGATGTTTCATAACTCCACATAAACATCTTTCTCTCTTCCTAGCTTCCCTGCCAACATAAGTAAGTACCTCAAGAGTAAAGGATCAGATGGCAAGTGTAGGTATTCCAAAACATAAGAAATAATTTTGTTGATTTAAATTACCTTCTTTGCTTGAACAGCCTCGGGGTGCAAATAAAACATATTACTAATTAAAAGAGCCAACAGTAGTACTAATAAAACATCAACAAAGCAGCTTTTATATAGACAGAGGCTTTTAGGTACTCGCCTCCTAACCTCAGTACATGGAACAATGAATGTGCCCCTAAAACGAAGAGAGCTATTTCCATTTCTGTTGGAGAAGAATAAAAAGCCAACTTAAGTCTATGGCTGGAGAGAGAGAACCCTACTTGATACTGAGGCATCACAAAAACTTGGGCATAAATCTTACAGGTGAAGAAGCATCTAGCATGAGAAACAGCACAGAAACCATTTTCCAAGACAGATAATTGTACATAGGTCATTTTACTCAATGGAAACTATAGCAATGGTTCCCAAACTTTGGGATTTTAATAAACAGAAAATTTACAAACAAAACAGCTATATATCCTATGTAAGCTTTCCAAAATCTGCCCTAAAAACATTTTTTAAAAATTAGTCACTGCCATCTACTATTGGTATTTCATTAGAAAACAAAGTAGTAAGCAAGAAGTAATTTCAGTATAAATGCAGCTTAAGTTTTTTGGTTAGCTGCTTCTCATTTCACTCCAGACGAATATAAAACCTTCATTAAAGATCATGCTGGTTCAAAGATCAGTGTCAAAAAACAACTAATCTAGAGACTTAACATTTTCACTGTCTTAAATCAGTAGGATTATACTACAACTGCTCAACACCACACATTTGGCTATGAAACAGGCTGAGTCATCTGTAAACGCAGGTATTCCTCAGCTCTTCATCCTCAGTGTCAGCCAATGGTCTCCCTAAAGCAGCATTATCACTCTTCTCAGCAGTGACAGGTTTCTGCCACTCAAAAAGACCCAATGTGTCTCAGAGTCCCATCCCTGTCTTCTTAAGCTTCCCCTCCAAAATAAGCCGAACTCTTAGACCTTGCTGGGAAGCTGATGTCTCAGAGGCAGGACCCTTATCACAAGCAGCCCTACATTCCACTCGAAACCCCCCATTGCCCCCTTGCTCGCTCTCAGCACACTGCTCTCCAACATCATGTTTTAAAACTGTTTTCCTTCCGCACTTATGGCCTTCACTTTCATTTTAATCTGATTTCCCCTGTGTAAAAATCATAGCCAAGGAAGGGTCATGAACGGACAGAGCAGATGATCCTACCTGACTCACTATACTCAAATAAATAAATAAATAAGTAAAAGAGCTAGACTAGCTTACTCACAGGTCACATAAATGCAAAAAAGGTCTTTGGGAACAGAGGGCCGGGGGGTATATGGGATATCCCTGTACCTTCCACTCAGTTTTGCCGTGAATCTAAAATTGCTCTAAAAAATAACTTTTTAAAAAATTTCTAGAGGAACTAGATTAACCACTAGTTTGTCAGTTCCATAAGAAACGGGACCTTGTCTATTTTGCTCATCACTGTACAGACACCACCTGGGAAATACCTTGCACAAAATGAGTGCTTAGTAAATTGTGATAAATGAAAGAACTTACACTGTGAGAAACTCAGCAATGTTTTCTGGGAATTATGAAGTTACTTAACAACCACAATGACTTATGTTTTACTACAACAATTTTTAAAAAGTGATTATAGGATATATAATTAAAAATAGGTACTAAAGGCCGGGCGCGGTGGCTCACGCCTATAATCCCAGCACTTTGGGAGGCCGAGGTGGGCGGATCACAAGGTCAGGAGATCGAGACCATCCTGGCTAACACGGTGAAACCCCGTCTCTACTAAAAATACAAAAAATTATCCGGGCCTGGTGGCCGGCGCCTGTAGTCCCAGCTACTTGGGAGGCTGAGGCAGGAGAATGGCGTGAACCCGGGAGGCGGAGCTGGCAGTGAGCCGAGATGGTGCCACTGCACTCCAGCTCGGGCAACAGAGAAAGACTCCGTCTCAAAAAAAAAAAAAAAAAAAAAAAAAAAAAAAAGGTACTAAAGTCAAGGCGACTAACCAAGAGCATGGTGCAGCGCTACAGTAAAAACATGGGCAGGCTGGGCACAGTGGCTCACGCCTGTAATCCCAGCACTTTAGGAGGCCGAGGCGGGCGGATCACAAGGTCAGGAGTTCCAGACCAGCCTGACCAACATGGTGAAAACCCGTCTCCACTAAAAATACAAAAATTAGCCAGGCGTGGTGGTGCACGCCTGTAATCCCAGCTACTCAGGAGGCTGAGGCAGGAGAATCACTTGAACCTGGGAGGCAGAGGAGGTTGCAGTGTGCCGAGATCGTGCCACTGCACTCCAGCCCGGGCGACAGAGTGAGACTGTCTAAAAAAAAAAAAAAAAAAGGGCAAAAATTAAAATAGTTTAACAAAAGGGTCCCTTTAAACCTAAGGGAAAAAGACCACAAACAACACCAAAGGCACTATTATTTTGTTCACAAATAGAAATGACTTGGTGGGCTGCAAAAACATTATGATCTTAAAAGCTCTAAAAGGCATATGACCAACTGTGGGTAAATGGAAATCTCTACATTTAGGATGCTCTAAGGATCTGTAGCCAAAACAAACACAACAGACTCTCTTCACACACTTATGACACAGATGGGCATTACTGGCTAAACTGTCAGGTTTTTACTGAACATAGTTGGGCTTCCTACAACATATGAACTTCTGTATAGTCAAAATCACGTAATAGCAAACTATGTTAAAACAAAATTCTACCACATAATGCTAGTACTAAATAGGATAACTTCTTAGGATAAATTTTAAGTAGATTTTAACAGTAGTGGACAAACTAACTGGGTCAAACCACAAATAGTTTAATAAATCTTCTTAAAACCATCAGGTCAATCTATCCCGCCTCTTGCCAACACTTTTTAAGTCTTAAATTTGGTAAATATGTAAGGAAAGTCAATACACTTTTTAAACAGTCTGCCACAATGCTAATTTAACCTACACATACACGTGAGGTTAATCCAGCTTGCATGTGAGTTGTTCCCTGTCAATATTAGGCAATATCAATTTGCTGATTTATTTTTTTTGAGACAGAGTTTCGCTCTTGTTGCCCAGGCTGGAGTGCAATGGCGTGATCTCGGCTCACCACAACTTCTGCCTCCCAGGTTCAAGCGATTCTCCTGCCTCAGCCTCCTGAGTAGCTGGAATTACAGGCATGAGCCACCACGCCCAGCTAATTTTGTATTTTTAGTAGAAACGGTGTTTCTCCATGTTGGTCAGGCTTGTCTCGAACTCCCGACCTTAGGTGATCTGCCTGCCTCGGCCTCCCAAAGTGCTGGGATTACAGGCGTGAGCCACCAAGCCCGGCCAATTTGCTGATTTATTTACATAAATTCATCTTCATACGCAATTATAAGATTAGGATTTTAAAATATTGTACAAGTACTTAAATCAGAGCTGCCCAAGAAAGACTCAACTGTTTTTAGTCAACAGTACTCATTTTTCTGCCTCAGCACAGCAGTTATGCCACATTCCCAGTGGTAATTGTGGGTCACCTGTAAGTGGCAAGAAGGTGGGACACATGCAGTATGAAAAATCTTGCCAAATAATTCTGATAATCTAATCCACCCCAGCCTCTTTCTTCCACAAAGCAGACAAGAACTGGATTGTGCAGAAACATATATTTTTTTTATGCATCCTATTGAACAAGTGGTTTATGAGATTATTCAAAGAATAATAACAGCTACCAATTATTAGGTTTATAACTACTAATTATTAAGTTTATGGTTCAAAGATTTTATTTATTTACTTTAGTTTTATTTTTGAGACGGGAGTCTCGCTCTGCTGTCCAGGCTAGAGTGCAATGGCACAATCTCAGTTCACTACAACCTCCGCCTCCCCAGTTCAAGTGATTCTCCTGCCTCAGCCTCCAAAGTAGCTGGGATTACAAGCACACGCTGCCATGCTCGGCTTCTTTTTTTGTATTTTAGTAGAGACCGGGTTTCACCGTGTTGCGAAGGCTGGTCTCGAACTCCTAAGCTCGGGCAATCCACCTGCCTCGGCCTCCCAAAGTGCTAGGATTACAGGCGTGAGCCACCTCGCCTGGCCGATTTTACATACATTATTGAGGCAGGAGAATAGGGTCTGGAGGCAGGGAACCTAAGGCTGTTTCACACCGACTTCCTAGAACTAAATTGAAAGGAAAATCCTAACTTTCGACACCTAAGTAACAAAAGAACCAGAGGCTACTCGCTTTGACCTTTTCTGCATGGCAGGTGGGAAACTGGCTGTCCGCAACAAATCAGACTGATTGTGGGCTGAGTCTTCGTTTGCACAGAAGTATAACTTTGCAAAAAGCAACCAATCAGATGTTTGCACAGGAGTGTTACCTTTGTAACTTCACTTGGGCCTCTGGTTGGCTCCTTCCTGCAAACAATCAGACCGATTGCAGGCTACCACTTAACTGACATGAGATGAGCATGAAGTGGCCAACAGGAAACTTCTAGGGGGTATTTGAACCCAAGAAGATTCTGTATCCGGGCCCTTGAGCCGCTGCTTGGCCCACTCCCACACTGTGGAGTGTACTTTCGTTTTCAGTAAATCCCTACTTTCGTTCTTTTGTTGCTTCATTCTTTCTTTGCTTTGCTGGGCGTTTTGTCCAATCCTTTGTTCAAAATGCCCAGAACCTGGACAACTTGCAGTCAGGACCCTCTACCAGTGACATTGTTACCAATCCTCAAACAAACTTAAGGATAGGTATTATTTCCATTTTACAAATGAGAAAACAAAGAACACTCAGATAGCCTCCCCAAGGGACCACAGCAAATAAAGACAGGGTGAGGTTTGCACCCAGGGCAACCCCAGGCCTAAGCCTTCCCGCGCCATACACAGCTTCCTAAGCAAAAGAAAGGCCTTGAGTACACAGTTGCGCTTACATCCACTCACTTCAGTGTGAATCGATGGCCATGTGTCATTCTGGAAGATTCTCAAACTTACCAGGTTTTAGTTCTATTCTAATCTGCGGATGGATTTCAGGAGGTATGAAATTGACTGAAAAAAAAGGTCACTGTGGTTATGCATTGCTGATCAATAAATTATGGTGATAATTTGATCCAGCGAAGTCCGGAACATCAACCAAAGACAGGTCCCAAAATTTCAGTGCCCAGGTGCATTTGCATTTTTGGATCACAGAGATGACATCTGAAGGCCACATGACATTATAGAATGCTGTACAAACAAAGTTTGAAACAGGTAAAAAGAAACGTGGGAGATTTATCTTCCGGTTCATGGCAGCACTGGTGTGCCAAACTTGAAAAGCACGACATAGGAAACGACCTTACACAAAGCAGGAACACACATACTGCACAGATCCCATGTTAATATGGTTCATCAACAAAAAGTAATTATTAATACATAACAAAAAGTTTTCATTGAATGGGTTTTCTTCATACTTTGGTATTATATATCGGGGAGTACTTTTAAAGTGGCTGCCCTGCAAAATAATGGATTGTTAAAAACAAATTCACTGTTAACAGACTACGGTAAGATCTAGCAATGACACTGCTGGATATATATCCAAAAGAAAAGAAATCAGTATAATATATCAAAGGGATATCTGCATCCCCACGTTTATCACAGCACTATTCACAATTGCCAAAATATAGAATCAACCTAAGTGTCCATCAACGGATGAATGGATAAAGAAAATGTAGTATATACACAAAATGGAATACTATTCAGCCATAAAAAGAATGAAATCTTGTCATTTGCAAAAACATGGATGGCATCAGAGGACATTATGATAAGTGAAATAAGCCAGGCACAGGAAGACAAATTTCACATGTTCTCATTCATATGTGGGAGCTAAAAATTTTTTAAAATTGAACTCAGGGAGACAGAGAATAGGATGATGGTTACCAGAGGCTCAGAAGGGCAGCAGGGAGGTGGGGATAAAGTGGGGATGGCTAATGGGTACAAAAATAATTAGATAGAATGAATAAAATCTAGTATTCAGTATTACAACAGGGTGACTACAGTTACCAATAATTTATTGTATATTTTTAAATAACTAAAAGAGTGGAATTGAAATGTTCCTAACACAAAGAAAACCTAATTACCCTGATTTGATCATTACACACTGTTATGCCTTCGTCAAAACATTACATGTACTACATAAACACATACAACTATTAGGTACCTATAATAATTTAAAATATATATATAGAGAGAGAGACGGAGTCTTGCTCCGTCGCCCAGGCTGGAGTGCAGTGGTGCAATCTCGGCTCACTGCAACCTCCGCCTCCAGGGTGCAAGCGATTCTCCTGCCTCAGCCTCCCGAGTAGCTGGGATTACAGGCACGCGCCACCATGTCCAGTTAATTTTTTTGTATTTTTAGTAGAGACGGAGTTTCACCATGTTGGCCAGGATGGTCTCGATCTCTTGACCTCGTGATCCGGCTGCCTCAGCCTCCCAAAATGCTGGGATTACAGGCGTGAGCCAGCACGCCCGGCCAATAATTTAAAATGTTTAAAGCACTTAAATTTGTGGGAAAATTGTTAAAAAGAAAAAATAATGGTAATCATGCTTAATATCAAAAGAATCAAAAAACAGACAAAGGAAATATAAAATAAACAAAAATAGTTCTCAATCATTAAACATAACAATAGCAATCTAAACGTTTTTAAAATATTATTTTAAATTTTTGAATTGTGTTGATTTTGGAGCCAGTATTTACTTTGGAAATTCGTTTTAGTTTTATAAGATGTTTCCATTTAGTTTATTTTATAAATAATTATATGAGATTAAAAATAAGAATTATTTAATCAACATTAGGATTTTATAATAATTTTTCCTTTTCAAAAAAGTCACACATTCGGCTGGGCACAGTGGCTCACCCCTGTAATCCCAGCACTTTGGGAGGCCCAGGTGGGCAGATCACCTGAGGCTGGGAGTTTGAGACCAGCCTGACCAACACAGAGAAACCCCATCTCTACTAAAAATACAAAATTAGCCGGGCGTGGTGGCACATGCCTGTAATCCCAGCTACTTTGGAGGCTGAGGCAGGATAATTGCTTAAATGTGGGAGGCAGAGAATGCGGTGAGCCAGGATCACGCCACTGCACTCCAGCCTGGGCAACAAGAGCGAAACTCCGTCCTAAAAAAAAAACAAAAACAAAAAAAAGTCACATTCAAGGTTAAGTGCTAGCCCCTTTTTAGCAAAATACAGAATATTATCATCTCAATTAAGACATATTCACTGAAACGGCATTACAACTAGCCAAACACATAGCTGTTTCCTTGATCACACATCTTCACAAATCTGGACTAAGAATGGTATTGGGATGGTAGGATAAGAATTGTAGTTTCAAATACAAGATTCCCATTCCCTAGAATCAAAAAAGTTATAAGAATCTTATAAATGCTACCCTAGCCATGAAGACCATTACCCTCATAAAATTCTATAAATGCAATGCAATAAACTTATCCTCTATTTTAGGGGACCCACAGAGTATCGTAAAGTCCAGGCATTTCTAGAGCTGTGGTACAATGTTTTCTCCTGCATACATGTTCAATATCGCTACAAAAATTACTGTGCTGCTCTGAAGACCTGTAGACCAGTGACAAAAATTCAGTAATTAGACCAATCTGTGGGGTCAAAGAAAAGAATGAGATTCTCGAGACTTATCTAAATAATATTTTTAAAAATATTTAAGACAAGCATCTACTTTCTGAAGCATTGTTACTGTCACTGCTGAAGACAGAAAGGCAAGAGCCAGCTGAAAAAGGGCGACGGTGGCCCCCCTTGTCATTTTCCGATTCTACAACACCTTCTGGCTCCAGTTTTTTGGATCCCCCTCCATTACTAAATCCCAATCTTCAATGGCCACTTGAGGTCAACTTCCACTGTACTTATCCTGGCCAGCTAGAAACAAAACGGGAGTGTCTGGGTGGGGCTGACAGTATGCACACTGGTCTATCTCCAGGCAAATCTCTGCTCTGGTGACCCCACTTCTACTCTATTTCTTTCTGTGAGGCACCTTGAGGATGGTACTTTACTGGTGGTTTTAATACTGCCAATCACAGTTAAGTGTTTATCTGCTCCAAACACATGTAAGCCCAAAAGAAAAGTAGGAAACCTGAAAGAACAGATGTAACAATCATGCTCAGTATTTAAGTATACATCTGAAAATTCCAGGAAGTAATGGGATTTCCCATCGATGACAACATTCATACTTTTGGGAGAAAACTATTACCAGTAAAGTTAGCAAAGAATTCTAACAATAGCTATCCCCTTGCTTTTAGCTATCCCTTGCTTCATACCTAGCCTAGTAAAGCTAGGTATGAAGTACATCTCTTATAAAAATCAGTGTTATTTACCTGGTATTAAACTGAAGAATGTTTACATTGAGCTTCAGGAGATGGAGGGGGAAAGGGAGAGTAACAAAATTGAAAATTTAAAGCAAGAAAATCAAGATGGTGTTCAGTTGCTTGAACATACAGGAATTTACCCAAACTTTCACCATTACCTATTACAGCACTCCCCTAACTGCTCTCTTTCCCAGGAGCCATGTCCTCACGAACCCAAGCACATACAATCAATTCTAGTTACTCCCACGGCAAGAGCTCCTTCAATTTTAATCCTACTCATTTGATTTTGATTTGACAGTCTCTCAGTAACCTGTACCACAATAAGATCACATTTTGTCAATAAAAGCACTCCATCTCAAACAGAACAACAGAACAGCAACAGCAACTGCTCGCATGCAGTAAGTACCTAGCAAGTGCCAATCACTAGCCCAAGCTATTGTGTCCTCATTTTGCCTGTAAAGACTAAATGGGATGATCCCATAGCCCCATGGACCACCATATAGAGATGGGGAAATCAAGGCACAGAGGGCTCACATCACTAGAATATGGTGGAGCCTGGCTTTGACTCCAGGCTCTCTGACTCCAGGACCTACCCTAGTCTAAACTGCTATAATACACTGCCCAAAAATGCCTAGGTTAAAGCTCCCATTTATGTAACACAAATTCATTCTAAATTCAATCATTTCATTAATCTACAAATTCTACATGCTACGTTTATATAAAATAAGGATGTGGATGTCTTTCAATCCCATATCTACTTCCAGAGAGTAGTACGTGAATGACATAAATGATAAAAATCAAGAAATGGTCTTCAGCCGTCGTGGTGGCTCCTGCCTGTAATCCCAGCACTTTGGGAGGCTGAGGCAGGTGGATCACTTGAGGTCGGAAGTTCAAGACCAGCCTGGCCAACATGGAGAAACCTCGTCTTTACTAAAAATACAAAAATTAGCCAGGCATGGTGGCACACACCTGTAGTCCCAGCTACTCTAATTGGGAGGCTGAGGCATGAGAATCGCTTGAGCCCTGGGAGGTGGAGTTTGCAGTGAGCCGACATCGCACCACTGCACTCCAGCCTGTGCAACAGAGTGAGACTCTGTCTCAAAAAAAAAAAAAAGAAAAGAAATGGTCTTCTTCAGTTGGACTCAACAGTGTAGACTAATGATTTACAGTGTTGCCAAGAACACTTGGCACATTCCCATCACACATTGTATTAATCTGTTGGTAATGGGAATGAGATAAGGAACACTCGAGCAAAGAGGTCAGCAGCAACGTTCAACACCCCAGATATGCTATTACAATCATCCAAATCATATTTTATAGTTAGAAGGCAAAGCGTCAAAAATCCCTTAAGTTAAAGCCAAAGACTTCCAAATAATTCAATTTCATTAGAGAATGAAGAGGAAAATTTCCTGCAGGTTAAAAAATTCTACTACATAAAGAATATATAGCATCAAAGAAAACCATGTTAAGAAAGATACTAAGATATGAAGCAGGTTCTCTAAAATTTCAACAATTTAGTTATTTTTTTTTTCTTTTCTGAGATGGAGTTTCACTCTTGTTGCCCAGGCTGGAATGCAATGTGGCAGTCTCAGCTCACTGCCACCTATGCCTCCCAGGTTCAAGCAATTCTCCTGCCTCAACCTCCCAAGTAGCTGGGATTACAGGCATGCGCCACCACACCTGGCTAATTTTGTATTTTTAGTAGAGACGGAGTTTCTCCATGTTGGTCAGGCTGGTCTCAAACTCCCAATCTCAGGTGATCCGCCCACCTCGGCCTTCCAAAATGCTGGGATTACAGGCGTGAGCCAACAGGCGTGAGCCAACAGGCGTGAGCCACCGCGCCCAGCCCAATTTAATTCTTTAAAAGCCAAGTTAACCTGCAGACCTGAAAAATTATTATTTTTAAGCCATTTAATTATAACCTAAAAAACAGCATACAAATTAATGCATATTGCTCACTATAGATAAAAATACTACAGACAGTTTATACTGGGCATTTAGAGATCTGAACAAGTAGTCTTTCTTGTTCAATTTTTCTCTTTTCAAATTAAAAAAAGAAAAACTTACAGACAAGCATCATCAATCATTAAGAGGGCCTGGTTCTGATATTATATGAGCTCTGTCAACCTTAATCAAATTGCTTGACAGATCGTAGATAAGTAATGACTTGCTTAGGTTAAGCAAGGCCAGAGTTTTCCTTCTGTAGTATATACATCTCCAGAGTGAAAATAAACAGCCTCACACCTCTTACTGGGAGCTGCACTCCACTGCTATTACAACTCAGTCTTCATTTCAACAGAGGAGGAGGAACATCTATTTTTCTTTCCTTCCTTCTCAATATGGTCATCAGAAGTCATCAAAGTCATTTTTAAACTATCCCATTAAACAGTTAATAATTATTTTAATCTACACCAATTAGCTATCATTAAATGCCAAAACATTTGTTTTGGCCTGCATTACACAGTGATATAAAACAAAACAGAAATAGTTAACAACTGACAAAAGCAATACTAAAGGAATCACTTAAAACTGCAAAGCCTGAATTCATGTTGTAACACATCCAAGAAATTGAAAAACAAATTTTGTTTCAATATAATCGGCCCCATTTTGGGTGCAGGGGCACCATGGAACAACAGTTAAAATAAGAGAAAGAGCATCCCAATTCAGATTTTGTATTCATTCTATAACCAAGACACAAATAACGAACTAAAACATCCTCCTCGTTAACTTCTTTACATATAATTGGAAAGGGCTTTCATACTTCATATTCAGCCAGGATGTACCGTTAAAGAATTTCTAAGCATCCAAGTATTCTGCCTGCTCTAAAGAAAAGCGTTAAAAAGCAAGGATCCCAGTGGCTAGGGGAAAAGAAAATGAAATGACTTCTTTAGAAGAACTTTAGAAGAATGAGTTTAAAAATATAAGATACCAGGGAGTCAATTTTACCTTAGGCAAAATGCGCTTCAATGTTTTCCATTAGGTCAATAGTATCTAGAATGCAGAGCTTGTGGTTTAGAAATGTCAAAGATCAAAAAAGCAAAAAAACAAAAAAAAAGCACCCTTAGAATTTAGCTATTTTAATCTATTCCTAAACACATACAACTGTGCAATTATAACCTAAAATAAACCTAAAAAGAAAGACTAAAGTTCCAAATAACACTTTTCTCCAACATGCGAAAGAGGTATTTTGAAGGACACCTAACTTTGAACTAGATTAAAACTTTTATATGATATCAATGCTCGATCATTTAGTCTTCATGATTTCCATTCTAACAAAGATTTTACAATCTCATACATTTCCTGTAAGTAGCAAACACACACACACACACACACACACACACACACACACAAACAAAAAAAAGTCTGTAAAATACTCCAAAATACAAAGGGCTCTATAAAAGTTATTTAAGAAATGATCATTATCAGAAACAGGAAAGGAGAAAATTATGCTGTATACAGAATAAAAAGAACCACAAAACAAGATTTGTAATTGCCGAAATACAAACTCCTCAGCAGGGGACCAAGGACGGGGTGTGCCGTGGCTCCTCCTAAGCCTGTCTGTGCACGCCATGCACAGCCTGGGTCAGGACTTTTCTTTCCCAATCCCCTGGAGCCTCCATTCTTATAGTCTGCAGGGCACACACACAGACAAGGACCTGGCTCTGCAAAAAGCAATACTTCACTCCTCTGACACCATATTAGTTACTGTTAAATTGCCCAAGTACACATGCAGCATACATTCACTCTAGGTGAATCGGAAAAAGACACTAGTATTTCTCAGTGAATGAGAAAGAACCTTTACAAGCAAATGGGGACTTCGCCTACTCGATGTAAATTTTTTTTTTTCCAGAAAACTCACATTTCAACATGAAGGAAAAAAAATCCTTAATTGCACAAATGAAAAACTCAAAAATCAGTTTCTCATTCTTGGTTGTTAAAGGCCTGTAGCATTTGAGATGTGGTGGCTGCTGCTCTGATTCCATGGCCAGCTGACACCTGTAATCACAATGAATTAAGTGTCCTGTATTCACGTACAGCTAAGGAAACGTGAATCTAGCCAAGTGTTATAGTTTCTACTTTATAAGGGTAATCACTTCCTTATCTTTTCCCTAACAATCTACCTATCTGGGAAGACACACCCTAAAATAACAAGTAAAACACAGATAGTGTTTTCTTTAAGATAATTTTGGATATTACTTTCAAGGAGGGTGGAATGCATTAGCCTGGATTTACCAAGGTTCACATTTAGAAATCCACTTTGGGAGTTAGCTACAAGACTCCTATTAACACTACTAAGATACATGCAGTCCAAACCCTGAGCTAACGTTTATCTGATACCACAAAATATTGATATGAAATCTCTGCACAAGCTGTATTGTATAATTAAAACCCCCACTGCACCTGCTGTCATAATAACAAATGCGAAATTATTGTAAGACCTAATCGCTATAACAATAGCTATTTTTTTTCTTTTTTTTTTTTTTTCCAGAGTCTCGCTCTTGTTGCTCAGGCTGGAGTGCAATGGTGCAATCTTGGCTCCCTGCAACCTCTGCCTCCCGAGTTCAAGCGATTCTCCTGCCTCAGCCTCCCGAGTAGCTGGGATTACAGGCACCCACCACCACGCCCAGCTAATTTTTTGTATTTTTAGTAGAGACAGGGTTTCACGATGTTGGCCAGGCTGGTCTTGAACTCCTGACCTCAGGTGATCCACCCGCCTCAGCCTCCCAAAGTTCTGGGATTACAGGCATGAACCACCGCACCTGGCCAACAATAGCTCTTTTAAAATGCATCCTCAAACGCAAAAGAAATAACACATAACATCAATTGTGTTTGCTAGCCTAATAGGAAACCACAGTTAACAGTCAATCTCATAATGACTCAAAATTGGCTTTAGTTAGCCATGGGATTAAAACAAAACAAAACAAAACAAAACAAAACAAAAAAAACTTTAGCTCTAAATGTATTATGAAAATTATACAAAAGACCTACATACAGTCAAAACATGATTACTGCAATTTCTTTTAAGAGAGGAACCCAACCAAAATATAAAATAATTTAAAACATGGTGACTAGAGCTTGGAATTGGGAACTCAGGGTAGAAATCTGATCTATTTACTTTTATTGTAACCTTAAAAAGGACTCATACTATGAAAAAGAAAGTATGCCTAATTTTCAATAAACAGAAATCAAACTACTGATTTAGAGATCAGAACAATTCTAATCAAATTATAATATGACTTGAAAATATGTTAAGTAGAGGTATACACACTTGACACTTGGTATCCACAGTTCCTCATCCAGGGATTCAACCAACTACAGACCAAAAATATTTGGAAAATAAAAATAAAAAATAATACAGGCCACGCGTGGTGGCTCACGCCTGTAATCCCAGCACTTTGGGAGGACAAGGTGGGTGGATCACTTGAGGTCAAGAGTTCAAGACCAGCCTGGCCAACATGGCGAAACCCTGTCCCTACTAAAACTACAAAAATTAGCCGGGCATGGTGGCAGGTGCTTGTAATCCCAGCTACTTGGGAGGCTGAGGCAGGAGAATTGCTTGAACCTGGGAGGCGGAGGTTGCAGTGAGCCAAGATCACACCACTGCACTCCAGCCTGGGCAACAGAACAAGACTCCGTCTCAAAAAAAAAAAAAAAATTAAAAATTAAAAATATACTGTATAACAGCTATTTACATAGCATTTAAATTGTGTTAGGTATTATAAGTAATCTAGAGATGATTTAAACAGGAAGATCTGCATAAGTTATATGCAAATACAGGGAACTTCAGCATCTAAGAATTTGGATAGCCACAGGCAATAGGGGGTGTCATGTCCTGGAATGGATCCCCCATGGATATTGAGGGACGACTGTATTCACAATTAGGTTTAAAATATGCTTTCACCCACCAGAACCAACTCAGCAGAACCTCACTATAATTCTTATTACTGTAGAAGAAAACCTGCCATTTCCTTTTGGATGAACATCCAAGATTTAATGGAAGAAACAATAAAATGACCCCATTTAAAAAGGCGATCACACAGTAAGATGCACCCAGGAGGTAAATCATGGGTACAACATAGCAGTTAAGACTCTAATGTGGCCCTACTCAGGAGTTTAGTAATCTATTAAGAACTATAAAAATACCTCCTCCAGATTTAGTAGTCCCAGGGTTTACTGGAACTACTGCTCGGATGCTAGGACACCAAACCGAAATCCTGATAATGAGCTGTCGTTATATCATGGCCACATCTAGAAATCTAATTGCACAGTGAGAGTGCATAGGATGAAATGGGAAGGAGGAAACACTAAATCAAATCCAACCGCTCTGATCGGTCATCTGATATTATTTGACTGGTGTTTTTACACAGAGGGATAAATGGCACCTTTCCTGCAAAACTGTACTGTCACATACATAATCACATTCAGACATTCAGCCACATCATCATTTTATGAGCCAGTATCAGATGTTTTCAATACATTGCAAGCTATGTAATGTATTGCATACCATATCGAGCCACATGGTGAGGTTTAACCCCATTTTCTAAACGAGGATTCCCCATACCCACTCTCATACTCTCATAGTCACCAACAGGAGAGGGACAGTGAGAATGACGGAAACAGAGGTTACTGATAAACCCTATGTCCATTCCAGCTGAAACCACGCTCACTCCCTAATTGTTACTGCCTGTTATTCACTGTGTTGTTGTTTTGTCATACCCACATCCTAAGGCCAAAATCATGAAAAGAAGCCAAATTAAATGGGCAGGAAAAATGTCTTATCCCCAGCTTGCAATGCTATTTTTCTTTTTATTGGAATAAGAGACTGCCAAGTTCTGATGTCACTACAATAATTTCATGGCCTGATAAAAGCAGTATTTTATCCATTAAACATTCGTTCCCCTTGCCAATTTTACCTCTAACCAGGCAGTGTGTACAATTACTCACTGAACAGATACCAAACTACAGTAAAATAAAAAATTCTAATTACTTTTATTCTGATACTGTAAAAAGCCAGTAACTGTCAGAAATTTCCCTGGCAAGAGACACAATCCTGAATATGTTTTTTAGTACCTATATACCCAGGAGAACCCCTGCAAAATACAAAAAGACAAAACATGACATCAGCTCTCTGGGCACTGAATAATGTTGCACAGAACTACTACATACATTTTAAATATATAAAATTGTTAAAATATTCAAAATATTTGACAAGGATTCCAGTCATAGTGTGATAATGCATGTCCCAGCATCTTCAATATGTAACTGTTTTTTTCTTTATCTAAAGCTTTCGTTTATCTTCATTACTTGAAGCTGTGGTATCACTCCCTGAACTTGAGAGTCATTGATGTCACTGAATTTTTACGAGCAAAATCGTGTGTTGAAATCATTCATGGATCTAGAGAAGATGGTTCAGCATCTTTCTACTCAGTGTGCTCCACCCAGCTCATCAGTATTATCTGGAAACTTGTTAGAAAGGAAGAATATTGGGCCCCACCCCAGACCTACTGAATCAGAATATGCAGTTGAACACACTCGCTCACCCAGAAATTCAAATGCACGTTAATGCCATCCAGGATATCTGAGTGTTTAGTACTTGTTCAGCAGAGTGCAAAGAAAGGGGTGGGTGGGCCAATGGTACATAGGGGAAAATCACATTGTCCTTAAGGAATAAAGGGGAGACTGACACGTATGCAATTATGATACGTATCAGTGCCAGGAGAGATGCGTTTCCAGCCTGCGAGAAAGCATGGTATATTCATGGAAGGCAAAGCAGCCGGGATGGCAGAAGCTTCCAGTAGGCATATAACCCTGTACATCCAATTAAAGACCTGGGCTTCAACAAGTGAGCAATTCAGGGACTTTAAAGGATTTTAATGAAAGCAGTCACGTGATCACATATTTACATTTCAGAAAGATCATTACTCAGGCAAAATGTAAGAAAAATCAATGATCTGGAAGGGGGCAAACCAAAACTGAAGACAAGGGGATGAGTTAGTAGCAGTTTAAGCAGGAGTTGCAAAGGCATTTTTTTCATCTCACATGCTGAATCTCCTCTGTCCCTCTCCCAAAGTTTGAGGAGGAGGATGGAGGGGTAAGGTAATGGTAACAGACAAGAGATAAAGAAGGCCCACTTCTAAGCTACAGGGAGGATGGAATTGGTATGGATGGGCATACATAAATATAAAACAGTAAAAATTCAATATACTTTTCTGTTTTATAAAATGGAGAAAATATTATTTTGGTGGTTCAGGATCCCACAGTTCCTTCCATCATTTTAAATATCAGTGATTAACATAAAGTACTATATTTACAGATACAAGATGTGTACATGGTTAAATATCTATGGATCCCAGAAAAGATCTTGAATATGGTTTTGATACTTGGACACGTCTCTGATACCGGCCTTTCTCCTCCTATATGAGTTATTTATCTCTCTTGTAACTCAAGTTTAGAAAAGTTGCAGTGGAGGAGGGACAAGAGGGACATTTATTAATGTTTACATATAATTTGTTGTAGGAATGAATAAATAACTGGGCCAACAAATGGCTTCAGATGTGTACCTATATAAAAAGGTAGTACATGCTATACTTTTAAGTATTATCATTTCTGATACCAATACACTTAGAATATTGAAAAAGTCCCTATTTAAGTAAGGAAGAAAGAATACCCGACATTTACTTGTTAGTGATAAACTAAGGATTACATTTAAAGTGAAAAGAGCCAGCAAGTCGAGGCAATCTCCAACTTTAAACTGGAGCTGGTTTAAAAAATGTATTTATCCAATGGCTGTTGGTAACTTTTAACATATTTCCTACCTCCAAAATCATGTACGTGGTGGGTATGTAGCCTAGGCATACCATAAAAGCCTATTTCATGGAACCTCAGTCCTACAAATGCCTTAGAGGTTATTTGGTTCAATGTTGCACCCAAGAAAGAGATTCTTCCCACAGCAGCCTTTGCAAATGCCATTACAACACTTCCAGGAATCAGGAGTCCATGCCCCTTCCAAACAGCACTGCTTCACATGAGGCAGCTCTATTTGTTGGATAGTTCTTCTTTCTTCTGAAACATAATCTGCATCTTTGAGGACGCCTATAGATCAAAAGATGAATCATGTATCACTATTTCAACGCTCCCAACCCCCAATGAAATCCTGACCACGGATGGTCTGATTTAGGAAGAAAAGGGGACAATTTGCCCTTCTCCAGTCCAGAGGAACCCATCCTGCATATGGCTGTATGTGAAGAATGACCTTGTGTCAAGAGCTATGAATAGTCAGATTTAATAAAATTATAAATGTTGAAAAATACAATGTCTCCTGAGAGAAAAATGGCTAGTGTTCAAGCAGAACACCCACAAAATCCTTAATCAACATTTCCAATAACAGAAATACAAGCTATTAACCACAGCCAAAGTCCCTTCCAAAATTTAAAACAAACAAACAAAAACCCTTCTGATTTCATCTACTGAATCATCTTGTCTGTCTGTGAAATAAATTTTATTTAGCATATTAGAGAATTTCAACAATACAAACAAATTCTGAATGTATAGGCATAGCCTGACCACAATTGTTAATAGGTTAGTGGCCAAAACTCTTCTTCCTGATATAAGTGCTTGGTCCTGTTCCTCAAAATCTTCCTGCAGTATAACATCCTAGCTCCACTTTCTTCCTTTTATGGTGGACTTTTCTTTTTTCTTCAGAAAAGCATTGTACTGTTTCATTTTAAACTCAAAGAATATTATACTAATGCTGGACTGGTGGTTACTTCTGTACAACGCTAAGTGTTGATTACGGCATTTAGTCCTAAGCATGAAGGATATAAGCTACCTTAGATGGTCCTTTTCCCCTATTTTGAGGCTCCCTCCTAAAAACACACACATAAAAATGAATACAGTTTTCAAAGTATTTGGTTTATGGAATTGTAACTGAAGGTAATTATACCTTCAAGTAGTGAATAAACCCAGTTCTGTGAATAAAAATGAGGTCATGGTTGTTTTCCTAAGATAGCCATTGGGATCTGATTTTCTAGTAATGTAGGAAGAAGTGTTATTTTCTTTTTTCCCCCAAAGACTGTGTATCCAATGTGCCAATAAAATGAATTATTATGAATTTCAAACCGCACAAAAGACTCTACAACAATTTACAAAGCATGAATTAGTACTGTATACATAAATAAATGTTATTCAATAACATGAATAAATCTCACAGGCTTATGTCTATTACAATGCTCATTATTGAGCAGTGCAAGAACTCCAACATAAGACTACATACTGTAGGAGTCCATGTTCATACAGTTCACGAACAGGCAAAACTCATCTATTCCAACTCTTCAGAATAGCTGCTGCCTGCTAGCAAGAGGGAGGGCTGCCTGGGATGGGCACCAGGGAGCTTTCTAAGGCCAAGGAAATGTTCTATATCTCCATCTGGGTACTGGTTACCACAGACATGTGCATATGTAACAATTCATCTAGCTGTTCACTTAGTATACATTAGCTGTACACTTGTGATATTACTATGTTACACCTCAACTGGAAAAAAATTACACACAATGTCCAAGTGCCTTCTAAGTTTCAGCTGCAAATTTAAGAAAGCTGTATTGTTTCACGTGCCCGCACTATTACTAGCTTCTGAGAAATACATGTACACTTACATATACAGGAGGAGTTAATAAAAATAACAGCAGCTAACATTTACAGAGGTTTTACTATATGCCAAGTGCTTGACTTTCATTATCTCATTTAATCCCACAACAATGGTAAGACATAATTTCTGTTATTATACCCATTTTACAGACAAAGACCCCCAAGGCTTAAGTCAAGATCATTGCCCAGGCTCACATAAATAACAAGAAGTGAGCTGGTCTACAACAAGAATAGCTGAAAAGCAAGCTCTATGTCAGCGTCCAAATTCTCTGTTTGTATTAGGGTAACATAAAAATAAAATTGGCCTCACAGTTCCAAGTAACAAAACATAAACAAAATATGTAAGCTAAGTTCAGTAATATAACCCATATATTTTTTCTCGAGTAAGATGAAAGGCACATCAGTGGCTCTTAAGCACTGGAGTCCCTACTCACATTCCAACAGATATACAGCAGAACAAAATGTTCTTTGGGCTAGTTTTTTTATTCTCTCTGGCCATCAAAATATACCGCACAGCAAAGCGACTAAACAGCTGTGAATGCGGACAGGCACAAACTGCAGTGTTTACTCCAATTCATTCAAGGGTCCTTTCAATCTGGCCATAGTAGTAGGAGAAATGCCCAGGATTAAGGTGGAAAAAAGCTAAACATATCTTCAAAAAGGCTTCTTTATTTTCTGAACACACTGTATTGTGAGGAGAACTTGGTAGAGGGCTACATGGGAGTAGGACGGAAAAGACTGTGCACTATTTACAACACGACTTTACTTGGAAACAAAATATATCAAATGAACCATCAAATATGCTACTGCATTCTGCATTAGCTGAAAACCAGGAGCATTGGAATTCACATTCTTGGTAGATGAAAACCAATTAACTACACCATCCACCATTCAGAACTGGTCTTCCTTGAAAAGTACACAAGAAACAAACTGGGCTAATATTCTGAAAAAAAGTTTGTGCCCAAACATTATTTGAGGCAGGGGAAAAGGGACTTGGGAAGGAAGACACACTAATGTTTCTCAAAAATTTTGCTCCAAAGATTTTACAGAATGTTTTTGGCAGATAGATTTTCATTTACTTGGCGCTGCTAGCAAGTCTGCAAAGTAATGCCTCAGAAACACTAGAAATGATACAATTCTTAAAAAGACAACAGAAAAGACATAATCTAAATTAGAATTCTATAATAATAATAATGTAACAGAAACAATCAAATTCTATCAATAGTAAACTAAAATATGCCTATTAAAACAAGCATTTCATCACTGCAAAACCATTTGTTTCACATGAAGTCTGATTTTGCTCTCAGTTTGAAAGTTATTAAAACGATACATCAGCCTTTACAGGCAAGACCAAACAGTAAGATAATTTTACATATTTATCAAAAGATCATTCAAAGAAAACTTACCAAGTCTGCAACGTGTATATGCTTGTGCTTCGGAGGGAAAGCAGAGAAGCCACTTTCTGTACTTACACTGGAGTTCACTTCAGTGCTGAAAACACATCACTGTAGTCCTGCTTGTAATAAAGTCCGGACTAGCAATCTGCCTTTGGGTTGGGCTTTTCTCTTACAAGATAAGCTGTTAAGTCATGCCTTGATTTTAGATCTGCCAACATATGGAGTCTTCTAATGTAGCCTTCCCTCCACCCCCTCAACCCCCCCTGCCCGCATCCCCCCAATCCCCGCTCTGCTCCACTCCCTCTGCACACACACACATACACACATACAAAAAAGGCACTGCAGGGCAGAAATTCCTCAGGTGCTCGCTAATGGAATTCCCAGGGTCTTGGAGCCGCTTCGGGGATCAAGAGATCTCATAGCCCCCGCTGGGGTAAGGAGCAGCGAGTCTGTTCCATTTAATCAAATACAGAATGAATTTTCAGCTCTATTCACTAGCTTGTCTCCAGGGCTCTCAAAAGGCACCAGGCAGCTAGAATCACACACATGTGGCTCTTTTAGGCAAGTATAATTAGCTTGATTTTAAAAAGCCACATTAATAATATCACCTCAGGACCATTATTCAGGAGACAGATGACAATGATACTGTATGTTTTAAGCCTGACAATGGGGGAAAGAGCACAAGCAATGAGGGAAAACTTGAAGGATTAAAAAAAAAAAAACCAAGAAACCAGTTTTTCATTTAATTGTAATCCAATATTTTTCAAGTGACATTAAGAATATTCCATACACCATCCCTTCTTTTTAACAAAAAAGAATCAAGTAAAGCCCTCCCCTGTGCTGTTGAAAGTGAGTTAGTGCCAAATACACAACAAAAACTTATCACATGGAATGATTACATACAATATAAAAATTTAAGTAAAAATAAAACATTCTCAAATTCAAGTTCACGAAATTTCTTGAAAAAATTCCCCATTAAAAAATACTGTAAAAAAGCAAGTCCTTCAACTCAAAATATTTGGCAACCATACTCCAAATTCTGTTTCTAATCTAATTAGTTTGTATTAAGTTCATTTACTTAAAGGGGGGCTACCATGTACGCAGCTCATCTACAGCTCCACTGTATTGTCTTACCCATACTTCTACATCATGCCATAGCTGATCACAAGGCGCTGGCTCATATCATTACACGTTAAAGCAACACATTTTTCAACTCATTATTTATTTTCTAACGCTTCCCTGATTTTTACTACGATAATATTTAATTCCTGAAATCATTTCCCTAGTATTTAACTTCGAAACAATCACCAATTTTTAGTCTAAACGTTCGTGGAAAAAAAAAAATTCTACAGAAGGAAAATTTTACTTCAACTTACATTTCGACAAAACCATACATGAAATTGTCTACAAAGTCATGAAGGCAGATGGGCGAAGTGGGAAAATAAGAAGCAAGCCCAAGAAATAGTCAACAAATTTTTACCTGCTCTCTTTAGAACAAAGCCCTAGGACATTAGTTCCTATTCCTACCTACTGCCTTCAGCTGTATATACCCTGACGATCTGGAGGAGAAAGTCCTATCTTAAAGTGAACTTAATTCTTTTCCTGCAAAGTCAAACCACCTGCAAAGAAAGCAAGGCGTAAGCTAGATTTAGAAGCCAAGCTACACAAGCTAGATCAGTATCCAAGTCCTAAGGGTTCTTTGTACTTGAAGGCTTGAGAGTCAGAGCTGTTTAAGTACTTTGCACAGAAGAGGAGGCTGATGAGAACCATGGCAATCAATCAAAGCATCCCAAGTGAGTTATTACACAAACAACAGCACAGTACCTCTAGTAACTGATTCTCCTGGCTGACTAAACTATTCAAACAAAGACAGATTTCCCAAACACTGGGAAGTTTTTGCATGAAAGTTAAACAGTATACATTTGTGTGTTTCTTAATAGAAATATAAATGTTTCTGTTCTACACACTGCCAAACACACACCCAGGGCACGTCTTTACAAAATGAAACAGGTTTTCTCCATCCTTCTCATATAACTTCAAGTATGAGGCAGTTCATTCCAACATGTGCATAACAGAGACTGCAGTATTTGGTGCTTCTCGGGTTCCAAAGAATGCTTTCTAGTTAAGCACTAATTTAAAATTTCCAGAAAATTTTTTGAAGGTTTTCTTTCATCTTATCTTAAAAGTTGAACTATCCCCAAATTTTCAGCTAAAAATAGACTGAGGGTGGGGGAGAACTACAAAATGTCATAGAATGTTTAGAATTATGCTGACAATAAACTCATTTCATTTTCTAACACCCTCCCCACCTTCCTCTCCTTGGAGACACTGTCCACTAGGTATGCCAAGTGTCAGTTGGGAATTTGAGGGTTATGTTATCAGCGCCGAAAGGAATCAGAATTCACTGACTTGGCGTCTTTCATCTTTACTGGCATAGGCCTGAAAATAAATCTCATGTGAGCTTTTAGTCCAACCTCCTGTTTTTCAAGGTGTCTGGTTTGGGACACAAAGGCTGACTTTCTGTTGATGAGGTTCTCTAAATTCTGGATTCCCACTGGAAAGCAGTCTGCCCTTAAAGCACCTGCCACCCTCTGTCGTCCTGATGAGGAAGGGCAGGCATTCTGGAAACAGCTCCTTTTGGAGAGCCTTCCACCTGATTTGGTGGGGTTAGGGAGAACAATGAAGGGAAGGGCAAGAGAGTCTATCTATCCCCCTCAGTGATTTATTGCTGAAATTCCTAGATGTGGAGAGAAAGCAACAAAGGTCTGGAAGCTGCCGACTGAAATAAATAGCGAGCTGTAATGTATTTAGCAAATGATAATGCAATCCACAGAAAGCTTTACAGAGGAGAAGGAAAAATACACTCCCTGGGGCTGGGAAGTCAGTGAGTCTTGTGAAGGCAGAGAAAGATACATTGTGCAGGAAATTTCTCTTGCTTCTCCCTACACATAAATCACTGTCTCTCGCGGGCGCTCTGCAGGGATGGAGATTGAGAGAGGCCAGGGACCCGGCTCCCTTGGGAAAACGCGCGGGCGCCCTAGCTCCCCGCTCTGCGGCATCTCACCTGCCCCCGAGGACCATCGTCAAGAAGAGGTTTCGTCGTGTCACTGACACCTCACCCCGCCTCCTCCCGCGAGGTGCCTCCGAGCCCCCGAGGACGCGGAACGCCGGGGCTCCCCGCCGGGCAAGCATCAGCATCCAGACCCCGCACGCAGCCCTGCACCCCCACGCCCTCCAGGGAACGCCGGCCCGCCCGTCCCCGGGACCTCCCGTCCCCTAAGCCAAGGCCCCCCAAGCCCAGTGCCCGCGCGCCACCCCTCCCTCCGACCCTGCGGCGGGACCCCCACCCCCGCACCTCTCCGCGGGGCTGGCTAAGCCTCCAGACCTCCTGCGCTGCAGCCGGCTCGGAAAGCCACCCCCAGGTCATCCCCCCGCGCGCGCGCGGCGGCGGCTACGGTGGCGGCGGCTGCGATCCGAACGGGCCCCTCCATGCACCGCGCAGGGCAGAGGAGGGAGCGGCGCCTCGCACGCCGGGGCTGGGGCGCTGGGCAGGGCGGGCGGGCGTGGGGTCCCGGGTCTCCTCGCACCTAGCCGCGCGAGCCGGGCTCCCGGGCTCAGGGGAGGGGAGCTGAGGGGCGGAGTCACCGGGGCGCGCCCCCGCGGCTGCGCTCCTCCCCGCCGGGGAGCGCGGGCACGTAACTCGGAGGGTGCTGGGCCGGCCCGGAGCACGCGAGCAGCGGGAGGAGGGACCGGGGAATGACTGACGGAGGCGGGCCGTAGAGGCCGCTGTGCCCCGCCGGCCCGCACCCGGCCGGAGTGTGCGCGCGCAGCCTGCCAGATCAGCGGCGGGGGCACGGGCCGTACCAAGTGACGGAGGGGGGCACGCTCTGGGCAGGACCCTCTCCTCGTCATTGACCTGCCTACTCTGCAAGAGAGATACCCCAGGGGAGCATAGAAGAGGCTTTTCTTGGGTGTAGGACAGGTAAGGGTGAGTTGCCTTACCAAGTCACGGAGATTCCCATCATGCCTGCACTCACGCTCCCCTCACCTTTCATTCCCTTGGAGAGACGGCTCTTCTGGCAGGTCTCCAAATGGTCGACTCTGTCCCCCGAGGCCCCGCCCTAGCCTCGTTCGGGCCCCGCCCTAGCCTCGTTCGGGCCCCGCCCTAGCCTCGTTCAGGCCCCGCCCCTCGCCCCGCCCCGCCCCTCGCCTCTACCTAAGTTCTCTGAGCCGCCAACGGGTGCATCCCTTCTCCCGGTTCTTGCCTGGTCTCTCTTAGGGTTCCAGCGGCCCACCGCTTATACCTCCTTCGCCTTTCCACCA
This sequence comes from Homo sapiens, assembly GCF_000001405.40. Lineage (NCBI taxonomy): Eukaryota > Metazoa > Chordata > Mammalia > Primates > Hominidae > Homo > Homo sapiens. The sequence continues at coordinate 126,063,547 of NC_000011.10, forward strand.
CTTTCCATGTTTAATTCCTTAGGCAGCTTCATCTGATTCCCCCACCACCACCCACCCGCCCTGCCTGCACATAAACGCAAGCAGGTAGCAAAACTCAGGGGCTAGGAGAGGCGTGGTGTGAGCCTTTGGCCCCAGAGTCTTTCCAACTCGTCCGTTGGACCTGCCCCAAGTTATCTGAACTCAATGAACTTCAGTTGTTCAAACAGAAAAAGGAAAAATAAATTTCTATTCAAAATGTTGCTGTGAAGCGTAAATACGATACTTTGTGAAAAGCACCTGCCACTCAGTGGGCATTCAAGGACTGTAACTTCTTTATAAATTGTTATTATTAGCAGTTAGCTCTTTTTTTTCCCCATCATCATTACTTACTATTAGCTTAACTACAAAAGGATCCCTAATAATAGTTAAGTTTATAAATACTCAGTACTGAACTTCAGGAGAAATATGCCAGTCCTCCCTTACCTTCTTACGTGAATTTTAAAAAGAAATGCTTTGAAAGTGTGGTATTGTTCAAGCAGGTTAGCTTTCTGCATTAGCTAGATTCAGGGTTTTTGTAAAGCCCCTGGAAAGAAAGTCAGTACAGGACGGAAAAAAAAAACACAATTTTTTTTCTTAAGACGGAGTCTCACTCTGTCGCCCAGGCTGGGGTGCTCTTGTTGCCCAGGCTGGAGTGCAATGGTGCGATCTTGGCTCACTGCAACCTCCGCCTCCCGAGTGCAAGCGATTCTCCTGCCTCAGCCTCCCAAGTAGCTGGGATTACAGCACGTGCCACCACACCCGGCTAATTTTTGTATTTTCAGTAGAAACGGGGTTTTGCCATGTTGGCCAGGTTGGTCTTGAACTCCTGACCTCAGATGATTCTCCCGCCTTGGCCTCCCAAAGTGCTGGGATTACAGGCGTGAGCCACCACACCCAGCCAGAAAAAAACTCTTAACTCTAGTTTGTCCTCCACTGTTCTATTGTTCACTTTTGGAGACCAAGAATCTATATGTTATTAACAAGCTATGGTAAACGATTTTTCATTCGGCAAGTAAGTCTTTCTATAGAGGATTTAACTGAAATGAGAGTTTTGTGTGGATGTTAATAGAAGTCTTGCAAATTTATTGTGGCTACAGAGAATTCCAGGTTCTTCTCCTGGGACATAATGCACTTTGTGCACCTCCAGATCTCACAGTGCCATTTGAATTCACTATGCCTACTGTTACTCATAGTCAGACTAAGAAAAAAATCACAATGTTTGTTGATATTAATTACTTCCTCTCCCCCTTTTTTTGTAAAGCAGAGAAATCATTTCAGGTGTAAAACAGTTTTTCATTAATGAATCATTCATCCATTTGTTCAACATTAAGAAACAATGTGCAGTCCCAAGCTTCAAAGAGCTCACAGTCTAACTGTGATACAGACACACACGTGGGTAAGTACAAGGAGACATCTTCAGTGCAATGAACAGGGAGCTGTGTGAACACAAGGTCAGTATAGTATTGAGTATAGTATTAAGAGGTGATAGTATTAAGAGGTGATAGTATTAAGAGGTGATAGTATTAAGAGGTGATAGTATTAAGAGGTGATAGTATTAAGAGGTGATAGTATTAAGAGGTGATAGTATTAAGAGGTGATAGTATTAAGAGGTGATAGTATTAAGAGGTGATAGTATTAAGAGGTGATAGTATTAAGAGGTGATAGTATTAAGAGGTGATAGTATTAAGAGGTGGAGACTTTAGAAGCTGACTAAGTCATGAGGACCACCCTCATGAGCAAGATTCATGACCTTATAAAAGGGCTTCAAGGAGCTAGCTAGCCCCTTCTGTCCCTTCTGCCGTGGGAGGACACAGAGAGGTCATCATCTGTAAGGAGTAGGCACTTACCAGACCCTGAATCTGCAGGCACCTTGATCTTGGATTTCCCAACCTCCATAACTATGAGAAATAAATTTCTGTTGCTTAAAGAGTACCCAATCTAAGGCATTTTGTTATAGCAGCAGAAACAGACTAAGACACTATGGGGCCTCCAACCACAGATGTCCACTATGTAGAGAACTCCAAGTGGAAATACGGATTTAAACGTCATCAGCATAAAGTAGTGTTTATACCATTAAAGTGGAAGCGATCTCTCAGGAATAATATGGAACCAGAAAGTTGTAGCCAAGGATGGATCTCTAAAACTCCAATAACTAAAGCCCCCAATTATCTTGATGAATTTGGAGCAAAGGCTGTTTACTGAACTCAAGGTATGGGACTTGAAAAGGATGCTTGAAGAAGGTGGTGAAGGTTTGGAATAGTCATTAGGAAAAATGAGAGTTGAAAAATGAAAGTAGAAAATCACTCAGAGAATTGATAAGTGATGCTGAGGGCCTGGCTGAGGTTGGAGACCATTAATGTATGGTGATGGAGCTTGCATGATTATGTGGTTTTCTCCATCAAAATTTAATCAGTCAGGTAGAAGGGGAAAAGCATAACACCAACCCAATTTTGAAGTTTTTCTGGAAGTTGTACAAGAAGGAAAATAACACACGGTATTGGTAAGAAAATTTTTAAAACAGCAATCATAGAATCCAGGCAGTGGAAAAGGTGTAAGAGGTTTGAGAAGAATAATAGACTGGAAAAATTACAAATTAAAGAAAAGGAGATATGTATGACATTAAAGAGCTGTTGTTACAGGATTGAGTAAGAAAGAACCAAGAAGTCTTTGGTAATAACCAGAGTTTACCATTTCAGAAGTAGAACAGTTCCAAGTAATGATTAGATCTAGTATGTTTACCGGTGCTGGTGGACGATGTGGATGATTTATGCCGTCAGGGGACATATTGAAGGAACTGAGAGGCTGATAAATGAAATACCATGAGCCAAGTACTCAAGTCCTCAGGGATGAGGTGGGAAGGTTGTTAGATACTAAGTGACATTTAATACATTCCAGGCCTGAAGTGGGTGCTTTTATAATACTCAATACATGTTAAAATTGGTTCTCCAAGGCCGGGCGCGGTGGCTCACACCTGTAATCCCAGCACTTTGAGAGGCCGAGGCGGGCAGATCATGAGGTCAGGAGATCAAGACCATCCTGGCTGACATGGTGAAACCCCGTCTGTACTAAAAATACAAACAATCAGCCAGGCGTGATGGTGGGTGCCTACAGTCCCAGCTACTCGGGAGGCTGAGGCAGGAGAATGGCATGAACCCAGGAGGCGGAGCTTGCAGTGAGCCGAGATCCCATCACTGCACTCCAGCCTGGGCGACAGAGCAAGACGCCATCTCAAAAACAAAAACAAAAATGGTTCTCCAAGAATAACATAATAGAGTAACTAGAGTCCATAAACTTGTATCACATTCTGACTGTACCTTATTTGATCTTGGTCAAATAACTTAAACTCTTGGAGTCTTGATTTCATCATTTGTAAAGTTGTAAATGACTTCATCATTTGTAAAGAGTAATAATACCTCATATAGAGTTGTTAATAGGACCTACTTCAGTGGTTTGCTAGGAGGATTAATTGAGATGATACACACAAAGCACTTAATACAGTGATTGGCAAGTAGCAAACACTGGATAAAAGTGTTTTTAACATAAATAAAAGCTATTTATAATAATAATAGTTAATGCTTATATAGTTCCTTCTGTGCACCAAGTATTATTTTAAGCATTAGTCCCAAATTACAAATGAGAAAACTGAGACATGAAGTGCCTTGACCATAGTCACACGGCTAGTCAGTGTCAGAGCTCATATTAAAACTCAGGTAATCTGTGTCTAGAGGCTGGACTCTTAATTATTACACATTAATGTCTCCCTACAATAATGGGAAGTATTTTTATTAATATCACTTCAAATAAATTGATCAGTTAAACTGATCTGTTCTTTTTTAGCACCATTTGCTCGCAGTGCCGCCTCCTGCTCCTCCTGCCGCCACTGCCGCCCTGAGTCACTGCCTGCGCAGCTCAGGCCTCCTGGCTTCCCATACTAGCTGCCGATATTTGGAGTTCTTATAACATGGCAGACACTGACAATCTGAACTTGATCGAGATTTGGATGATGTTGAAGAAGTACATGAAGAAGAAACTGGTGAAGAAACAAAAATCAAAGCACATCAGCTAACTGTTCAGATAATGCAAAGTCCTCAGATTCTTGCAGTCCTTCAAGAAAGACTTGATGTTCTGGTAGAAACACCAACAGGATACACTGAAAGCCTGCCTAGGGTAGTTAAAAGACGAGTGAATGCTCTCAAAAACCTGCAAGTTAAATTAAATGTGCACAGATAGAAACCAAATTCTATGAGGAAGTTCACGATCTTGAAAGGAATATGCTGTTCTCTATCAGCCTCTATTTGATAAGCGATTTGAGATTATTAATGAAATTTATGAACCCACAGAAGAACAATGTGAATGGTAACCAGATAAAGAAGATGAGATTTCAGAGGAGTTGAAAGAAAAGGCCAAGATCGAAGATGAGAAAAAGGATGAAGAAAAAGAAGACCCCAAAGAAATTCCTGAATTTTGGTTAACTGTTTCTAAGAATGTTGACTTGTTCAGTGATATGGTTCAACAACATGATGAACCTATTCTGAAACACTTGAAAGATACTAAAGTGAAGCTCTCAGATGCTGACCAGCCTATGAATTTTGTCTTAGAATTTCACTTTGAACCCAATGAATATTTTACAAATGAAATGCTGTCAAAGACATACAGGATGAGGTCAGAACCAGATGATTCTGATCCCTTTTCTTTTGATGGACCAGAAATTATGGGTTGCACAGGGTGCCAGATAGATTGGAAAAAAGGAAAGAATGTCACTTTGAAAACCATTAAGAAGAAGCAGAAACACAAGGGAAGTGGGACAGTTCATACTGTGACTAACACAGTTTCCAATGACTCTTTAATTTGTTTGCCCCTCCTGAAGTTCCTGAGAGTGGAGATCTGGATGATGATGCTGAAATCCTTGCACAGACTTCAAAATAGGTCACTTTTTACGTGAGCGTATAATCCCAAGAGCAGTGTCATACTTTACTGGAGAAGCTATTGAAGTTGATGATGATGTTTATGATGAAGAAGGTGAAGAAGCGGATGAGGTAATGTTTACCAAATGAGCAAATAATTCTCTGTGTTTAACACATTGAGAAGCAAATTGAATGACTTATGTATTCCTTTGCTATAATCATTCTGCAATTTGGGTTAAAAACATTTTGGAGGCCGGGCGCGGTGGCTCACGCCTGTAATCCCAGCACTTTGGGAGGCCGAGGCGGGTGGATCATGAGGTCAGGAGATCGAGACCATCCTGGCTAACAAGGTGAAACCCCGTCTCTACTAAAAATACAAAAAATTAGCCGGGCGCGGTGGCGGGCGCCTGTAGTCCCAGCTACTCGGGAGGCTGAGGCAGGAGAATGGCGTGAACCCGGGAAGCGGAGCTTGCAGTGAGCCGAGATTGCGCCACTGCAGTCCGCGGTGCGGCCTGGGCGACAGAGCGAGACTCCGTCTCAAAAAAAAAAAAAAAAAACATTTTGGAAAATATGATTTTAGAATTCTACAGCCAAACAGTGTATGTGTAAAGTTTCAATAAATAAACTGAAAAAAAGAAAAAACTTTGTTGAGCACCTTTTAAGTATAAAGCACAAAATTAAAGACATACAAGGAAATACCTGTATTAAAAACATCTTGGCTGGGTGTGGTAGCTCACAACTGTAATCCCGGCACTTTGAGAGGCCAAGGCAGATGGATTGCTTGAGCCCAGGAGTTCAAAACCAGCCAGTACAACATGGTGAAACTCTGTCTCTACAAAAATTATAAAAGATTAGCCGGTTGTAATGGCATGCACCTGTAGTACCAGCTAGTCAGGAAGCTGAGGTAGGAGGATCGCTTGAGCCCAGGACACGGAGGTTACAGTGAGCCAAGATCGCGCCTCTATACTCCAGTCTGGATGACAGAGTGAGACCCTATCTCAAAAAAGAAAAAGAAAGACATCTTATGTGGCCTCATCAGACTCTCTTAGCCTCACCTGTCTCCAACACCCTGCAGTGACTCACTCTGTGTCCCTTGCACCATTTCTAGGCACTGCAGAGCTTGAAATCTGGCTTCCCCAGGATCTGCTGAGAGGGCTAAGCAACACAACTCAAACATATAGTGTGAGGCCAGGCGTCTTGGCTCACGCCTGTAATCCCAATGCTGTGGAAGGCCAAGGTAGGTGGATTGCTTGAGCCCAGGAGTTCAAGACCAGCCTGGGCAATATTGAGAAACCCCATCTCTATTTAAAAAAAAAAAAGAAAGAAAGAAAGTGCAGTGTGTTATCTCCCCTATGTGAGGAGGGCATGGGAGCAGGGCAACAGATAAACTCCTCCCATCCTCTATCCATGGACTGCTCCAAGCATGGCTTGTCCACACTACTTGTCTGGAACCATCCCTCGTGGCCAAGCAGAAGCACCTACTGAGGGCTCAGCTGGGTCTTGTGTGATATATCAAACGCAAGGGCCTCATAACAACAGATCGCCTGCGTTTGTTTCCCAGCTGTTTCTATCCGATTTCCCTTTTCCCTCATTCTCACCTGTGATTGACCAGACTCTGTTTATTAGAAAATCTTTGTTATAAACCTAAAGAGTTTATACTAAAGCTTTAGAAAGTTTAGGCCTATGTATATATAAAACAAGTAACAGTGCAAATCACTAGTTGATAAACACCAGATGAGAGGAATACAGCCAGGCACAAGTTTGAGGTCCAGCCTGAATGTTATTAACCACTTAATTTTTTATTTTCTGTGCCTCGGTTTTCTCATATATAAACTATAGATAGTGATACGTGCGTTGCACTTTCATACGTTGCTGATGGGAATGAAAAATGGTATGACCCCAGGGAAGAAAATTTGACCATATTTATCAAAATATAGCATGCTTTTACCCTTTGATCCTGCAGTCCCAGTCTGGAAATTTGTCCTACGGATACTCTTGCATTCATATGAAAAATCTATTCACTGCATTGTTGTTTATAGCAGATTAGAAACAATCCAAGCGTCCACCATCAAGAACTACATCCACACAATGGAATACTGTGCCACTGAAAAAAGAAAAGGGAAGCTCTCAGAGAACTGCTGTGGAGGGTACTCTAGAATATGTGTTAAATGGAAAAGAAAAGAGAAAGAAAGAGAGAGGCAGGTGCAGGACATCTTATGGGCAGTATTATGCTCTAATTTCTAAGAGGTAGAAAATAAGATTATATATTTGTATTTACTGATTTTTTTGCATAAAGAACCACTAGAAGGAACCAAAGAAGACCTCTTTCCTTTTATTTATTTATTTATTTTTTTGAAGACAGGGTCTCATTCTGTTGCCCAGGCTGGAATGCAGTGGCATGATCATGGCTCATTGCAGCCTCGACCTCCTGGGTTCAAGTGATCCTCCCATCTCAGCCTCCTGAGTAGCTGGGACTACAGGCACACGCTACCACACCTGGCTATTCAAAGAATATCTTTAAAAATGATTACTTATAGTGGAAGGTGGATAAGATACTTTTAAATTTATATCTTTTGGCTGGCCACAGCAGCGCATGCCTGTAATCCTAACACTTTGGGAGGCCGAAGAGGGTGGATCTCTTGAGCCCAGGAGTTTGAGACCAGCCTGGGAAACATGGCAAAATCCCATCTCTACAAAAAATACACAATTAGCCAGTCATGGTGGTGTGTACCTATATCCCCAGCTACTTGGGAGACTGACATGGTCAAGGTAGCAGTGAGCCGAGATGGTGCCACTGCACTCCAATCTGGGTGACACAGTGAAACCCCATCTTAAAAAAAAAAAGTGTAACTTTTTATACTGTCTTGATTTTTGAACCATGCAAATAGGCTACTTATCCAAAACAAACAAAAAATTTAATGGGAAATTAATACCTGCCCTTCAAGAGTTAAATGAGATAATGCATCACATTATCTGCAAGTACTCTGCACAGTACCTGACACAGAGTAGGGTCTCAGTAAATGGTAGCTTCAGAAATAACTTCCAACTGAAGCAGAGGAAGGAAGGCTTCAACGAGGAAGGAAAGCTTAGCCTAAGTCTAGAGGCTGGGAAAGACTGAGAGAGAAGTAGAGAAGTGGGGACTATTGCCAAGGAGGGATTGGGAGAAGCAATGGGAGACAGTATTAGTAAGATAGGATGAGGCTGCATAGGAGAGGGTTTGAATGGTAAAATAAGAACTTGGGATTTTATTCTTTAGGTGATAATAACCATAATTAATCTTTACACTTATACTGTTATCTTATGGTTTATGAAACCTTAATTATAGATTCCCATCCAGAAGAAACTCAAATCTTATTGTCTAGAATTTGATACCAACTCAAATGAACATTAGGAGCCTCTAGAATATTCTTGGACTAGAAATGATCTGACAGAGGTAGCAAATGTCAGAAAGTGCCCATTTAGCAACTGCAAGAGTGGTCAAAGTTGATCATCACCAGGCTGACTTAGTCTGCTAAAGGCTTGCAAACTAAACAGCAATTTCATATATTTCTCTCTTGGTTATGACTTTGGATTTTTATTTGGTCTTATTTACAGAGAAAAAAGCATTAATCAATTTAAAACCAAAAAAAGGAAGGGAAACTGACTATCTAAAAGTCAATTGGTTTAACGCCTTTCTACTCTCTGCTAAAAGGACCAAAGTTCGAAACAACTAAACCCCCACAATGAGTTAGACCCAGAGGGCTAAATAATAACGTAAGTCAGTTGTCTCAATTTGGCTGATTTCCAAATTTACACAACAAAGTTCTTGTTAAATATTCAGGAAGTTCCAATTATTTATGATGTAACTTGATATTGACATGGTATCAAATGACCTGACCATCCCCCAAGGCTTAGGAATTTTACATCTAATGACTGACTGCAGGATAACTCTCCTGACAAGGCTGGAAGGTTGGCAATCAACAATTTTCCTTTGCAATCTATTTTTTCTTTGAAAAAGAAATTCCAATAGGTTGACTGTATTCTCACTGTCTTGTACATTTCCTGAATTGTGTGCAAGAGGATTTCACGGAGAGAGGGATTTCTATGGCCTTTTTTATGCTGAACTGGCGCTAAGCTCCGGAGACTCACTGCCTAAACCATTACACACAGATCACCTAACTCTGTTACTGGGTTTGTGATGCTAGATTGATTTACCCATATACCAGGTCAGGAGAAAATGACTTTCCACATCTTCTTTGCACTAGCAAAGAATGTGGAGATCCTTTTACAGGAAAGAGAAAGGCCTGTACGGGAGCCCGGCGCTAAGCAGACACAATGCCACCTTCCCTGTCATTAGGCTACGTGTGGCAAAGGAGCCCCTGTCTGCGATGTGAAAGAAAGCAAAGGGCCTGAAAGAGAATGGCAAGGAGTTGGAGATATTTGCAAAGGATAGGGAGCTAATGAATGAGTTATTCGAGGCTGGATGGTCTCATAGAAAAAAAACCAAGCTGAGAATTGGGGAACCTGTCCAGTATAATTTATCCCAGCTCCCTCATTATCCTCCTGTCTGCGGTGTGGACTTGGGCCAATCACTAAGTCTCCGTGGTAGAATTTCTCTTTTTCCTCTCCAAAGGAAAAATGAACTACAGTCTGTCAAAGTCTCTAAGGGGCTGGCATTGTTAGAGTAAGTTCTGACCACTTTAACAGCTCTAGCGCAGGTTGGACCAACAAGATTTGGATAAAATGACTAGTCCCTGGAGGTAGGAGAGGTCTTCTGTTTGGTCCAGTTGTCCATAAAAGCTGTAGGAAGTTAGGCAAATTTCCTCATCAGTAAAACGGGTGTAAATACACCATAGGTTGCCAGGTTGTTTTGAGGATTTAAGGTGTATAAAATGCACCTGGTACTGTGCTTGACTCATAATGGGCATCATTATTATTCATCAGCTTGGTTTCCACACCTGCAGTTCCTTATCAGTTGTGAACGTTTCCTGTATCAGAAGCAAGGAATGCTATGACAACTAACTTGCATCTTGGATAGATCACTTAACGTGCTTTGTGCATCAGTTTTCTCATCTAAGAAATAGTAATAGGTCTAGCAGTGGCTCAAGCCTATAATCCCAACTCTTTGGGGGAGCTGAGGCAGGAGGATTGCTTGAGGCCAGTAGTTTGAGACCTGCCTGGGCAACGTAGTGAAACCTTATCTTTACAAAGAATTTAAAAATTAGCCAGGCATGGTGGTGTGCACCTGTAGTCCCAGCTACTCAGGAGGCTAAGGCAAAAGGATCACTTAAGCCCAGGAGTTTAAGGTTACAGTGAGCCATGATTGCACCACTGCATTTCAGCCTAGGCAATGGAGTGAGACCCTGTCTCAAAAAAAAGAAAAAAAAAAAAAAGACCTTAATAGTACCTATTTTCTATATCTGTTCTGAGGATTAGGTGAAATAATGCATATAAAGTACTTGGCCCAGACATAACCAACAATAACTAATTTTTATTATTTATTATACATATAACAAGTACATAATCAACAATAAAAATCCACTATTATTATTTTTCTCATCACCATCATCATCATTGTGGTAAAAATCATTGTGAATTCTACTCCTATAGGTCAAAATTTTCTCTTATTTTTTCAGTTGTTAGCAACTATCATGCATTAGCAGTGAAAGTTTGAACACACATGAATTACTGATTTGTAGTATCATCTATTACATATTAGTAATATGGAGAATATTTGTTCTACATATTGATACTTATTCATAAATGACATAGCTTTAGAAGATTTATAAGGATTAAGATAAGCTTGGCCCATGCTCAGCATTATATGAGTGCTTATCAACAAAATAAACACATACATACATATATTCAAAGAACAGGAACATCTCTTGAATCTCTATTACTAGTTTTGCTTTTACATTATCTAACCAAGTGTTTCCTCTTCTCTTGGTCAGTTAAAAGTACTGGCCCCTCGCTTTGGCTTGCGCCTGTAATCCTAGCACTTTGGGAGGCTCAAGCAGGCTGATTACTTGAGTCCAAGAGTTTGAGACCAGCCTGGGCAATGTAGCAAGAACCCCATCTCTATTTATCTATTTAAAAAAAAGAAAAGAAAAAAAAATTAAGTACTTATAAATAGCATCGATGCTGATAGCCCTTAAAAGACATTGGTTCTGGGTCTGGCATCGTAGCTCATACCTATAATCCTAGCACTTTGAGAGGCCAAGGTGGGCAGATTACTTGAGGCCAGGAGTTCGAGACCAGCCTGGCCAACATGGCAAAACCCCGTCTCTACTAAAAATACAAAATTAGCCGGGTGTGGTGGCGCGCACCTGTAATCCCAGCTACTCAGGAGGCTGAGGCAGGAGAATCACTTGAACCCAGGAAGCGGAGGTTACAGTGAGCCGAGATCGTGCCACTGCACTCCAGGCTGGGCAACAGAGTGAGACTCCATCTCAAGAAAAATAAAAAATAAAAACAAAGACAATGGCTCTGCACTGAGCCCTCTGGAGTCAGGCTCCTGTGTCTTCCCCGAAATCATGTCCTCATGCTAGCCTCATGCTTCCCACTTTCCCTCTTCTGTGCCTCATCTTCTCTCTCCCCTTGGCCAGATCTTTGACCAGCTTATTTACTACCTGCCTGTTCCCCAGTTACTGTCTGTCCCATTCTGGGGGTTCTGGGAACCAAATTTCCTGGAAAAAATGGAAACCGCGTTACTGACTCTGCGCCTCCATGTCAGCTGTACCTTTCCCTGGGGGCCAGAGAGAGGCTGGACCAGGGCATGAGCAGGAAGAGGACACCATGAGAAGAGTGTCTGGAACTCTGGCATCTTGGGGCAGAGGTAGGAGACTAAAGAAGCTAGTCGCTCCTGCCTTGGGCTGCTCTTCTGCAATGGTCTGAATGTTGGTGTTCCCCCCAAATTCATATGTCAGAACCTACTATTCAGTGTGATAGTGTTAAGACGTAGGGGCCTTTGGGACGTGATTAAGTCATGAAGGCTCCACCCTCATGAATAGGAGTAGAGGCTCAAGTGAGCTTTCTTTGCCCTTCTGCCATGTGAAGACACAGAAGGAGGTACCATCTTCGAAGCAGATCATGAGCCCTCACCTAACACCAAATCTGCTGGTGCTTTGATTGTAGACTTCCCAGCCTCCAGAACCGTGAGCAATGAATTCCCACTTTTTAGAAATTACCCAGTGTAAGGTATCTTGTTGTAGCAGCTCTAATGGACTCAGACATCTCACAGTTGTTTGGATATAGACGTTGCATTCACATTTATGTCAGAAAAGGTGGGAAACCAAGTAGGGAGAGTACACACACAGAGGAATGAGATACCTGAATAAGGGAAGTTCACAGGGAAGGTGAGAGGGATGGACAAAACTTAAACTTGGGGCCATTTCCCTTCCCCTTCAATCTATTCCTCGTGGACGTGCTGTTACAAAGTTGTTACCCACCCGCCAGGTGCGGTGGCTCACGCCTGTAATCCCTGCACTTTGGGAGCCCAAGGCGGGTGGATCACCTGAAGTCAGGATTTCAAGACCAGTCTGACCAACATGGTGAAACCCCCATCTCTACTAAATGCAAAAAAAAAAAAAAAAAAATTAGCTGGGCGTGGTGCGTGGTGGCGTACGCCTGTAATCTCAGCTACTTGGGAGGCTGAGGCAGGAGAATCGTTTGAACCCGGGAGGCGGAGGTTGCAGTGTGCCGAGATTGCACCACTGCACTCCAGCCTGGGCAACAAGAGTGAAACTCCGTCTCTCAAAATGAAACAAAACAAAAAAGTTGTTACCAACCATTCCTTGCCTCCTTGCAAAAAGGACTGCCTTCTTCAATGAGTGGAGTGGAATGGAGAAAAAGACAGCAATTTTCTCTCGGTTTCTCCTGGTCATAACTGTAAACTGGCCATAGGCTTCTCTGCATGCTTTCAGACTGAAAAGACTTGAGTGAAGGAATTCAATCTAAGGTATGAAAAATGGAGAAAAGCTTTAGAATTAGTTCTCTGTGGATCTAAGAGATCCCTATGCAGCAGCAGATTTTCAGATACTCTAGTAGGTCCCTGTATTTGGGGGATCTTGACTTTTCATCTTTCAGCTCACAGCAGGCACTTGACTCTCTGTGCTACTAACACTTAAGGTCCAGCCACTTTTCACAGCTTGTCCCAAAGTCAGTAATTTCCCTGGTGACCAGCAAGGGCTCTAGGGGCTGAGATGAGCAACTTATGACCTGTGTGAATGGTCCCAGAGTGGGAGGGGGCATGGGAAGACCTGCAGAAGGGCCTGCTCACATGTCTCCTCCTGTCCTTCTCAGACCCCCACCTGCACTGAGGAACACCTCTTTTCCCACCCCTCTGTTCCATTCATTTAATGGATTCGTCAAAAGCTCATCACTGAGCCAATTAGCAGCCCAGCTTCTCCACTGCCCCTTCACAAAGGGCTTCCACCTTGATTAAAGGACTGTGCCTGAGGAGATGCTGTGCTCACAAATGCCAGAGGGAGGAGGCAATGGGGCCTTACCCTAGAGGGAGGAATGGAGTGGGGGTGTTGAGAACTAAGAAAGAAACTGAACCAACATGAAATGTTGGGACTTTGGAATCTTTTCCAGAGTGAGATAATTTTCTTTTTTTTTTCTTTTTTTTTTTTTGAGATGGAGTCTCGCACTGTCGCCCAGGTTGGAGTGCAATGGCGCGATCTCTGCTCACTGTAATCTCTGCCTCCCGGGTTCAAGTCGTTCTCCTGCCTCAGCCTCCCGAGTAGCTGGGATTACAGGCGCATGCTGCCACGTCCGGCTAATTTTTTGTGTTTTAGTAGAGACAGGATTTCACCATGTTGCCCAGGCTGGTCTCGAACTCCTGAGCTCAGGCAATCCACCCGCCTCAGCCTCCCAAAGTGCTGGGATTACAAGCATGAGCCACCACACTCGGCCAATTTTCTTTTTTTTTTTTTTACCAACCGTCAGGCTCCATGACTTTGGGGACTGTGTGTACCCTCTAGAGCTCATGAGGCCCATCCCCTGCCTCCATGCATGAGGATGGCTTAGAGAAGACTGGTCCTTATTCAACTCTTCCCTCTCACTTGTCAGTGTCTTGGCTCCTGACCACAAGGTATGGAACCTTTAGGGCCCCCTCCAGACACAGAATCCAGCTTTGTCATCCTCTAACACAGAAAACATTTCAGGACTTCTTTGGGATGTTCGACCCACCTGGATGTGTCCTGGAACCCTACTACCTGTCTGCAGCAGGAAGTCAAACAGAAGGCAGCCATTCCCGTCTTCTCTATCAGCATTAGCAGCCACAGTTTAGAAATTCAGCCTGTGCTTTTCTCTAGGGCCTGCATCTGTGCAGACTTCTACCCTCAGGCTTCCCTACAAGATGCTCAGAAGGTACTGAACAGAACACGCACTTGCAAAAATGACCAAAAGCACAAAGGCAAGGGAATAGATCACCTTCTCCTTTCTACTTTCTATTCCCCTACATCTCTCTTTGACTTTAGAGCCCTAAAATTGCCATAGTTCTTAATTTTAGTCAACTTACTACTAATTTTAAAGTATACGAAAATTAGTTAATGACACTTATTAAGCACCTATTACGTGCAAGGTATTATCAAGCAAAATGTAGTGTTCTTACAGTTCCTTCTGTTTGCCTCATATTTTGCTGTTTTCCTGCGATGGTCAGTATATATTGCCTCCCATCACACACCATGTTTTTTGAGCAGCCAGAGACCCAGGCAAATCAATAAATGTTTATCAAATTTCTTTTTTTTTGAAACAGAGTCTCGCTCCGTCGCCCAGGATGGAGTGCAGTGGCGCGATCTCAGCTCACTGCAACGTCCGCCTCCCAGGTTCAAGCTATTCTCCTGCCTCAGCCTCCCAAGTAGCTGGGACTACAGGCACCCACCACCATGCCCAGCTACTTTTTTTTTGTATTTTTATTAGAGACGAGGTTTCACCATGTTAGCCAGGATGGTCTCTATCTCCTGACCTCGTGATCCGCCTGCCTCAGCCTCCCAAAGTGCTGGGATTACAGGCGTGAGCCACCACGCCCGGCCAAGTTTCTTCTATCTGTTACTAGCTTTGCACCTGTGGAAGAATACAATTGCATATCTGCCCTTGAGACCACTATGCTGTACAGTCTGTCAAATGTGTCTCCAAAACAATTAGAAACCATGCAAAGCAGCACATAAATAAATACTTATCGGCTATGATGGAGACTGAGGTTATGCTTTTTTTTTTTTTCTTGACACAGAGTCTTGCTCTGTCACCCAGGCTGGAGTGCAATGGTGTGATCTCTGCTCGCTGCAGCCTCTGCCTCCTGGGTTCATGCGATTCTCCTGCCTCAGCCTCCCAAGTAGCCGCGATTATCATGCCTGTAATCCCGGCACTTTGGGAGGCCAAGGTGGGTGGATCACCTGAGGTCAGGAGTTCGAGACCAGCCTGGCCAACATAGAGAAACCCTGTCTACGAAAAATACAAAAATTAGCTGAGTATGGAGGTTATGCTTTTAAAGAGCAAGATGGAAATGGTTCTTGGGAAAATAACTACAGAAAGAGTTGGTTTCCTGGCCGGGTGCGGTGGCTCATGCCTGTAATCCCAGCACTGTGGGAGGCCGAGGCGGGTAGATCACTTGAGGTCAGGAATTCCAGACCAGCCTGGCCAACATGGTGAAACCCCGTCTCTACTAAAAATACAAAAATTAGCCGGGCGTGGTGGCGGGCACCTGTAATCCCAGCTACTCAGGAGGCTGAGGAAGGAGAATCACTGGAACCCAGGAGGCGGAGGTTGCAGTGAGCTGAGATCACGCCACTGCCCTCCAGCCTGGGCTACAGAACGAGACTCCGTCTCAAATTAAAAAAAAAGAAAAAAGAAAGAAAGAGTTGGTTTCCACTGTTTCAAGACTAATGGAAGAAACTGTTCTCATGAAGAATGGGAAGGACAACCTATAGACTCACAGGAAGCTAAGGGGTAGGGTGGGAACCTTGCCTGAGTTAAGAATAAGGAAACTAGGCAAATTCCTCTCTGCAAAATGATGGTAACACTACTGCCTGCCTCATGGTGGTGAGGATTAGAACAGTGTCTTGCAAGTAGTAAGCTCAATGTCAGTGTTCACTACACTACTACTGTTTTCGTTCTTAGGTGAACTGTTTTACTTTGGGACTGGCTAGAGGTGGGGGTTGGGGGACTGGCTTATATTATGGTGTCTTAGGTTAGTGACTGAAACACACTGACAATCTTTGTTCCTGGCAAAGCAACACTATGCTCTCATTTCAATCCCACTTATAAATTCTGCAATGGAAAAAATGGAGCTGGCCCTTAGGGAACTCACTATAGGGGCCTGAGACTTGGGCCATGCTCTCACTAAACCCTCTGGCGGAAGACCTTCGGGCCACCCAGCCCCACCTGGAGGTGGAAGGTGATTAAATGGATGATCTCACCCGGTCCCTTTTGAGAGGGCCTGAGTCTGTGATCCTGTAAACAGACTCCTATGCATTGCAAACCATGGGCGTTTTTGTGGATTGTTCTTTGTTCAGAAAAAGCCAGAGCAGTTTTGAGAAGTCTGCAGAATGTTAGAGCTGTCACTTCTAAAGTAATGTAACGCTGTCTGTTACCCCACCTATCAGCAAAGCAAAGCAAGGTATATGTCTCCATGAGTCAGGGTTTATTTAATATTCACAACCCCGGCAGTTTTTTGACTGATGAAAATATTTTGCAAACAGAACCTGGTCCTGTTTTTCTCCTCACTCTTTCCCCCTGCCAAATGTAGAGTGAGAGGTTGGCAGAGGCAGTGCTAAACTAGTAGGGCTGAGGAGATACTATCTCCGTCTCCTTGTAACACAAAACATTTATTTTGCTGGGAGTGAACACAAAATTGAAAAGGGGCCAAGATTTCTGGGAGCAGGAGGTTTGGTTTTCCCCCTGGCTGGACTGCCTGGTTTGTTGACTTTCTGCCTTTGCCACCCCCTGAGCCACACACCAGCCTTACCTAAGACATAGACCATTACAAAGGCAGCTCTAGAAGCACCAGACTACCCCCACCCCAGCTCCAGGGGAGAGGACCAGCCATTATTCAGCAAATGAGTCAGCCGTGAGTGACAAAGCCAGGCTTGGTGACTCCCTTCCCCACTTGTTGCCTTGCCCTCTAGCTGTCTGTCCAGGGACCCAAAAGCCGAGTGATGGATGTCCCAAATGCAGACACCACTCGGAGACCCACCCGGCAGCTAGGCAGACATAGCAGGCACTTTGCTGAGGGCCTAACTCCCATGCTGCAGGATGACTGTATATCAAGATCTGTGATCACTGCGGAAGTCTCATTTTCCCAGACTTGGTTCCGCAGCTGTGCTGCCTTCAGATGCTGCCTTGGTTGAAATCCTGGCTCTTACTAGGTATGTGGCCATGGGCAGGTTATTTATCTTTCCCATGTTTCAATGTCCTTATCTTCAAAATAGGGATAATAATAGCACCTTTCTCCTAGGCTGTTGTGAGAATTAGACCAGCACGCTCACCATAGGTATTAGTTATGTGAGTACTATTACTGTCAAAGGTAAGGTAGGAGTATAGTTTCCTCTTATACTCTCAGCTTCACAGTGCCAGAGTCATTGACACCTGCTCTCAACTGCCTCGCTGTGCCCTCAACGCTCAGCCCTGGTGCCTCTGCCAGGGCTCTCTGCATGAAGAGTCGCCTTCCCCTTACATCAGGGCTGGCTTTGTGTTGTCTCTGAAACTTCTTGGACCTTGCCAGCGTGTTCTTTGGTCCTCTTCTTACGTGGAACTGCCAGTATCAGTGTGCCACTGAGCCTCAGTCTGTTCCATGATTTGTTTATTTTTAAATTTTATTTTATTTTATTTTTAGAGACTGGGTCTCACTCTGTGGCCCAGGCTGGAGTGCAGTGGCATGATCATGGCTCACTGCAGCCTCAAACTCCTGATCTCAAGTGATCTGTCTGCCACAGCCTCGCGAGGAGCTAGGACCACGGGCACTCACCACCATGGCTGGCTAATTTTCTCTCTCTTTTTTATTTTTGTAGAAATGGGAGTCTGTGTTGCCCAGGCTGGTCTCAAATTCCTGGCCTCAAGTAATACTCCTGCCTCAGCATCCCAAGGCACTGGGATAACAGGCTTGAGCCACAGCGTGCCTGGCCTATTTAAAACCTTTTCTTTCAAGAAAACAGAAGTATCTTAGGGGATTTAGAACCATACTACTATGGTCCTGCTTCAGAAAATCTACTATCTCTTTATGTATTTTTTCATCTAACTCAGTTTTGTTGTGCATTGTTTAGGTCAGAGTTGTTTAAGCTCAGCACTATTGATATTTTGGGCCAGATAATTCCATGTGGTGGGGACTCTCTTGAGCAGTTGAGAATGTTTAACGGCAACCCTGGCCCTCCCCCCACTAGATGCCAGTAGCACCCACTCCTCTGGTTGTGGCAAAATATCTCTAGACATTGCCAGTGTCCTCTGGGATAAGGTTGTCAGATTTAGCAAATAAATTTGATATCAAAATTAGCAAATATATTTGATATCAAAATATATTTTATCTGGCAGCCTTCCTCTGTGGGCAAAAATCACTCCAGGTTGGGAACCACGGGTTTAAATACCCTACACGTTCACATTCATTTACTCACATGATAACTGCGTCAGGTAGTTACTAGCAACCCATTCTAAAGATGAGGAAACTGAGTCTTGAAGAAGGAAAGTGGCTTGCCCACAGTCACCCAGGTCGATGGCTCATTTCAGTGCTCTTTCCATTTTATTACAGTGGCCCAACAGAGCTCAGCCTCTTGCAATATCTTCCTTGTTTATGAACATTCAGGAGGCTCCATTCCAACTCTTCTGGGCTGATGCTCTGATGATTGGGACATCGATTGTGTGAAGGGCCAAACTAGACATTGTCCTACAAACCTCTCCACCTCACACAGCTCTGAAAACGTTTCTTGGAGAGGAGGCAAAGGGAGAGGAAGGGAAAGGAACAGCAGGGGGTGCAGGGTCCCCGCCTCCCACAGCTCCGCAGCCAAAGCCTGGAGAGACAAAAGGCAGTGCGGCGCAGGGGTGATTATTTCCCTTGCTCTATCACCCAGCTCAATGGGGCATTCTGGATGCCTGCCCTCCGATGCCCAGGGGCCTTATTAACAGACCTCAGCTGTTGCCCAAAGCCCTTACCTCACCCAAGAGGGCTCTATTTGCATGATAATGCCCTCCTTGGGGGAATTATTGCTTAATTAAAGAACAGCAATCACTTTAATTAGCATGCCTCCTTGCTCCCTGGTACTTTGCATGGATTCAAATGAGCTCCTCATTAGGTATTGGCACTTGGACAAATCGAGGGCCTCTGGCTGGGAAGGGAGGCTCCCAGGGCAGGCAGCCCCAGCCGGGACCTCAATGGCGGGGAGGCCCAGCCCTGCCAAGAACACAACCCCGGCTTTGTGAAGGGAATGGCAGACAGGGCCTGGGCCAGCACCCTTTGAGGCCCACAACAGGGCACACAGGGGAGGGCCAGGCCCTGGAGGGTGGTGTTTGCAGGCGCCGGCCAAGGGCTCTCTCTTTGCCTCTGTCCGCTTGAGCTACACCCCCCTTTCAGCTCTTTTGCCATTGGCATTTAGCTGTATTACACCATCCTCCTCCTCCCGTAAGAATGTTTGGAGCCTTTCTCCATCAGTCCCCGCTACACCCATGCGCACCTGGCTCAGTCTCAGTGCCCCTCAGACTCTTCACTCCCAGTTTTGGAGTGCAGTTTTCTCTTCTAACTGGTAATGTAGGAGGATGGCACATAAAACAAAACAAGCAAACAAGAAAACACACCTGTCTTCATCCAGAGATGGTATCTCTCTCCCAGGGCAAGATCACCCTGCTCTTTAGCTTCTCTCCCCTGAGATCTAGAAAGAATCCAGGAACAACTCCACCCACAGACCCCTGAGCTGCATTTCCAGAAATAGGGGCCACTGTGGATTCTCACCACCACAACTCACCCTCCCCCAATCATTAATAAAACCTAGGTTATTTTGTGGGCCACCGAACTACTGCTTTCAGCACATGGAGTCCGACGCCGACCTAATTATACTTTGATATTTCTCTTGATCTCTGTTAGAGTAGAGCAACTGGCTCCCCTCCAGGAAGAATCTTCTTCCTCTGCCTGGATGTCAGTGTACCTAAAATCACCTGACTTTTGTTCTCCTTCCTACCTCTGTCTCTCTCTCTTTCTCTCTGTCTCTCTATCTATCTCTTACACGCACACACACACACACACACACACTCTCCACGGAGAAGGTAAAAATGTCTCTAGGTTTGTATTCAAGAGATCTGGTTTCCAGTCTAAGCTTAGCATCCAGGGAAGAAGCATCTGTCTCAACTCTTTTCTGGAGTTTTCAGGAAGAGAGAGAATAGCTCCAGGCTGCCACCCCAGAGAGACCCAAAGCAGCCCTGACTCAATCCAGGACCTTCCTCCACAGCCCCAGCAGGTGCACATTCAGTCTCTCAGGCAGCTCCAGCTCCAGCTCCCTCACCTCCAACCTCCCCCGCAACCCCAGTGAGCCAGCCTGGGGCTCCCCTATCTTTAGAGTCTCCGCTTTCCCTGTGTGAGAGGAGAATTCCACCAGAAGAGGAGGGAGCTGGGAGCTATGTCAAGGGCTCAAGCTGGAGAGCCGTGGAGGGGAGTGGAAGCGGGGAGCTGGTGGTGGTGTCTGGGGAGAAAGGAACTCACTCCCCTCAGCATCATCCTGCAGAGAGAGTAACAGCAAATCAGAGGTAAATCCACTTCCTGGCAGGAAGCTGAGCCTGAAACCAGATGAAGCCACAGTGGTTCAAAGGCAGAGTGACACTCAAACAAGAGAGCAGCCCTTAATCCCCCATAGAAAGATGAGAATGGCGCGCTCAGGCCCAGGAGGGAGACCGTGCGGCTTTGTGTAAGCAGGATTGAAAACACAGCCCTATTGAAAGGCTGGGACTTCGAGACACAGACCCTGAGGGCCAGTTGCCAAGTTGAAGGCAGCCCAAGGCTGCCAGCTTTCACCTCTTTAGTTCTGGCCTTGGCAGTAATGAGGTGAAGGGCCGGGACTTTTAACTGGCTAGGTCAAAAAGGTTTCCTTATTAGACAAACAGTGCGGGCTGGGGGTGGGGGGTGCATTGGTGTCTAAGCTTAGAACCGATAGCTTCCAGAAAAAGAGGCAGAGCCAGAGGTCTGTCTCCTCACACACCTGCCTCTCCTGCCGAGCCAGCCCCTGGATCTTCACCTCTGTCCCAGCCTGCTCCTGCCCATCCGCACCAGGCTTGAGGAGGGGACTTGAGGAGGTGTCAAGAGGGCCAGAAGAGGGCCCAGCGAGCTATGGAGTGACACAGAGTGGGCTGGGGAGGAAACTGCCCTGAGGCTGCTTCTTTTTTTTTTGAGACAGAGTCTCATTCTGTTGCCCGGCTGGAGTGCAGTGGCATGATCTTGGCTCACAGCAACCTCTGCCTCCTGGGTTCAAGTGATTCTCCTGCCTTAGCCTCCTGAGTAGCTGGGACTACAGGCACACGCCACCACGCCCAGCTAATTTTTGTGTTTTTAGTAGAGACAGGGTTTCCCCATGTTAGCCAGGATGGTCTCGAACTCCTGACCTTGTGATCCGCCCACCTCGGCCTTCCAAAGTGCTGGGATTACAGGCGTGAGTCACCGTGCCCAGCCGAGGCTGCTTCTTGACCTATAGGTCAGCGCCTGTGATAAGGCAAACTTGGGGAGAACAGCCCTGTCCGGTGGGTAGACAGCCTGCAGCAGTGAGCGCCCCCTTTCCTGGGTGGCGGCAGAACAGCTCCGTGCGCAGCTGCTGTCCCCAGCACTGCCCTGGCATCAAAGGCCCACACCCTGCTTGTGTCTCTAAAGCTGTTTGTCAACCAGTGCTCTACAAAGACCTCAAGTTTAGAAGCTGGTGCCTGGGGGACCAAAAGACAGGGTGTAGGGGGTGTAGCGGAAGAGGATTCCCAAGCTGAGTGAAAGGATTTCCTATCCCCTCACTCACACATCTCAACCAGAACAGCTTCTTTTTATTGACTTGCCATATCTTCCATGTAAGATTTCATCCAAGGAGACAATTACAGAAACCAGAGAGTTGAAAAAGCACTGTCCTACAAGGTGAGAAGGTGCTCTGGAGGGGAGACTCATACTTCTCTAGTTTCATAACAATATCTTTGCACAGTTAGCATCCAAATATAATTCATTAAAGAAGTGCTTCTTAAACACCTTATTCACATGGCCACTAGTTCCACAGAGTATTGGCGGCTTGCAAAGAGATGCATGCACTAAAGCAGGAGTAAGTCCAAATAAGAATGAATAACTAGGATCACAGAAAATATACACGAAATGAAATCAAGACTAGGGAAGAGAAACACACATACACGGGGGATAAAGTCCTGCATATTTGCTGTTATTGGACTCCAGATTGGCTTCTGAGCTTCCCTGAAGGCAAATCTGGAGAGGAAAAGAGAGAGGAAAAAAAGGAGACAGACAGACAGATGTCTGGAATCTAATTCTCTTTACCAGAATGAAGGAAATATACCAGCGTGTCAGGCTAAGCAAAATTTTTTCCAGCTGTAAGTTTTAGAAGAAATTTCTCACAATGAAATTCGTATAGGCAGTGCTGAGTAACAGGATTGGCAATGTCTTTAGTTGACACCCTACAGTAATAAGACTCCGTTGATGAGGGTACAAGATAAAATGGCCCAAAAGAATGGTCTTGTATCACTTTAGTTTGATCTAAGCATAACCCATCCATTTTAGTTTGGGTTCCCCTAGAAGCAGACCTGGAGAAAGGGATTCAAATACAAGTCATTTGTTTGATCCCAGTAAACACTAGTAGGAGAGTGGGCAAGTGAGACAGGAAAGGAAAAAAGGCCCCCAAAAAGGTGTGTTACCAAGCTAGTTCCTACTAAGGGAATTAAAGCTCATCCCCACTGAGGAATTCTGGGAGTGTTGAACAGCCTCTGAATCATCCTACCTGAGGCGGGGAGGGAGCTGGGGCATATATACCAACTCCCATCAATCAATGGTTGAGGGCTGCTCTAGGAGCATGAATTCCCCGGTGTGTCTGGTTTACCACATATGTGGGCAAAGCAGGCTGCAGCAGGCAAAGAAAGGCCTCAGGCAAGTGATATAGAAGCTGGCAGTCGGAATGTCAGCCAGCATGCCCCGAAATGGTACAGGCCAAGGAGGTGCCGACAGGATGCTGACAGCATCACATCAGCTTGGGGACCCATGGTGACACCCTAGCAGGAGCAGCCCCAGGACACAGAGGTTGCAGCGAGCCAAGATCGCGCCACCACACTCCAGCCTGGGCGACAGAGTGAGCCTCCATCTAAAAAAAAAAAAAGAAAAAGAATGACATTCTGGTTTAGAGTTTTTATAATACTTTTATAATTTAAAAATTTGGAAAATGTTTATAACGACATTTCTGCCAGGAAATACTTCCTGTGGACTTTGATTTTCATGGCAGTATCAAAATGCGTGTTTTATATGTACATCAGCAACTAGGGATCTATACTCTTCATATGTGGTCCACTTCCTGGCCCCTTTGTCAAGGCCAACGAGAGGTGAGGAAAAAACCTCAATCTGGCCGGGTGCAGTGGCTCATGCCTGTAATCCCAGCACTTTGGGAGGCCGAGGCGGGCAGATCACTTGAGGTTAGGAGTTCGAGATCAGCCTAGCCAACATGAAGAAACCCCGTCTCTACTAAAAATAGAAAAATTAGCCGGGCGTGGTGGTGCATGCCTGTAATCCCAGCTACTCGAGAGGCTGAGGCAGGAGAATCACTTGAACCTGGGAGGCAGAGGTTGCGGTGAGCCGAGATTGCACCAATGCACTCCAGCCTGGGCAACAAGAGCAAAACTCTGTCTCAAAAAAAAGAAAAACAAACAAAAAACAAAACAAAAAAACCCCCTCAATCTTCTATTGGTTTAGACAGATTCGTTCACAACCACAGATAGTAAATCAATGATCAATAATGGAGTGGCTGAGCTTGAAAACTCCAATTGCTCCCCATGTAAAAATATCGACCTGGGGAAAAAAATGGGTTAAAAGAGAGCGTGCGCAATTTTATTAAATACAAATTACTTCACTTTATTCCTGTAACAGAAAGAATATTCCATATCATTAAATGCTGCCCCTAAAAGGTGAGTAAGAAGAAAGCAAAAAGAAGTTGGAGGGTCTTCCTCCAGTTAGAGTAGAGTTTCTGAGCGTTGGACTGTTATCGAGGCGCTGAACCTTGCACTGGCTGTTGTCCGGTTTCTCTCCAAAACCTGGTTGAGACCACCGGTATTTGAAAAAGTTGGGGTAAGGGGCATTCTGGTCACTGATACTATGAACCTAACCCAAGTATGAAGCCTAAGGTATTCTGCTTTAATGGGAAGGGTATGAGCCTTATAACCTCCACCTTCTGGCTGTGTGGCCTTAGCAAAATCATTTAACCTTTCTGTTCTGTCATTTGTTAAAAGAAGATAGTAACAACTTCCTTACAGGCTGTTAGGAGAGTTAGAGATAATGCATGCAAAATGCTGGCCCTGTTTCTGATATGTAGTAAAGGCACAGTAAAAGAAACTATGATTATCTAGTAAGACCCATCTCTACAAAAAATAAAAATAAAAAAATAGCTGGTCATGGTGGTGCATGCCTGTAGTCAGCCACAGCTACTCGAGAGGCTGAGGTGGGAGGATCGCTTGAGCCCAGGAGTTCAAGGCTGCAGAGAGCTATGGTCACACCACTGCACTCCAGCCTAGGAGACAAAGTGAGATCCTGTCAAAAAAAAAAGGAAGATGAAGAAACTGATTTTCATCACCAAATGAGGAGTTCTTTAAATGGAGATGGGATACATCTTCTGTTTGACATGACATAGGAGTATAATCAGGGGACCTTGGGTTCAGATATCTAATCATGCTCAAAAAGACTTAAAGTTATAAATCAATCTAGCAATTCAAGAGTACATTTACAATTAACTTTCCTCAAAGAGCCATCAGAGCATTGCTCCAAGCTAGATATTCTAAGAGAACATTTTTGAGATCTTTCTATGGCTGTGTATGGTCGTTGGCTGGCAACATTCCCCTCTGAACATCAAGGCCCAAGTAATTTGGATCATTCTTTATGGCCAAGCTTTTCAAATAAAGTTTCTATATCCTGAGGGAAACATCCAATATGCCACAGGGTGTGTGAAGCCACAGGATAAAAATGGCTCTTAAGAAAGAGGATCCTTTTGGTTAAAGACCTTTAGGGAAAACTTTAAGTAATTTAACAAGTAATTTATCAGAAGTATATTATAGATTATAAAAATATTTTAAGATGAAATGTGAGAATTTGAAGGAATTTCATGCTCATGGCCAGCGACATCCGGCGTGAGTCTCAGGCTCTTGGGGCTGAGCAGAAGGTTCTCATTATTGGAGGGCAATTGATCCCGGAAAATGGCCACTTACAGTGAATCCACTAAAAACGGGAACCAAATATTTCATAGTAAATAATAGCGAGAAAAGTGTCTATTAGAATTTTATATTGCAAATTAAACCCCCAAAAATATGTAAAGCAAGCTGCTTACGGCAAAGAACCCCACCCTTCCTCAAATGACTTAGATTAAGACTTTACCTATGACAAGGCCAGTCACAGACCCTCCAGAGTCCCTTGCTCTGCCTCATCAATGATTAGCTAAGCTGCTTGTCTCCACGGATCAATTGGGACAAAATGCTTGTAACCAAACTTCATTGAAGAGTTTCTTTTTCAAGGCCCCTGGACTTTGGGCACCCTCAGCCTGAGCCAGCAAACAGCCCTTCCTGACAAGAGGCAGGCCTCTGGGTCAAACAGCCCCTGCCTCACTGCCTGACCCTGCTGCCCCATCACCCACCCCCTTCCCCACACCTGCTTCTTTCTAGCCTTGTTTACTCTTCCCTAGAAAGGAAAAAAATTCCTGTCTGCCTTATTCCTAAGAAGCTTTCAGAAGGATGGTCAGGGCCTTCTCCCTATTGCAATAGTCCCTTCCCCTCCCCCAGCCTTGCAATAATTCTCTTTGGATAAAAGTCTACTCTTACCAAGTCTGGATTTGTTTTTTATTCGACAAGAGTATAATTTATCATATAAAGAGTAGTTTTATATATAACTTGTATGTAGACTCTATTATATATAGTTATATATTTATTGTGTATTTGTTATATGTCTACTCTTTCAAATAGTAGTTATATATTTATATACTATGTTACATATTTTTAATATATAAGCAATTTTTTTTGAGAGATGATCTCCCTCTGTCACCCAGGCTGGAGGGTAGTGGCAATCGTAGCTTGCTGCAGCCTCTAATTCCTGGGCTCAATTGATCCGCCTGCTTCAGCCTTCTAAGTAGCTGGAACTACATGTGTGTGCCACCACGCCCAACTAATTTTTCTAATTTTTTGTAAAGACAGAGTCTCACTATGTTCCCTAGGTTGGTCTTGAATTCCTGGCCTCAAGCAGTACTCTTGTCTCGGCCTCCCAAAGTGCTGGGATTACAGGTGTGAGCCACCACGCCCAGCCTAAAGCTACTCTTTATGTGGTAAATTATATGTGTGTGTATAAATTCATTCAAGTTTCATGATAACCATATAATAAAGTCCATATTCTTGTTTTAGCTTTAATTTAAAAATAAGAAAGCAGTCTCAAGAAACACTTGCCCAATAGGTGAAGTAGGGATCTGAAACCAGATCTTCTGTCTTTAAATCCTGGCTTACTCTTGCTACACAATCACTGATTTTTTTTTTTTTTTTAGACAGAGTCTTGCTCTGTTGCCCAGGCTGGGGTGCAATGATGCGATCTTGGCTTACTGCAACCTCTGCCTCCTGGGTTCAAGAGATTCTCCCTACCTCAGCCTCCCGAGTAGCTGGGATTACCGGCACCTGCCACCACACCTGGCTAATTTTTTTTTGTATTTTTGTACAGACAGGGTTTCACCATGTTGGCCAGGCTGGTCTCAAACTTCTGACCTCAGATGATCCACCCGCCTCCGCCTCCCAAAGTGCTGGGATTACAGATGTGAGCCACCGTGCCTGGCCTCACTAATCTTTTCTGAAAGTGGACAAGACGCAAACACTAAGCTTCACACCATAAGGGAGAGTGCTTGCCTCTGGCCTTTCCCGTCTCTCAGGCCTGCCCTGATGTGCTTACTCACATGCACTGTGACGGTTGTTTTTGTTTGTTTGTTGCCCCAGTGTATGCAGCTGTGCTGGTAATTAAGAACATTCTGTGGTTACGATGGAGGACAATCCCATGTGACGCCTTTAGCACAGAGACCAGCATGGAGTCAACCCTCCATGCATACTAGTGTCAACACTGGGCACCATGCTGGATGTGTTATTGAAGTCACATTTGGCCTAGTTCCAAGTGGATGTGAGGTTTGACTTAGTTACTGCACTGGATCTCCCAACAGTTTAATGAGCCAGGTGGAAGTGAGGAACCAAGACCTGAGTGTTTATCCTTTGGTAGATTGGTCTGTGTTTCCAATAACCAGTAGTGACATGTGGTTACCACATATTAGAGACAAAAAGAATCCTGCAAGTTATGTACTATTATATTCATTTTTGCAGAAGAAAATAATAGAAATTAAATAATTTGCCCAACATACAGGAGAGCTCAGTCTACTAGACTCTTAGGCTCTCCCTCTTTTTTTCCTCCTCCTCCTCCTGTTCCTCCTTGTATCTTTTATCACATTCTCTTAATCAGAAATTTTCAAGCACATAGTTTAAAGACACCAAGAGTTCTGCAAGACTTGATAAGAAACGCAACAGCCCCCTCCATCACTCCCCCTCTCCCCACCAATTCTTGCTCCTCAGGAGTAACCTTCTCAACCCTTTCTTTTCTTTTCTTTTCTTTTCTTTTCTTTTCTTTTCTTTTCTTTTATGAGACAGAGTCTCCCTCTGTTGCTCAGGCTGTAGTGCAGTGACACGATCTCAGCTCACAGCAACCCGCCTCCCAAGTTCAAGTGATTCTCGTGCCTCAGCCTCCCAAGTAGCACGCGCCACCCCACCCGGCTGATTTTTTTTGTATTTTTAGTAGAGACGGGGTTTCACCATGTTGGCCAGGCTGGTCTTGAACTCCTGACCTCAAGTGATCCACTCACCTCAGCCTCCCAAAGTGCTAGGATTACAGGCGTGAGCCACCAGGCCCAGCCTTTTCTCAACTCTTTTGAACGGATTCTTTACTTTCTTTGCTAAATAGCAAGCTTATATCGCTACTGCTTAATTTTCCAATGTTAACCATTTCCTAGATTTTTCTTAAGTTAGGCCTTTGTCTATTTCTCGTTAGGAAAAGGGAGGATTTCAGGCCCGGCGCGGTGGCTCACGCCTGTAATCGCAGCACTTTGGGAGGCCGAGGGGGGCGGATCACGAGGTCAGGAGATCGAGACCATCCTGGCTAACACGGTGAAACCCCATCTCTACTAAAAATACAAAAAATTAGCCAGGCATGGTGGCGGGCGCCTGTAGTCCCAGCTACTGGGGAGGCTGAGGCAGGAGAATGGCGTGAGCCCAGGAGGTGGAGCTTGCAGTGAGCCGAGATTGCGCCACTGCACTCCAGCCTGGGCGACAGAGGGAGACCATCTCAAAAAAAAAAAAGGAAAGGGGAGGATTTCTTTCTCTCTCCGTTGCCAAAACATCCCGTTGCCACACACTGACGCACGCAGCTCCCGCCCCCACTCAGCTGGCCATTTCCCGAGTATAATTAGATCGTAATTTTCATTAGATCAACATTCAATATTTACTTTATCATGAATACATAAACGCTACCCACAGCCAAGTCGTGAGTGTACAATGATTATTTTCCCTCTGCGAAATTTTCCTCCTAGAGTTAAAAATCGTTTGGTTTTGTTTGTTTAGTTTTCTGTATATTTATTGCTGGTGTATTCCCAAACTCTCCCCAGATTGAGTAATCTCGTTTCAATTCCCTCAAATATTGAGATGACTTAGTCTATCTGCCTCGTTTTCTCCAGGAGATCATCCCTGGATCTTCTGGCTGGGCCAGTCTGCACTGGTTGTTCCCAGGGTCTGTTACAAAGCTGGTGGCTTGAGATCTCCCTTTACTATGTTATTGGAGCTTCCCGTTCCCTTGTTTCGGGGTCCTCTTTGTGCTGGGTGACATGTCTTCCTTCTTGGTGGAGCATATCCTTTGCAGTGGAATCCTGAGACAGTGCATGACAGACAAAATATGGACACATGGCACATATCTGAAAATGTCTCCATTCTGCCCTCACATTTGATTGGGAGTTTAGGTGAGTAGAAAATTCTACCTCGGAAGTAGCTGGCCTTTCTCCATTGTCTTCTAGCTTCCAGTGCTATTCTGATTCCTTGGTATGAAACTTGTTTATTTTCTCCGGAACCTTGTAGGATCCTCTCTTTGTTGCTAATATGCTGAAATGTCATAATTTACTTTCTTTGGGTGTTGGTTTTCTTCATTGATTATTCTGGGCACTTAATGGGCTCTTTCATTCTGGAAACTCACGTCTAAGACTAGGAAAATGTTCATGAATTATACCTTTGATCAGTTGATTTTTTAGATATATTTTTTAAAAATAGAGACAGGGTCTCACTATGTTGCCCAGGCTGGTCTCAAACTCCTGGACTCAAGTAATCCTCCCCTCTTGGCCTCCCAAAGTGCTGGGATTACAGGTATGAGCCACTTTGCTTGGCTGATTGATTGAATTGTATTTATTTTTATTTTTTTAGAGATGAAGTCTCACTCTGTCACTAAGGCTAGGGTGCAGTGGCATGATCATAGCTCACAGCAGCCTCAAACTCCTAGGCTCAAGCGATCCTCCTTCCTCATCCTCCCAAGTAGCTAGGACACCAGGCATCCATCACCATGCCTAGATAATTTATTTTTTATTTTTTTAGAGATGGGGTCTTGCTATATTAAGCAGGCTGATCTCGAACTCCTGGCCTCAAGTGATCCTCCCACCTTGGCCTCCTAAAGTGCTGGGATTCCAGGTGTGAGCTGCCATGTTCAGCCTAATTTACTTTTTTAACCTCTATTTTCTCTATTATCTCTTTTTGGAATTCCTGTAATTTGAATATTTTCTTGAATGCATCTTATAATTCTCTTTTTTCTTCTCTCCTAACTCTTACCTCTACTTTCTGATTAATTTCCTCCACTTATTTTTCAATCATCTATTGATTGTTAAAACTTTATCCTATCATATTTAGTTTCCAAGAGTTCTTTTTTGTTCCCCAGTAATTCCATTCTTTTTTTTTGAGACAGGGTCTCACTCTGCTGCCCAGGCTGGAGTCCAGTGGTATGATCACAGCCCACTGCAGCCTCAACCTCCCGGGCTCAAGAAATCCTCCTGCTTCAGCCCTCCAAGTAACTGGGACTACAGGCACGCAGCACCATGTCCAGCTAATTTTTGTATTTTTTCATAGCGATGGGTCTTCACCATGTTGCCCAGGCTGGTCTCAAAATTCTGGGCTCAAGTGATCCATCTTGGCTTCCCAAAGTGCTTTGATTATAAGTGTGAGCCACCATGCCTGGCCAATATTTTTTTTATTAGCGT
This sequence comes from Homo sapiens, assembly GCF_000001405.40. NCBI lineage: Eukaryota > Metazoa > Chordata > Mammalia > Primates > Hominidae > Homo > Homo sapiens. Next base: position 126,093,941 of record NC_000011.10, read on the forward strand.
CCCATTCTTGATTTTGTAGATGCAATATTACAACTTTCTAAGTACATAAGAGTTTTCTTCCCCATGCATAGTCTTTGTTTTCTCCAAGATTTGTTGTCTTCTGTTTGTTTGTTCGGCCTTTTGCTGGTAGAAGCTTTTTTCAAACGCCTGGTGCTTCTTAGTGACTGCTTATGAACAGGGTACCAAACAGCTGTGTGGTAGTACTTACCACTGGATGGGCAGAGCTTGCCAAGTGTAGATTTCACTGCAGGTAATCTAGCTGGGCCATTCCCTTGGGAAACTCTTGATGTCATTTGACAAAGTTTCTCTGGGAAACTTTATCTCCTGTTAGAGAATATAAGCCTAACTTTTACCATTCAGTGGAAGAAGGCTGGTGGTCTAAACTGGCATTTAACTTCCATGTCTTCATGTGTCGCAAATTGTGCCTCCTGTCCCATTGAAACTGTTGAAACTATTTTATCATCTCTAGAGAACAGAGGTCTAGCCTTTGGTAGGATGGAAGTGTGGAGCAGGGGAGAGGACATGGCATCTACCCACTTTTTGAGCAACCTTTTAACAAATCTTGTTTTCAGTGCCAATTTTGCCCCTCTCCTTTCTAGAAGAATCTTATATCGCTCATTCCTGAGTCTTTGAGGCTTCTGAGATATAATGTAGGATGTTCCTGTCTGAGTTAGGATTGAACTTTCTCAGGCCTGCTTAGACAGGTCCAACTTATTAATATGGTACTTGTCAAATGTGCTTCCTAGCCTCCAGAATTGTGTTGCTCTTATCTCCTTTCCCGTAGTTTTTGTGAGTTTGTAATATTTTTTGTTGTGTTTTAATGTGATGGTTAATATTGAATATCAGTCTTCCAGCCTTCATCCTTCTCCCATGCTGGATGCTTCCTGCCCTCAAACATTGGACTCCAAGTTCTTCAGCTTTTGGACTCATGGAGTTACACCAGTGGTTCACCAGGGGCTCTTGGCCTTCAGCCACAGACTGAAGGTTGCACTGTCAGCTTCCCTACTTTTAAGGTTTTAGAACTCGAACTGGCTTCCTTGCTCCTCAGCTTGCAAACGACCTATTGTGGGACTTCACCTTGTAATCGTGTGAGTCAATACTCCTTAATATTCTCCTTTTCATATCTACATCTATCCTATGAGTCCTTCCCTCTAGAGAATCCTAACTAATACACTTTAGTTTAGTTTTAATGGGGTTTCAGGAAGAATGGAGTTAAAGAGTATACATCATCTGGCATGTTTAACCAGGAGTTCAAGCCAGTACTTGAACTTAACTTCCACTGTTCTAGACTGCCTCCCAGGAAACAGCCCCAATATAAGAATAATAGTAATCATAATAAAAATAAATACATAATTACCAAGCTTTTATGATCTGCCAGACACTATTTTCAGCATATGGAAACTCATCATACACTAGCTGAGGCCACTGTGAATGCTTGGGGTTCTCCTTTGGAGCCTTCCCTCGCCCCAGGGCAGCCTGAAGGAGGACTTGCAGAATCCTCTAATGGTAACAATATTGGGTTCTGGAATGACTTGTGTTCGATTTTTGGCTTCAATTACTAGCTATGTAACTGCTGCAGTGTGCACATCTGTAAAATGTAGTTACTAAATCATACCTATCTGCCTTCCTGGGATATTGTGAGGATTATAAAATATAATGTATGTGAAGCTCTCAGCACAGTGTTTAGCAAATAGAAGCATTCAGAAAAACAAAAAAAGCGCTAGGATAGGGAGAACAGAACCCTTCCCGCAGGAGGCCACATGTCTGTCCTGGGGTGAGTGTGACTTTGACAACACTGTCCTGGAGACAGATCTGGGGTGAGGGGAGGAAGCTGGTGTTTAAGGTCCTTGAGGTGGCCACACCTACACATGTTCCCCTGCCTGTGCCTAGGATCTGACATTTCTCCATGCTCCTCTCTGGTTCTGCCTTTCCTCTTGACTATACTTTTCTGTGTCCCAACCCTTCTGTTAATACCTTACTGTCTCTGTCTCTATGTGCATTTGCTAATTAAGCTACATGGAGCCCGATAAGGACAGAGTTTTTAATCTCCCTTTGCAAATAAAGGAACTGAAGCATAGAAAGGAGCCACCCCAAAGACACATGGTTGCATCCAGGACTCAAAACAGGAGATCTGCTGGTTGCGGTAGCTCACGCCTGTAATCCTAGCACTTTGGGAGGCCGAGGAGGGTGGATCACCTGAGGTCAGCAGTTCAAGACTAGCCTGGCCAACATGGTGAAACCCGATCTCTACTAAAAATACAAAAATTAGCTGGGCGTCGTGGCGGGCACCTGTAATCCCAGCTGCTTGGGAGGCTTAGACATGAGAATCGCTTGAACTTGGGAGGCAGAGGTTGCAGTGAGCCGAGATCGTGCCATTGCACTCCAGCTTGGGCAACAGAGTGAGATTCTGTCTCGAAACAAAACAACAAAAACAAATAAACAAACAAACAAAAAAACAGGAGATCCGACCCTGAACCTGTGCTCTTCGCCCACCTTGGCCTTCATTTCAAGACTGGAAGGGTCTTGATCATCTGTTTCTGGGTCATTCCATCACCAGTCCTAATGACTACTTCATTTTCATTCTCGCTAGATGTTTTTCCTTCTCGTTGAGCCCTTCTCATACACAGACCTCCTCTCACACCATTTGGCCTTGTTTTCAGTACACCCAATGGAGTTTTCAAACATATTTTGGGCCCATAAGCCTAATATGAAGAAATGGAGCCCTGGCCACGTTGCAGGAATTCCTCCTTGGAGTACAGTTTCAAGCCGCTGCCTGGGGCTTCCACCTCATGCTAACTTCTCTCTCTTTTTTCAGATGGAGTCTCGCTCTGTCACCCAGGCTGGGTGCAATGGCGTGATCTTGGCTCACTGCAACCTCCACCTTCAGGATTCAAGCGATTCTCCTGCCTCAGCCTCCCAAGTAGCTAGGATTATAGGCATGTGCCACCACACCCAGCAAATTTTTTTTTTTTTTTTTTTTTTTTGAGATGGAGTCTCGCTCCGTTGCCCAGCCTGGAGTGCATTGACACAATCTTGGCTCACTGCAAGCTCCGCCTCCCGAGTTCACGCCATTCTCCTGCCTCAGCCTCCAGAGTAGCTGGGACTACAGGTGCCCGCCACCATGCTTGGCTAATTTTTTGTATTTTTAGTAGAGACGGGGTTTCACCGTGTTAGCCAGGATGATCTCGATCTCTTGACCTTGTGATCTGCCCACCTCGGCCTCCCAAAGTGCTGGGATTACAGGCGTGAGCCACCGCGCCCAGCCTAATTTTTGTATTTTCAGTAGAGACAGGTTTCTCCACCGTGGCCAGGCTGATCTCGAACTCCTGACCTCAGGTGATCTGCCCACCTCAGCCTCCCAAAGTGCTGGGATTACAGGCATGAGCCACGGTGCCCAGCCCTTATGCTAACTTCTGATGGAGAAGTTAGAGAAGTTCTTGCTCCAGGCCTCACAGTGGGTGGTACGTGGTAGAGCCCTCCTCTCCCACTACTTCCCCCAAATTGCTTTCACCATGAGCCAAGGCTTCAAAACCTTTGCTTCACATTTTGGCTTAAGGTGATCTAACCTCAGAGCTCACCACTCGGCCACATCAGCCACTGTCAGGTTCAAGGTACGCTTCACCGTGCACTGGCCTGTTCTCCTGGCCTGGTGTCCATGGCTCGGACCACGTCCTCCTCTGGAATAGCCCATCTCCAGGTTTGTTGTCAGCCAGAATTCCCGACTTCTCCCACAGCAAACACTTCCTCCTGGTTTCAGCTCCCCCGTGGTCTCCTCTCCCCAGCTCCTTCCTCGTTTTCCGCTCCTTATTTCCCTTCATTGACTGCCAGAATGAGGCACAGAGGAGCCCCAGGAAAGGGGCCTGACACTTGGCTCCACCCTGGGCTGCAATATGTTGCTTCAGTTATTCCTCACTTTAATTCCCTTCTTATGAGAAACTGAAGCCCAGACAGGAATATTAAGAAAGTTGTCACCCCATAAATACACACAATTATTATTTGTCCCTAAAAAATAAATTTGCCATAAGTGCTATAAGGTCACCTAGCCAGAAAATACTGGAACAGAATTGCCTTCACATCAGATTTCAGAGCAAGCGAGACTAGCTAAAGAGACAGCATATCAGGGAATGATCAGGAGGGAAGCTTATGGTGCAGAGACCAGGAGGGTATCCAGAAAATGTGAAACAGTGGAGAGGGTAATGGAATCAAAACCATGTTTGGCTGGAGGGACACTAGAAATCTGGGTACCCTGAATTGTGAAGACATGGTAGGGGTGGGGGCATCTTAGGCGTTTGAGATTAGTGCTGGGGGCTTCTACTCCCCAAATTTCCCCCGCATGACTCCTATCAGAGGCCTAGGGTGCTGGGCAGAGGCTCTGGAGTGAGGAGGAGTTAGCCTGGGCATCGGGTTGCTGGTGGGTTTGTGTCAGTGGAACGTGAGAGTGAGGAAGGGGACTGGCGGAGCTGCCAGCACTCTCCTCAGGGCAGGGCCCCCACGGAGCAAACAGCTGTGGCCTCCAAAGGGCACCAGTTCCAAAGGTTCTCTTTTTCTTCATGAGACTACAAGACCAGGATGAGGGAAAAGGGGCGTTTGGTTGGGAACCTGGTTTACATTTTAGATAGAGACTCTAATTGATTCAGACCTGAGCCTCTTCACTTCTCAGGAGTGAGAAGCCACTGAGCTCCTTCCATGTTCCAGGAGAGTAAGGCCTTTTCCTCTCCAGAGAAGGTTCTGGCTTAACCCATTCCTGGCCCTCAGATGTCTGTGTCCTCTGGCCAGTGTAAGCTTGCAGAGCAGGGAGTGATAGGAAGAGGCCCTGGCATCAGGAAGATGCAGAAAGGATCAACACCCACTCCTTTCCTCAACTTCAGGCTTTGCTCCTTCCTCACAGACACATCCCTGCTGCCATGTGGCCTGGGTTCCCCTGGCAGCCTCACGACCCTCCCATCCCTGCACCTAGACCAGACGGATGCTTAAAGAAAGTCCACCTCCTGGGCGGTTAGAAGATCGGGGTCTAAATATCACTTATTTTTCTGCATATGATCTTGTGCCGGTCATTTAATTTCTTTGTACTGCGTATTCCTTAGCACAAAATACAAGCATTAGACTTTTTCCTTTTCATTTCTATTCATTTTTTAATACAAAAGCAATATATGCCTTTGTTAAAAATTTAAAAAAACCATGAATATAGAGGTGTATAGCCCTTCAAGCTTTTAAAGAATGAATTTTAAATACTGTCCATAAATCTATAAAAACATAGGCTTTTATTTTGCTTCATTTTACATAAATGAGATGATACTGTGCAGACTGCCTTGAAGCAAGCTTTTTTATTTTTTATTTTTATTTATTTTTTTGAGACGGAGTCTTATACTGTCACTGGGCTGGGGTGCAATGGTGTGATCTTGGTTCACTGCAACCTCTACCTCCCAGGTTCAAGCGATTCTCCTGGCTCAGCCTCCTGAGTAGCTGGGATTATAAGGGCCCATCACCACGCCCGGCTAATTTTTTGTATTTTTAGTAGAAACGAGGTTTCACCATGTTGGCCAGGCTGGTTTTGAACTCCTGACCTCATGATCTGCCTACCTCGGCCTCCCAAAGTGCTAGGATTACAGGCATGAGCCACTGCGCCCGGATGACTGAAGCATGCTTTTTAAAAAAACTTACTATATTATAGAGATTTTTCATCTAGAGATGTACAGTTCTACCTCAATCTTTTCCACGGCTGCATAGAATTTCCTAAGAGGCATCCCAATGTATTCACTTGTTTCCCTGTTGATAAACGTGTGGATAGTTTATAAAATTTCATTATTACAAACAATGCTGTAGCGAAAGTTCCCTTTGTAGTGACTCAACTTGGGGTGGTTGCCCAGCTCATTAGCCACCCAGGGGTGGTGTCTGTGATGTTTTCCTCACGGGGAACCCTCTCCTTGTCAGCATCCTTTACCCTGTAGTCCAGGCATCCACCGGGTCTTCTATTTGCGGGGCTGCCGTGCTTGGTCCTGGGGTGGTGGGCACCCCTTAAGCTGGACCAATGCAGAATCCTTTGCTGGGAATGTTCTCACTGAATCCAGGAGAGGGAAGCCCTGTTTTCTCATTAGGAAACTGGGATGACAAAAACCTAGGAGCTGCCAGAGGGCCTGAAAGAATGCAAGTGGCAGAGACAATAGAGAATCTCGTTTTTAACCAAAGGTCTAGATCATTTGTAAGGTGCCTCTGCTTCTAATGTTTTGGGTCGCTGGGAGAGGAAATCAGAGTGACTCGGGGCTTTCTTTTCTCACATTCACCTCTCTATGAATTCTGGCTGGGACTCTTTGAACTCTTGGAAGGCCAAGGACCTTTCTGGGAAGCCCTTTGCTCCATCTTCTTGACTTGATTGACTCTTCTAAAGGTAGAGATTCTCCAGCATCTCCTCGCCGAGATTGCATTTGTAATAAAGAACTACCTTCTTTGAGAGGCACCATTTGAAAGCTGTCCTCAGTCATTTGCATTTCAGTGTGTTTTTCAGGTCTTTTTATGAGAGCAAACTTTCCTCAGGGAGCCAGGATAAAGCAGGCAAACATGGATACATTCAAGGTGAAATATCTTTATTTCACAGTTCCTTCAAGCTCCTGGCCCTTACTTCTCCCGCTGGACATTCTCCCCATCTCACTCTTGCCATCACAGGCCACCACCTCCTCATCAAGCCTCCACCTCCTCTTCCTTCTTCTCTTCCTGCATGCAATGAGGATCAGAGTCCCTGCTGCACAGGGCTCCTATAAGAATCAAACGAGTTACTGCAGGTGATTGTGCTTTGTAAACTGTAAAGCACTGTCATTATTAACACCCAGGAGGAGAGGAAGCGCAGGAGCACAGAGACACCAGGAGGGAGGGGGCAGTGGATAATTGAGAAGGCAGAAAAGGGCAGTCCTGAAGGACCCCACACTGAGTGAATCGGCCAGTGGGAAAAGAGACTGGGGCTGGAGAAGGGGAGCTAGCAGCTTTGGAATGCAGAAAGTATTCAGATGTCCAAGCCAGGAGTGAAACCCCCACCTCTAACATTATTCATTTCCCTGGAGTGGGTGGCCTCAAGGAGTTTCTGTGACCTGCTCAGAGCAGGGGCTGCCTGAGGCCCGCGGCCTCTCTCGTGGTCCATCTTTCTGTCTCTCCATCCATCTCTCTCAGCCCTCAGGAGCTGGAGGCTGTTTCCCCCTGTCCATTCCTCAGACATCCCGAGGTGGAGAGAGACGGACAAGGAGATGTTGGTGTCTAGGAATCCTGGTGGGGTTGAGGGGAGTTGGGATCTGAGCTCTCCACTCTTCACCCCATCATCACTCGAGGGCCACAGCGGGGCAGTTGGGCACAGACAGCTTGGGGATGTGCGGCTCCCCCAAGGCGGGGCTGGGATATCAAAGTTGGAAGCGCGGGGGCATGTCAGCCTGGCTTTGTGAGTGGGGCTCCCATCAGTGCATGAAAGCCTTGCTCTACAAACTGCATTCGCTGCGCTCCCAACCTGCATTCCCCATTGGTCACGGCCTGGCCCCCAGCTGCATTCCTGGGCTAGAGGAGGCAGAGGGGCCTGGCCTCTTTGTTCTTCCCAAATCAGGGCTCAGAACCATGACAGGCTGATCACATTACCCAGCTGAGGTCAGCTTGGCAGGAGTGACCCCTCTTTCTCCTCCCCCATCTCACCAAGCCAGAGCCCCCCATTCCACCTTGTTGGCTCTCTCTACCTGTGCTGGGTCCTTCATAACAGGCTGCAATGGGTCTCCGTTGGGGAAGGAAAATCTTCAAAACCACAGCTCTGCTTCTGCTTCCTTCCAAGGTCAGATGCTGGGAGCAATGCCCAGACCCTCATTCCAGAGCTTGGCCAATTTCAGGCCATCTCCAAGGGCGTACAGCTGCTCTGGGGTGGGCCCAACTGCCCTGCTTGCTGCTGGACCTCTCAGAACCCATATAACATACACCTGGGTGGCGTCTCAGATCTGAGTTCAGTATCAGAACAAAGCCAGGTTCCCGCATTACCATAGATAGGATGCTTTTCTGACCTGAGCCCCCATTTAAACCACTGCCCCCTTGGCCTAGGGGTGACATCTTACCACCCCACTTCCTGTCCTATGCCTAGTGACAGGAACGCAAGCTTGAATCTGACCCGCCTGGGTCGATTCTTGGCTCTGCCACCTCCTTGCTGTGTGACCTTGGATGACTTACTTTACTTCTCTGTCCTTAATTTCCTCATTTGTAAAACTCAGCCAATCATGAGGCTTGAAAAAGATATTGTATTATAGATTTCTGGTCTGTTGGGTACACAACAAAAGCTACTTCTCCCACCCTCTTCCCTTCGCTTCCCTGAAATGAGTGGCCTCAAGGAGAGTCTTCACTAGGTCCTTCAGATCCTTTCTTCCTTTCTCTGAATTCCTAAAACTCCAAGAACAAGGGCCAAGGTATCTGGAGATAGCTATACCCAAATCACCCTGTGCTGTTCTGAAGAGTTTTATATGTCAGCTTTTGTCTCCCCAGCAAGCTTGTTGGCATTCCAGGAAAGACCTTTACTTTGTTATTTGTCCAACAAATGTGTAGTGAAGGTAACTGACCAGGCCACTGGGGATCCAGCAGTTGAGAAAGCAGTCCAGGTACCTGCTGTCACTAAGCTCGCAGCAGCATGGACAGGCAGGCCCTGTTTAATCGCACAATGAGTTGCAGTGAATTTTCCCAGTTGTACTGAGCACTGAGGTGGAAAAGCACAGGCCATCGTGAGAACAGAACAGGAGACTCTGAGAAGGCTCCTCTGAGTAAATGACATTGAAACTGAGACCCGCAGTCCTAGCAAGGAGCAGGAGGCAGGGAAACAGTCCTGGCTGACAGCCCAAGTGCAACTGTGAAGTGGGTGGGGAGGAGCCCAGCCGGATAAGGAACGTGGACTGCCTTCTAAGTGAAACCAGAAGCTATTATGAGGTTTTGAGCAGAAGCATGATGAGATCTGGGGTACTGGGCAAAGAGAAGAAAGGAGGTGAGGCTGGCCAGGGGTGGAAGGTGGTGAGACTCTTGGTGCTTCTTAGGCAGCGGATAGCTTGGAGGTATCGATTGGTGGCCCGGGCTGTATAGGGGCAGCAGAGACCGAGAGAGGCAGGCAGACCCATAGGGGCTCCTCCACAAAGATGTATTTGAAATTGAGGGCTTGGTTGGCCTGGGAGAACCATACTTTGGCCTGCTCTGAGTTACACAAGAAATGTGAACACCCTCGAAATAGCCCAGCCCTCATGGCTGAGGGGGTGTTTTCAGAGATTTTCAGCAGGGAGGACTCCTTTTATTGTTCTCACTCTCGCCTCATGACTTGTGTTGAAGGATTTTTGTCTGCTAGACAAATTGAATTCATTAAATGACTAATTAACTTTGCTGGCTTGTGTTTTATTAGTTGGGCCTACAGACCTGGTAATCCGAAGCTGCTGATGGCAGAAGATAACCGCTGCTTCCACATGGAGATGATTTAATTGCATCCCAAGCAGAGAAATGTGATGTTACGGTGAATCTGAGCAGCCTTGTTATTTATTTTACCCAATGGAGTTTATTGAGTATGTGTGAACAAAGCACAGCCCCTGCCCTCCAGGAGAGTTGAGTCTTGGAGGAGATACAGACAAGGAAACAGCCAATCACAATACAGCATTACATACCAGGCAAGCACAGGGTTCCGGGGTCACAGCCTTGGGAGGTGGGCTAGATGTTCTCCTTCTGTCCCTCCAGACGCACTCTGCACCTGCACCCACCCTGCTGCATGCCCCAGGCTCACTCGAAGGACTGTGCCAACCGCCCTCCTCTGCCCTGTCTCTTCCAGTTGAGTTTTTGCCAGTGGGATTCCCTGGCAGGAGGGGGAGGAGGTCAGCTTCCTCCCTGATCAGCCACCATGGATCTGGGGCTGCTGTGGCTGTGGTCCTCTACTGAAGGCCACAGAGCCTGTCAGGAGGCCCCTTCTTACAGCTATAGGTCTTGCAAAGTTCTGGTAGCTACCCCCTTCCCTTGTTCCTGTGGACTTATGGTGGAACGAGGACTTGAGCTGCTGCTGCTAGCTGTTTCATCACCCCTTGTTGGTGTCCTTTAATCCAGCCAAACACATTGTCAATAGTCCCTTCTTAAACTCTCCTCAGTTACCCCATTTGCAGGACTCGACTGTTCCGGCTGGGAACCTACCTGACTCACACAGGTAGGAAAGCTTCCTAGAGGGTTGCCATTGACGCTGTTATCAGAAGAATGACTAGAAATTAGCTCTAGTGCAGAAATATATGATTTCTAGGAGATTTTTCATAAACACTAAAATAGCTCTCCAACCTCCTTTGCTACCTATGGGACATTTAGGAACTGGGTAAGTCCAGGCTGGGAATCACTGGCCTAGAGCCTAAGAGGCTGCACAGACCCAAATGTAGAGGCCTTGGCTTTCTGCTTGCAGACTCTAAGGTGGGAAGAGAGAAAGTCAGGGGCTGCCTGCACCAGAGGGGCACTTCCCCTCAGGGGCTCCCTGGGACATGCGTGGGGGCCCTGCCATTTCCATTCCTTTCCCCAACCGGGCTCTGTCTTTTCAAAGAGCCAGCCTTGGGGGAGGCCGGTGAGAATGATGCCTGGGGAAAGAATGTGCCCTGCTCTGTCAGGCTGAGGGGGACAGCTGCCTGAAAGATCAGGTTTCAGAAGAAACAGGACTACCTCCTCCTGCATAGCAGTCCGGGCTCCCGGATGCCTGGACACCTGCTGAGGTCCCCTCCTCTGACCCCTCCCACTCTTCTCGGGGATGGGAAAGAGCTGAGCCCAGCTGTGGGTCTGTCATGCTCTCCCTCCCACTGCCTCTGGTCCCTCTCCCACTCCCTGTCACCTCCAATTAGACAACTCACATTCATGCTTTTCAGAATCTGGCCTCCTCACCAGCTTAATTCTGCACCGGTCCATGCCCTCTCCTGCATCTCCCCCCAACCCCCACCAGCTTCTGGAGGCTTCCATTTGAGATTTCATGCTGGCCTCACCCTCGTGTCTCTGTGGAGAACGCACTGCGCTTCTTCCTGCCAGGTCCGGGGCTCCGTCTCCCATTCCTCTTTCATCTACCTGAGACTCCAGGTCCTGCCATCTTTGGAGGTTAGCCTATGTCCCTCCGGCACCACCAACACCAGCACCTGCACCTCTCATGAGGAGCTCTGCTACCCTGTATTATTATGTAAATAACTAGCTACTATTATTTTCAGTGCCTACTCTGTGCAGGCAATTTGTCATGCACCATAACCCAACCATGTAGGGTGCTACCAGCACCATGTCACTGTTGAGGCCATCAAGCCCACAGAGCTGGGATCTTCCGTTTTGAAAGCCCTGGCTCTGAGCACTACACACACTGCCCTGTGGCTTCTCCCAGGTGCGCGGCAAGTCTCTGGGGTAGGGAGCGTCTGGTGCAGTTCTCGCGCTCCACTCGGGCTGCCCGGCAGCATTGGGCACATGGGCTGTTCACGGGGCAGCTGCAATTCTCCATTTAGCTTGAATCAGTTCATGTAGGGCTCTGCTCAAAGGCAGCCATTCCCAGGATACAAGCCAGAGTCCTGTTAGTGGCCCACGAGGCCCTGTGTGATTGCTGCACGCACTGTGCCACTTGCCTGCTCTGCTCCAAGCACACTGGCTCCCAGATGGGACTCCCATGTTCCAAGCATGCCCAGAGTCCCGCCATGAGTAACTGGCAAAGCCAGCACCCAGGACTCCTGTCTCTGGCCAGAGCTCTGTCCACCACTTAAGACTGTCTCCCAACTGCCTGGTCCACAGGACCTTATTTCCTGCCAGAGCCGAGGAAGCTGTATCCTTGCTGCAGTGGCTCTGTTCCCACGTGAGCACCGTGGCCATCGTGGACTCTCGCACCCTCCTGCTCCTGCAGCTATTGAGGCCTCCGGGCCGGCCCCACCTCTCTCTCAGAACTGTGTCCCCTCCTCCTTTCTCCCCACACTCCCAGGCCCCAGGCACCCTATCCTTCGGCTGCATATACCACTCCCAGGGGGAACCAGGACCCCTCGCCACCGGGCCTTCGCTGTTGCTGTTCCCCACTTGTTCCTGTCCAAGTCTTGAGGTTCTGTCCTAATCACACCCACCTGCGAGCTGTTCCAGTCTCCCCTCTGTCCCTTCTCCAGTTGAATAGCAGCCACTCTCCCTCCCTCTGCTGTTCTCCATGGCCTGTTGATTATCCGTCTCCTCACCCTCAGCCCCCATCTCTGCCATCAGGCCACTTTTCTTTTTTTTTTCTTTTGAGATAGGTTCTCGCTCAATTGCCCAGACTGGAGTACGGTGGTGGGATCTCAGCTCACTGCAGCCTCCACCTCCCAGGCTCAAGTGATCCCCTCCCCTCGGCCTCCCAAGTAGCTGGGACTACAGGTGGCATACCTGGCTAATTATTGTCTTTTTAGTAGAGATGGAGTTTCGCCATGTCGCCCGGGCTGTCCTCAAATTCCTGGCCTCAAGTGATCCGCCCACCTCAGCCTCCCAAAGTGCTGGGATTACAGGGGTGAACCACTGTGCCCAGCCTGGCACCGTATTTCTCAGCCTTTTGCTTATGTGTATTTCAGTCTCCACCTTTAGACTGTGAGACCCTAAAGGCAGAAAAAGGGTCATGTACATGTCATGCCCCGTGGTGGCTGGTGCCCAGTCCATACATGCAGATTTTAAATAATTCAGTGGAGTTGTCTGAGGGGGTAACTGAGGGCCAGACGAGAAAAGAATTGCCCCAGGTCATGAGGCAAGGTCCACAGCGCATCTAATCCCAGCAGGGATGGCAAGTGCAGTTTTCATTTCAGAGAAGCAGCCCATACGTGTTTAGTGTAAGTGGCAAGCAGACTTGTAGGGCAGTCCCATGACTCTTGTTTCTGGCCGTTACTAGTGCGATTGTTATGTCATGTGACAAAAGAGAGATGACCCGGAGGAGCCTACTATGATCTCAGGAATCCTTCAAGAGCAGTTTTCTTTGGCCGGGGTGGAGGGGAAGTCAGAGATGAGAAACGTGCTTTTGGAGATAGCTTGGAGACACCTGGCCAGGAATGTGGATGGCCTCTGAAGCTGAGAACAGCCTCAGCTGAGAGGCAGCAAGCAAAGAGGGACCTCAGCCCTCCAACCACAAGAAAATGAATCCAGCCAGCAACCTGAATGAGCTGGGAGCCGACACATCCCAGAGCCTCCAGAAAGGAGCGCAGCCCCTGGACATCTCTACTGCAGCCTGTGAGACTCTCCGCGGAGGACGCGGCTGAGCCATGCTGACGTGCAGAACTTCCAGCTATGGAATTTGTGTTTAGGCTGTTCGGTTTGTGGTCATTTGTTACAGAGCAATAGAAAAATAATACAGTGAGTATGTCTCAAATATCGCACAGGACATGGACTGAAAAAGCATCAGTCAAATTTAACTGGGTCTTCTGTCATTTTGTCTGCTAAATCTGGCAACTTAAATCCCAGGTAAGGCACGGACAGAGTCGGTGGGGCATAGACTCACTCAAGATGTCCCCAACTGGCACAGCGTTCCCCACACTGGAAGTGGTTTGCACACTCCCTCCAACCAGACAAAAAAGAGAGGGTTTCCAACGAACCCACCCAATAGCTGCACACAAATTGTAGCAACTTTCCTCACCTGGAGCCCATAGATAGAGTTCAGGGGTCTGTGACCTCAGATGGGAAAATCCGTACACCTTCATTTTCACTACTGTCTAACTTAAATATTTCCTTCAATTAAGAATATAGGCATTGTCAGTACTTATGACATTGTTACCAATATAAATCACATTACAGCTTTTCAATGGGAATGGCAATCATTAAAAAGTCAGGAAACAACTGTTTGATAAATAGGCTGTTGAGAAATAAGAATGCTTTTACACTGTTGGTGGGAGTGTAAATTAGTTCAACCATTGCCAAAGGCAGTGTGGCGATTCCTCAAGGATCTAGAACCAGAAATACCATTTGACCCAGCAATCCCATTACTGGGTATATACCCAAAGGATTATAAATCATTCTACTATAAAGACACATGCACACGTATGTTTACTGCAGCACTGTTCACAATAGCAAAGACTTGGAACCAACCCAAATGTCCATCAGTGATAGACTGGATAAAGAAAATGTGGCACATATACACCATGAAATACTATACAGCCATAAAAAAGGATGAGTTCATGTTCTTTGCAGGGACACGGGTGAAGCATCATTCTCAGCAAACTCACACAGGAACAGAAAACCAAACACCACATGTTCTCACTCAGAAGTGGGAGTTGAACAATGAGAGCACATGGACACAGGTAGGGGAATATCACACACTGGGGCCTGTCATGGGGTGGGGGATTAGGGGAGGGGTAGCATTAGGAGAAATACCTAACGTAGATGATGGATTGATGGGTGCAGCAAACCACCATGGCACGTGTATACCTATGTAATAAACCTGCACGTTCTGCACATGTACCCCAGAAAAAAGTATAACAATAAAAAAAGAAAGGTTAAGAAAAATCACATTACAGCTTTTGCTGATAATACAAAATAGTATTTACATTCATCACTATTTTGAAATTATGGTAGTTATTAGATCTTATTTCTTTCTTTCTTTTTTTTTTTTTTCTTTTTGAGACAGAATTTTTCTCTTTCGCCCAGGCTGGAGTGCAGTGGTACAATCTTGGCTCACTGCAACCTCCGCCCACCGGATTCAAGCAATTCTCCTGCCTCAGCCTCCCGAGTAGCTGGGGTTATAGGTGCCTGCCACCACGCCCAGCTAATTTTCATATTTTTAGTAGAGACAGGGTTTCCCCATGTTGGCCAGGCTGGTCTTGAACTCCTGACCTCAGGTGATCCACCCGCCTTGGCCTCCCAAAGTGCTGGAATTACAGGCGTGAGCCACCGTGCCTGGCAGAAATCTTGTTATTTCATGTGTTAGTTAAAAAGCACATATATTACTATATCACACATGTGTTTAATGTTTTGATAACCACATTTTAATATAATTGGGTTCCTTTGTAAATCTAATCTATTTTTTTTAATTATTCTAGGAAGGGGCCCATGGACTTCGGACTGCATCCATGGCACAAAAAGATGAAGAACCGGGCTAGAGGCCAGGCCCAGTGGCTCATGCCTATAATCCCAGCACTTTGGGAGGCCAAGACAAGTAAATCTCCTGAGGTTAGGAGTTTGAAACCAGCCTGGCCAACATGCTGAAAATACAAAATTACAAAAAATACCCTGTCTCTACTGAAAAAACAAAAATTAGCTGAATGTAGTGGCAGGTGCCTGTAATCCCAGCTACACAAGAGGCTGAGGCAGGAGAATCGCTTGAGCCCAGGAGGCAGAGGTTGCAGTGAGCTGAGATTGCGCTACTGCACTCCAGCCTGGGGACAGAGTGAGACTGTCTCAAAAAAAAAAAAAAAAAAACAAAAAAAAAACAACTGGGCTAGAGGAGGCAATGTGGCATAATGAAAGAAAAGTCATAAATATCAGACAACCTGGGTGCAGATCTTGGTTTGAATGCTTAATTGCTGTGAAAACTAGGTCATTTATTTACCCTTTTGAGCCTCAGTTTTCTCATCTGTAAAACAGAGTTATTGAGAGAATTAAAGAAATAATATATATGAACCACCTAGCACTGGCTGGTCCTCAATAAATGAATGCTACCGTTATGATTATCAATGCCCACAATTATTGCCAAAAATCACAACCACAGTGCCATTGGTTCTGCCTTTCCCTCTTCTCCAAATCTTAGCATAGCTGCCCTTGGTTCTAGCAGGGACAGTGGTGTCCTGTGGCCTCCAAATAGCTTTGCCCCATATAACCACAGCCCCTGCCCTGGGTCCCACAAGGCTCTGGTCAGCTCTTCTGACCGCCTCTGCCCTGTCCCTGGCTCAGCCCACACACCCCACCGTTCCAGCAAAGAGGACAAAAATGCACATCCACCCTATGGTGGTGACATCCTGCAGTTTGCTAATGAGAAACAAGTGGCCTTCCATGCTCAGTGCAGAGGGAGGAGGACAGAGTCCCACCTCAGGCCAAACCCACATTTCTGAGGTGGCAGAGGGTGACACGGCCAGGAGGGTGCAAAGGACTCCTCCACCTAGATGGCTCCTTGGACATGAAGGCCCTTGGCGGGGCAGCCTTCCCTCCTCCTCTCTCACACCACAGCCCTTCCTGTTATGGGGCACTGGACAGGGCTTGGATGTGGGCAGGAGGGCAGCCAAAGCCTGAGTCACTGGGAGGGGACAGCTGGGTCTTGAGTTGTGGTCTCCGTGGGGAGGACTGGGAGGATGGGGATGGGTGCAGAGGCTCTTCCTCTCCACTCCAGAAGAATCTCTTCGCCCTCGAGGTGTGAGCTGGAGGCCTGTCTCTGGAGCCCTCTGCAGCCGTCTCAAACCTCACTGCCCTTCTCAGCCTCCAAGGCCCACCTCCTTCTCTAGGGGCACCCACTCCCTCCTCTGCAACTCAGTTCTTTCTCGCCCCAGCCTCATTAGTCAAACAGAAAACAGAGGCCCATAGAAGGTCATTGACTCATTCTGGGTAACAGAGCAGTGTGAGGACTAACGTCTACTGCCTTAGACTCTGAGTAAAGCTGGAGACTCTGGCTGGACCCTTGGCACTGGAAAGAGGGACTGTCCCTGAGGCTGGGGTGACCTGGCATGTCTCTCCCAGTCTGGCCCACTGGCAGCTCCATGCCCAGCTCCACAGGCACAAGTAGGTCAAAGCCAGCCTCCCTGAGCAAAGCCTGCCTGACGCCTGCCCAGAACGCTTGCTGCCCCTCTCAGCTATCTGTCCAATGCACAGGCCTCTCTGGCACCATCCAAGGCTGCACACTGGCTCTTGCTACCTGCGTCCTGCATCTATGCCCTCCACACTCTGGGTCCCGGGGTCCTTGGTGACTCTCCTCTACAACACAGCAGCCTTGGGTTGTCTCTTTGCCTGGGTTTCAGTATCTTCCAGAGCTTTGGGAGGGAGAGCTTCCTTTCCCTCATCAGCCCAATGGAGCCCCGCTCAGTCAGGCTTGTGTAGCCTCCTGTGAAAGGGACTCAGTGTCTAGTGAGGGCCCATTTCCCGGTTCATAGATGGTGGCCTCTTGCTATATCCTCACATGGTAAGGGAGGCAGGGCAGCTCTCTGGGGCCTGTTTCATAAGTGCACTAACCCCATTCCCAGGGGCTCTGCCTCCATGACCTAATCACCTCCCAGGGACCCCACCTCCCAATACCATCACACTGGGGATTTTGTTTCAACACATGAATTCTGGAGAGACACAAACATTCAGACTCCAGCATTTCCAATACGACTCGAGCCCCACCACACCACCCAATTCTTGGCAGTCCCTTCCCTTGGCCCTTGTGGCTCCCAGAACCCACAGGGTCCCTGCACGCAAGGGACTGAGCCCCAGAGCCACACTGCGGCTGCCCTTTGACTTTTCCCAATGCCCTGTCCCATCCAGAGAATTGGACCTCCTTGGAATGATGCTGACCCAAAAGAAGGCTGATTTGCAGCACCCTCTGGGCTGCTGGCCCCGGGGCCGGTCCTCTCAGGGCCCAGCATGATGGCTGCCTCGCCCCAGCTCTCCTGTCTCACTCCAGACTCCCTCATGCCTTGGAGCTGAGCCTGCAGGAGCTGTGGCCAGGGCAGGTTCTGGACCCTACTCCACCTCCCTAGCCCCTCCTCTCTCCTCCAAGCAGTCCCGCAGTGGGTGCCAGCCCTGCCTGGGGCTCTGGCTGCATGACAATTTCCAGGCCTACCTTGCGTGGGGACTGGGGATTGGGCATGATAAGAAACAGCACATGACAGATGTAGAGGTTGGGAAGGTGGCCTGGGAAGGCCTCTGCAGTGTGGATGCAGAAAACTTGAAGCAGAGTGGCTGGCAACTGCCCAGTCCTGGGCTTCCCAGAATGAAGGGAAGCCAGACCTGGGGGTGGAGAGAGGGGCCAGAAGATGCCCTCATCTCCCATGGAGTCGCCTGTCTGCTCGCGGTGCTTTTTCCAAGCTGCTGGCACAGCTCCCTCGCAGGCTATTATTGTCAACACCCTCCCTGTTGCCTGGTGTCCCCATGGAGGGACACTGCCATTGGCCATGTCTTTGCCACACCCTGTCCTTGCCACATCCCAGAGACCTGGGAGAAAGGACTGGGGATTTGAGGTCCCCAGGCAGCCCATAATGCCGAGAGACCTCACTGCCCCTTAGCTGTCAAGCTCCTCTCTCCTTGGCTTCTCTTCTGTGAATTTGAGACCCCTCTCTGCCATTCTACCTATGTCTTCTCCAAAAGCCTAGGGAAGGAAGGATCTGAGTGATGGAGACCCCTCACTCCCACACACAGGAAACATCAGGATGAGAAGCCCACATCTCTCCTCACTGGTGTCTCCCAAACCCACCTTCTCAAGGGATCTTTAGCCCCCAGCCTAGCAGTAGGTAGCATGGGCTCATTTTGAACCATGAGCCCAGAGCCGGGCTGAGCCCTTTCTCCACTGAAGGCCAATCTCTTGCCTATCCCCTGCCACACAAGTTTCCCATCCATTCTGGAACACCCTTAGTCACAGACTGTCTGTGTGGACTAAGGGGAGGCTTAGGGTGGCAGTAGCTGGACACTGTCTATACCTATGTCACCGAGGGATGCAGGGGCAGCTATTTCCTGGAAGAAGAAAACAGAGAAGCCCAGAGACAGGCGGCGGGGAGACAGAGGCGGAGACCAAAAGCAGCATGACAGAGAGACAGGAGCTGGGGGAAGCAGAGAGGGCCAAATTGACACCACATGGCTGCCGCGCCAGACCCCAGGGCCCAGCAAACAGGCTTCATGCTGTCAGTTGCCATGGTGACAAACATGCAGGAAATATCCAAGATAACTAGAATAGTGGCAATAACATGTGTTCTGGATAAAACCTTCCGCGGCCCCACCCCCTCCAGTGTATTCGTTGCATTACTCAGGATAAACTTGGCTTTTGCACATTCACCTTCCCCGAGAGGCTGGGGCTGCGGGTCCTCGGGTTGTCGGGTGAAAGGCACGGCTGCCCTTGGGAAACGAGTGGACCTGAGGCAGATTTTTGCTCAGGAAAAAAAAGGTGTATTTTGTGCCTCTCACCTCACTCCTGCCTCTCCGAGTCTGGATTTGGGCACCCATATCCTTCTGCTCTGGAACGCGAAGGCCAAGAAGAGTCTGAATTCCTGTTTGAGGTCACATAGCAGGTCTGAGGACAGAGGGGACATCCTGGGAGGTCCTTCAGGAGCCCACAAAGCATCCCAAGGGAGTTCAAGATCCATCAAGAAGCCAAAGCTAACGTGAGGGCGCCTGAGGCCGTGTGCAAAGCTGGACACCCTGGCAGTGCCGGTGCCTCTGCTGGGGCAACACTGCCTCCACTCCCGAAGCAAGGGCAAGGTATCCCGGGGGAAGAGGCAGAGAAGGGAGGGAGGAACAGGGGCGCTTTGGGGCAGGTGACTCTGAGAAAAGGAAGAAAAGGACAAGTTTGGCCTGGTATTCACACAGAAAAGTGACTCCCACACCTGAGAGAATGGAAGGAAGTAAGGGGGACATCTCAGAAGAGAGCAGAGCCTCCTAGAAAGCACCCCCTATTCCCCCAGCTCCTAAAGATTGACAGAGGGTTGGGGGGGGCGGGCGTGCCAAAGTCACCACTAAAGGCCCAGCTGGAAGCCAGCCAAGACAGTTGGTGCCCACCAGACTGTTTGGATTCCCCCTGCACTCTCTGGGTTGCTGGCAGAAAAGATTCCGTGGAAAGGACGCGAGATTTCAAGTCCTGCCACCTACTGCCTGTACAACCTCAGTGAGGCCGGTGACTTCCCAGGGCTTCCATCCTCTGCTGGGTGGAGCTAACACTAACTTATCTCTCCAGGCTGCTAGGCGGAGTAAATGCCACAGGGCACGTGGGAGCACTTGGCACATTGTAAAGCTCTGTGTCCAAGCTGTTGAATGCTGTTGTGACTCAGGCAGAGAGCAGCAGGCAGGCCAGGGAGAGGTTGCAGGCAAAGGTTCATGTGAGGAGACTCTGGTTTTTCTAATGACACTACACCCAGATTTTCCGATCTAAACAACCAGCTTCAGTTGTGATTTCCCATGTTGGAAAGTTTCTGGAAAATGATCCATGATAGAAATGGGTTTGGGAATGGTCCACCTGGACACAGTGGCCCTTACTTGGCTTGGAGCATTCCCCTTGGGAATGCCAGAACCAATTCGTGGCCTAGTGGGACAAAGGGAGCCGTTCTACCCAATGACCCTTGCTCCTGACCCTCTTCAGTGACCACAATCCCAGCCAGCACCCCTCCACCCCCCACCACCAATCGGGAGCATGAGCCAGGTCTGGAAGCGGCCCTTAAATGACCTTTTAGACCCAAGTGAGGTTTCCCAGCTCCCTTGGGAATCTAGGGATCTTACAAACTGAGATGAAACCAGATTAGCTTCCATTTTTGCTGTTGGGAAGAGTGAAATTCACCCCACTCATCCCAAGTTCAAAGCCTTACTTTGGTACCATGTTGCAAGGAATGTGGATGGAGGTGAGACAGAGACAGGTAGGGAAAGCAAGAAATGGCTCAAGCCTTGGTGCTCAGCTTCCCCAGTAACTGCCAAGTGTAGGGAGGGACTGGCTCAGGGAATCCTGTTCCCCAAACCCAGGACCAAGACAAGACCACTGGAGGAGCAAGGAGCTGTCAGCCCCTCACAGGTGGCACACCAGCTGGGCATGCAGGGGAAAAGGCAGACCGAGGCTGGGCCCAGGACCTCCACCATCCTGGCTCCGGGGGAGGACAGCAGGAGGCCTGGTCGGCAGAACACCACCCACCACCTCCCCAGCTGGCTGCCTTCTCTGTATCTGGTTTCACTCTCTCCACACTTATTTGCCACACCAGCAGAAGAGGCAGCTTCAGTGGCAGAAGTCTGGGTGTGTGTGGTGGGGGTGGGGGATGATGGGGGCAGAGGTGGGTGGTGGAGTGATGGGGTAGAAGGAGGACCCAGACAATCCCAGTTGCTTCTCCAAACACTATCAGGAAAGTTCAGAGCAAATAAGAGCTCTAGATGGCTGGAGCCCAGAGGAGGGCCTAGTGCCTGCCTGCACCCTGTCTTCACAATTCCCTAGGGTGTTTGAGAGAAGCAGAGGCAAACTGTCCATTACAGAAAAGCCTTAACCTGAGAAGGGGGAACCCGGTCTCCCTTCCCTACTCCATAGCCCCAGCTGGGACTCCAGCCCAAGCGCCGTGGAAGGTGTGGGCAGAATACAGAGGCACAAAATCTGCCCCAAAGACTTCGGGGTATGGTGTTTCATGGTCCCAGGGTAGGGACATAGTGCCGGCAGCCACTTTTTTTCTGTTTGCCAAGGAGCTTTCTCCCTGGGGATTAACAGGGCCTTCCTGCCACCCCATCTGGCTGGTACAGGAGCCAGAACACCACCCCTGGCTGCCAGCCAGCCTGTGTCGGGGGAGCCAGGGCTCTCTCAGAGACTTACAGACGTGGTGCTGGGGCCTTAGGGCAGGAAGAGGGAGGCAGAGGCCTCTGGGGCCACCCAGCTGGGAAGTCCTGACCCTGAAATTCAGCCAGTCCCTACCTCTGGCCTGTGGCTGAGGGTGGACAGGGAGTCAGGAGGGTCTCTGTTTTGCCTTCCTCCTCTCTCTCTCTCTCTCTCTCTCTGTCTCTCACTCTCTCCTGAAGATAGGGAATATATAACCAATCTATAACCTGGAAGACTGAGGACAGGAGACTAGGAGGCAGTGGACTTCAGTCTTGGTAAGATGTGATCGCCCGTTGGAAAGGCCAAGCCTAACTAAGGGTGGACAAGCTCTTGGACAGGGTAGGAATGGGACTGAGAACCCACTGTCTCCTCCTCATACCACTGCCCACATTTTATCCACTTTCTCTCAGGGACCCCCGAGACCCCGTAGCCAGGAACCCTCCCCCAGCCCCATGAAGGGAAGGAGGGCCCACTGCCCTGTGGGGTAATGAGCAGCTCCACCCTGCTTGGGAGGAGGGTCAGTGAGAGAGCCGCTGGCACATCAAAGAAGGCAGGGCCTGTGTCCCGGAAGGCAGCTCTCAACAGCCAGCAGCACCCATAGAATGGGACCACGCCAGACGGCCCCCAAGACCAATTCTCATCTCACGCTATGTGCCCCCCACCAAACGGCTGTAGCCTGCACTTGTCTGTCCGATCACCCTTCCCTGCACTGTGCTGAGTAAACAAACACAGCACTCAGGCAGCCCTCTGCTGGCAAACACGTCTGACTTAGCAACCGCTCCTAGAATAAATAAACACCACACGCTTACACACACTCAGACACACTTGCTCGTGCTCTTTCCTGGAACCGGGGACTGCTCCCTGTCCCACGTGCGGCTCCCACTGGGCCCCAGCCTCAAACAGGCTACATCAGAGTAGTGCCTGAGACTGTCACCCTTTGCCTGGGTGTGGGGATGAGCTGGGGCCTCAGGTGCACAGAGACCTGGACCCAGGCTTGGAGCTTCCTCAGGCAGCCCACCAGTCCCGGGGGGGGTGGGGGGTGCTCTGTTAGGAGCCACTCATCCTGAGGGGACCACCGGAATGAGACTCTAGACACTTGGAACATTACAGAAGTAAAAAAACCTTCGACATGATCCAGTCACCGGCTCAACCAGCAAAACCTCCCGCAAGCAGGGGGTGACCCGAACCCCAAGGATAGGCCTCACAGAGCCTCACAGATCAGAACTCGGGCCCCAAATCCTTTCCACTTCCCCACAGAGGCCCCCCCTCCCCCCATCCTCTGGATTCTTTTCACAGTTGTGTCCCTTCGGGGCCGGGATAGTTTAAGGGGGAAAACACCACCCAGATGGCAGATTCAGAGATGACAATTGGGCAGTAAAGCCTCCCGCTTAGTCCTGGAAGGACCTTCTCAGCAAGGTCCTGCTGGCCTTTACCCTTCCCTGGGAGCTTCCCAGGAGGTATCCTTGCCCTCTCCTTGGGAAGGGTGGCGTCTTGAGACTGCCAGCCCTGCAGTAAGTGCCAGGTATCCCTAACAAGAAGTCAGATGAAAATGTCAGTTACCTGGAGGCCTGTATTAAATCTAGGGGAACAATACAGGAAAAATCACTTAGGCCAAAGAGACTGGAAGTTACCCCCAGGAATTTGTGTTTAATACGTAAGAAAATGCAGGCGCACCGAGGCAGGGGTGGTGGTAGCATCCATTCCTGCCTTGAGAGACAGCTACAGACCAAGACAGGCCTGGCATCCGGCAGAGTGGCACAGCAGAGGCATCAAAGCTTGAGCTTCGGGCAGATCTGGTTTCAGATCTCAGCTTTTCTCTTATTAGCTGTGGAGGACTGGGCAATTTACCTCATTTCTTCTCTCTATAAAGTGGGGGAAATTCCCCTCTTTCATGATTGCTGTAAAGATTAATAAGATGGCATATATAAAGACGCCAGCACTAGCACCCTTGCCTTCAACAGTGACTGACAGAGATGGCATGATTTAAAATCCCACCCTTTGTTAAAGCTGGAAAAAACATATTTACGGAGTTGAAGCAGAATATGTGAGAAAGTGCATTATAATAAAAACGACCTACAAAATTGAGGCATTATCATTTAAAAGTTTCACTGTTCAGATTAATCTGTACTTTGTATATTTCCAAAGCCCAAGCCTTATTCAATGACTGCATATTGTTACTATAATAATTGTAGTCAGGTACAATAATTGTTCATTAAAATAGCAATAAAAGTTGAATGAAAAAATTCATCTTGTCAGTCAAGAGAGTACTGTTAATATAATAATTGTAGTCAGGTACAATAATTATTCAATAAAATAGCAATACAAGCTAAATGCAGAATATTCATCCTGTCAGGCAAGAGCATATTTCTTTTACTTGCACCGTAACTTTGTCATAGTGAGAAACTAACGGAGGCTAAGAAGAAAGCACAGAAAGAATTCGCAATTGCAAAAATATGGAGCTGGGGACTGGGCACAGTGGTTCATGTCTGTGATCCCAGCACTTTGGGAGGCCAAGGTGGGCAGATTGCTTGAGCTCAGGAGTTTGAGACCAGCCTGGGCAACATAGTGAGATCCTACCTCTAAAAAAAGAGGAGCCTTTTAAATGCCCGTCAACCAACAAGCAAATTAAGCAAATGTGGTAGACCAGGCACAGTGGCTCATGCCTGTAATCCCAGCTCTTTGGGAGGCCGACGTGGGCCGATCACCTGAGGTCGGGAGTTCAAGACCAGCCTGTCCAACATGGTGAAACCCCATCTGTACTAAAAATACAAAATTAGCTGGTCGTGGTGGCACACGCCTGTAATCCCAGCTACTTGGGAGGCTGAGGCAAGAGAATCTCTTGAACCCGGGAGGCGGAGTTTGCAGCGAGCTGAGGTCATGCCATTGCACTCCAGCCTGGGCAACAAGAGCAAAACTCCGTCTCGAAAAAAAAAAAAGAAAAAAGAAAATGTAGTATATATACACCATGGACTACTACTCAGCCATAAAACGGAACAAAATAAGGGCCTTTGCATCAACTTGGATGGAGCTGGAGATCATTATTCTAAGAGAAGTAACTCAGGGATGGAAAACAAAGCCATATGTTCTCACTTATAAGTGAGAGCTAAGCTATGGGGATACAAAGGCATAGGAATGGTAGAAGGGACTCTGGGGACTTGCAGGGAAGGGTGGGAAGGGGGTGAGGGATGAAAGAGTACACACTGGGTACAGTGTACACTGCTCGGGTGGCGGGTGCACCAATCTCTCAGAAATCACCACTAAAGAACTCATCCACATAATCAAAAACTACCTGTACCCCCAAAACTATTAAAATATATATTTTTAAAAAGAAAACAAAATATTGGGGAATAAAACAAAGTCAGAAAGCCCATAAAGCCGGCTGGTGGCTGTAGAGGCACAGAGGCGTGCATTTTTAGGTCGCAGGTGTGGGGGTGAGGACCCTGAGGAGGCAGTCTCGCCCGGACTCCTGGAGACCCGCATAGCCCTCGCTGGGAGACACTATGGGCCTTTTCTACATGTCCCCTCACCTCTCTGTCTTCTCTGGCTGTCTGGCCCGAGCTGCCGTCCATGTGAGCAGACACGGCACTCAGGGCCAGGAGACTCAGAGCAAGGCCAGGAGGGCACAGGGGCAGGGGACTGGCAGGCTGACAGTCCTGGGGCTACACGGGAAGCGGTCAGCTCAGAGCCAAGGCTGTGGACCAGGGCTGCTCCTCAGAACTAAAGGCTTGCAACCAACTACTGGCTAGACAAGGCTGGGAAATCAAGCATTACAGAGCGCTGCTGACTGTGAGTCTGCATGGGCAGGAGGCTGAACTCACAGCCAGGAGACTAGGACATCGGGCAGCAAATCTAGGAAGGGTCTGGGCAGCAACTATGGGACCCTATTGGCAAGAAAAGACTTTGATATGGGACCAAAGACTGGCTGAAGAGGGAATGCCTACATTTTGTTTGCCAAGTGCAGGCCTCAAGGCCTGAGTTGATAGGTACAGGGAAACACTAAATGGCCTGGGGTGTGACAGACTGTGTGCAAGGCAGTTCCTTAGAGCAGACGCAGAACTCGCCATCCTGAAACTCTACCTGTGTAACTGCCTGCAAATAGCAGCAGGCGCTCATGGGGAAGAACATGGTTCGTGACTCTTCTGTGCCACTTACTAGCTTGGGAGAGTTACCTAGCCTCTGTCAGTCTCAGTTTTCTCATCTTTAAAACAGGGATAATGACACCTACCTCATCTGGTAGTGGTGATTGTGTGAACTCGGTGATGTAAGGGATGTTAAAACGCTTTAGCACTTGGCCTGGCCCCGTTGAAAGTGCTCCATAAAAGCTAGGCATGATTACTAATTAAACATTTATTGAGAGTACCCTGGCCAACATGGAAACCCCATCTCTCCTAAAAGATATAGAAATTAGCCAGGCATGGTGGTGGGTGCATGTAGTCCCAGCTACTCAGGAGACTGAGACAGGAGAATCACTTGAACCCAGGAGGCGAAGGTTGCAGTGAGCCAAGATCATGCCACTGCACTCCAGCCTAGGAGAACAGAACGAAACTCCGTTTCAAAAACAGCAACAACAACAACGACAAAAAGTTTCTTGAATGTAGGCCGGGCGCAGTGGCTCATGTCTATAATCTCAACACTTTGGGAGGTCGAGGTGGGTGGATCAACTGAGGTCAGGAGTTCAAGACCAGCCTGGCCAACATGGTGAAACCCTGTCTCTACTAAAAATACAAAAATTAGCCAGGTGCACTGGTATGCACCTGTAATCCCAGCTACTGAGGCAGCTGAGGCAGGAGAATCCCTTGAATCCGGGAGGCACGGTTGCAGTGAGCTGAGATTGCACCATTGCACTCCAGCCTGGGCAACAGAGCAAGACTTTGTCTCAAAAAAAAAAAAAAAAAAAAAAAGTTTATTGAGTGCCTATTATATGCCAGGCCCTATACTTTGTATAGGACATACAAAGATGAAAAGTGTAGACACTGCTTTCAACAGGTCTAGGCTTCCAGGGGTGGGCAGAGGCTCCTACTTCAAATAAGCAATCACAGCCGAGTATGCTCATTAGCAGTGGAGGCAGGTACAGAATGCAGAAGGGGGAGGTGGGGGAAACAGCATTCGAATTTGCCTTGAGAAATCAGGGAAGGCCTCCAGGAGGAGACAGGGCATGAGTTGAGCCTGGAAAGCTGAATAGGAGGTTTTCTGGTGGACAAGTGGAGAAAGAGCAGTGTAGGTAGAAGAAGGAGCAAATGCAAAGACACAAGAAAAAAATCGAGTCACAGGAAAGCCTGCTGTGTTCTGGGAGTTCGGACAATGAATGGCAGTGCTGCTATGGCTTAAAGAGGAGAGCTTGGCGGGGGAAATGAAGTTCGGCTGACAGATGGGACCAGAGCATAAAGGATTTTTTAATGCTATGTTAAAGAATTTAGATTTTACCCTGAGTGATGAGAAGCCACTAAAGCATTTTAAGTAAGGGAGTGATGGACAAGATTTATTTTATAAAAAGACCATTCTTGGGGCTATGGGTAGTATGGATCGGCTATGGTCAGGACAGGCTGAAGGGAAACCAGCTGGGAGACTAGCAAGAAGTGAGAGCCTGATCTAAGGAAGCCAAAATGGGGCTAGAGGCCGGGCATGGTGGCTCACGCCTGTAATCCCGGTACTTTAGGAGGCCAAGGCAGGAGGATCACAAGGTCAGGAGTTTGAGACCAGCCTGGCCAACATGGTGAAACCCCGTCTCTACTAAAAATACAAAAATTAGCCAGGCGAGATGGCGGCGCCTGTAATCCCGGCTACTCGGGAGGTAGAGGCAGGCGAATCACTTGAACTTGGGAGTCGGAGGTTGCAGTGAGCCAAGATCTCGCCATTGCACTCCAGCCTGGTGACAGAGCAAGACTCCATCTCAAAAAAAAAAAAAAAAAAAAGCTGGGGGAGGTGGGCTAGAGTTGGGGGGGGTGGGCTAGAGGTGGGCAGATGCATGCTTAAGCAGGAAACCTGGCAAGACAGACTGGGTGTTAAGAATGAGGCAGAAGGCCTGGGAAATGTTGACACCCTTCTCCAGGATCGGATCTTCAGAAATGTGAGCAGACTCAGAGGGAAGCAAGAGTCCTGCTTTGGTCTCAGAGAACTTAAGGTGGAGCTCAGAACAAAGTCCTTGGCTGGATATGCAGATCTGGGGTCATGGGCATGAGGGTGTAGCTTAGCTGGAAGTGGGGAGTGTGCAGAGGGAGGAGGGAAGACAGCATTGGATAGCCACAGGTAGCCATGGGAAATCCCAACCAATGTGCATGCATCTACTGGAGAAAAGAGGACCCACAAAGGAGACTGAAAAGAATCTTAGAAAGTTGTAGAAGAGATCCAGGAAAGAGCAGTGTCACGCAGCACGAAGGGGCAAAGCATGTCAGGACTGCGGGGAAGGTCAATGATGTCAAACACTGCTGGACAAGTCCAGTAAGGAAAAGACTGAAATGTGACTACAGGTGGTCCCTGATGACTTCACAGAGGGCATTTCTTTCTTTTTTTTCTTTTTTTTTTTTTTTGAGATGGAGTCTCACTCTGTCACCCAGGCTGGAGTGCAATGGCACAATCTCAGCTCACTGCAACCTCCGCCTCCCGGGTTCAGGTGATTCTTCCACCTCAGCCTCCTGAGTAGCTGGGATTACAGGCACCTGCCATCATGCCCAGCTAATTTTTATATTTTTGTAGAGATGGGTTTTCACTATGTTGGCCAGGCTGGTCTTGAACTGCTGACATCAGGTGATCTGCCCAACTCGGCCTCCCAAAGTGCTGGGATGACAGGCGTGAGCCACCGTGCCTGACCCACAGAGGGCATTTCTGTGATGACAGTGCATGCCAGGCTACAATGCGTTGTGGAGTCAATGTGACATGAAGGGAGAAAAAACAGGGGACACTTACGAGAGGCTTGACTAAAAGAGAAGACATGAGGGGTCATAGAGACTTCAGGTGGAAGGAAGGTTTCATTTTGTTTTTTAGTACGGGAAATACTTGAATGAGTATGTATGGCTAAGGAGAGGTGGAGCTTAAAGATTCAGAAAAGTCTCAGGACGAAAGAGAGGACCTTAGAGCAAGGTCCCGGAGGACACAGGAAGAAATGGGATCCCGATGACATACCCCTCTTCCTGAAACATTCTTAGCTCACATCAGCGGAAACAGACTCTGAGACTCTGAGGTTTTCATGAAGGAGGATTACTGGGGGGAGATCTGAGGAACCAGCCCTGACAGGGAGACCTCATGGAAAACGAGGGTGGCTGAGGCATGGAGGTTTGTAGAGCGTCGCAGGCAATGGAGGAAATTCTTTCCTGATGGACTCCTTTTTCTTTTCAAAATGAGAAATTGTTGAAAAAAAGTGCTCGAGATCTCCAGAAGAGTGGAAAAGGCCTGGAATGACCTTAGATGACAGTAGGAATCACAAGCTGGGATTAGTTTGTACCCTGGAGGGTGCAACAAAGATCAGATGCCATAAATCTGTGGTGTTACCATCTTTTAGGCTGAGTGATTTTTCCCTAGTCGGGCTCTGCATCCCAGAAATACAAGCAGAAGAGGAGGCTGAGGGTGAGGTTAACCTAAGGCACATTTCTGGGCTTCTGGCCTACTCTCTACTCCTGCTGGGCGCCTGTCTCCAGCTGGGACGAAGGGAAGAGCCTGCAGGTCATGCCTCTACTTGAAGCTTCCTTCTCTCTCTCAGGGTTGCTATTTATTATGTCTTGGCCAGTGCACCAATCCAAAAGTTGAAAAAAAGCAGAGTACACATCAAACCATTCCCAGAATCAAACTCTAGGATGATTTAAAGATCAGTGAGTCAGATACATGTGGATTAAATTTTCCTCTAACTACATACTTGGTTAGAAAATCCTAGCCTGGGACTTGGAAGTGATGGGTCCTGTTTGGGACACCCAAGTTGCTATAAAGAGGTACAACGTGTGTTCAGTTCCAGTCCCTGGATCATCAGGCAAGGTCTGAAAACCTCTGTTTGAGACGGCATAAATTCCCAGGACTGCAGACCACTGGACCAAACTTCTAGGAGGCAAGACTTGTGGACCCTGGTGAGAACCCAAGCCAAACCTTTCATGGGGCCAGCCTTGGGAGAAACTGGCCCTGCTTGGCTGGCTTCTGCTACCGTCACTCATCCTTTCTAAGTGAGGGCAGCCTTGAGGCCACAAAACAAAGGCCAAAATGGCTTCAAGGACAGTAAGCTCAAGGTAAGTTTGGATAACTTCTTTAGATCAAAAAAGAGGAACTCCAGGTTAGAAGGCAGGTAATTTTCTGGAATAAATGAGTTTGAAAATATAAAAGTATGGAGAAGAAAAGAGCAACATTTTGTTAGGGACAGAAAAAAAAAAAAAAAAAGAGTCAAAAGACCCCAGTCTTCACTCTGGTTCTGTAATTTTAAGGAAGTCACTATCCCCTTGAGGTTTTGGCACCCTCTGCTGAAAATGTAAAGGTTTGGATTCGATGATGACTCATCTTTTATTTCTGATCTTACTTATCTAGTTTTATGTCCTTTATGCTCAATTTAAGCTCTTCCATGCTCTGCATTTCCCATATCCATTTTTCTTCCTCCCAAGGGGCATGAAAGTATTTGGTGAGCTAAAAGATGTTGGCTTTCTCTTCCTGTTTCTTGCTCAAACCCCAGTCGGTTCTCCAAGCTGTCATTAAACCATCCATCCATTCATTCATTCATTCATTGATACCAGTTTCCCTCCACCACTCTAACTGGAGCTGAGCAATTAGACACATGGTAACCTTGTGTGCAAGAAGTTAAGAAGTCTACCAGGGACTCCAGAGGCCAAAAAATTGGGCAAAAATTAGGCAAGGGGCAGGCCCACTTGGACCCCATACTTCTCCCTCATCAGTTAGCAAAGGGAGAGTCTCTTTTTCCAGCCCTCTCTCCCTCTGCTCATACCTTGGTGAAAGGAAATAATGACCCACAATGTGACCCCATGCCGAGGACGGAGAGGGGAGAGAGATACGCAAGGGTGATGAGGCTTTGTGGCAGGTGGCAGTAGCTGGCAGCTCTCCACGCCTTGATCCCAAGGCCACATTCTCTGGTGGGAGGGGAGCCAGGAAGAGATCCTTGAAATGGAACACTGGAGTGCTCAGGATGGACCAGGCTCCACAACAGCTGCCCTGCAGATGGGGAAGAGCATTTGAATCTTGAGTTTATATTTCTAGAAAAACTCCCCCTCCCACTCTCCCTTGCTGTATTATGGGTTTTTTTGTGAGGTTTAGAAAAATAAACAGAATCTAACAATAACTGTCTGAAAGTGCTAAATTACCAAGAAAGACGTAACAGATTAGCAGTGCAAACTGAGCCTGGGTGGGAGACAGCCAGCACACGAGGGATCTGAGAACGACCCATAGGGTGGTGGTTTCTCTGCTCTTCCTCCTCCCGCAGAATGAGCTGTCTTCACACACTGCAGCCTCTCTGGTGGAGCTGAAGGCTGAGCTGCATTGTCCAGAGAGCCTGAGGTTTAGAAATGGGGTACCATGTCCACTTTCAAACCAGCAACACCCCCAGACTTGAAAAGATCTGGCTCATGCCATCAAGTCCATCTCTGGCTCTCAGGTAGGACTGCTCCTGTCACCCTGGTTGGAGGTGAAACTCTTTTCTGTTTCTAGAGACAACCTTCTCAGATGAACCTGGAGGGCATTACGTTAAGTGAAATAAGCCAGGCATAGAAAGATAAAGACTGCGTGATGTCACTTATATGTGGAATGTAAGAAAGTCCAACTCATAGAAACAGAGTAAAATGGTGGATCCCAGAGGCTGTTGGGTTGGAGGATTGAGGAGATATTGATCAAAGAACACAAAACTTCAGTTAGACAGGAGGAATATGTTCAGGAGACCTATTGTACATCAGGGCAACTACAGTTCAAAACAATATATCTTATATTTTAAAATTGCTCAGAGAGTAGATTTTACATGTTCTTAACCACCATTAAATAAGGATGTCAAATAATACATATGTTCAATAGTTTGAATTAGCCATGCTGGCCTGTATACATATATCAAAACATGATGTTATATGCCATAAATAGGCACAAGTTTTACTTGTCAATTTTTTTAAAAATAAGCTTTTAAAAAGAAACAACCTTCTTTATCTTTTCCCCAGGAATCTGGGAAGGTGTTTAGGCAAGTAATGATTCAAAACTCCCAGAATGTGGGAATCAAAAGGATCTTAGAATACGGCCCCCATCCTTCACTTTACAAATAAATGAACTGAGGTTCACAGGGAGGAAGCACCTTGCCCAAGATCCCCCAGCTGGTGAGTGGCAGAGCTGGGACTAGAACCCGGGTCTCCTGAATCCCTGCAGATGCACATTCTGTAGCAGCTACTTCCAGGCCTTCCATCCAATTGCCCAATTCCCCTTTCCTCATTATTTTTCACTGGGTTGTGTCCAGTGAATTTATATGCTTTTGGCCAATCTGCAACTGTAGCTTCTATGATTTTGAAGTTCTCATATCTTAACCTTAAGGTCTTCTCAGAGATCGAGACCATCCTGGCTAACACAGTGAAATACCGTCTCTACTAAAAATACAAAAAATTAGCTGGGCGTGGTGGCGGGCGCCTGTAGTCCCAGATACTCGGGAGGCTGAGGCAGGAGAATGGTGTGAACCCGGGAGGCGGAGCTTGCAGTGAGCTGAGATAGCGCCACTGCACTCTGGCCTGGGTGAAAGAGCGAGACTCCATCTCAAAAAAAAAAACAAAAAAAAAACAAAAAAAAACAAGTCTCCTCAGTTAAAGTCAGTAGCTTACCTTTCTTGAGCCCCTGCTATTTGTCAGCCACCAGTAACTCAAAGGTGAAAAAGGCACAGTGCCTGTCTTTAAACACTGATGGCCAGGAGCAGTGGCTCACACTTGTAATCCCAGCACTTTGGGAGGCCAAGGTGGGCAGATCACCTGAGGTCAGGAGTTCAAGACCAGCCTGGCCAACATGGTGAAACCCCGTGTCTACTAACGATACAAAAATTAGCCGGGCATGGTGGTGCATACCTGTAATCCCAGCTACTCAGGAGGCTGAGGCAGGAGAATCACTTGAACTTGGGAGGCAGAGGTTGCAGTGAGCCGAGATTGCACCATTGCACTCCAGCCTGGGCAACAGAGCAAGACTCCAACTCAAAAAAAAAAAAAAAAAAAAGATTGACATGAAGCCAGAGGGGAACTCTGGGGTTCTTTCTGACTAACAACCTGAACTCCTTCTGCTAACTCTACCTATTGCCCCACTACATCTTCAGGATGTGTGCGGGATGGGTTAGGAAGTAGAAGTTACCAGGTTAAGCTATGGTCTGTGAGGCACTGTCCTGGGTTCTGGAAGAGAGACCTCCCTACTCTCCAGGAGACATGTGAAAGACCAGCTTCTAGTTTACTAACAGATGCAGGGACAGATAACTGGGATTTGAATTATACCTCCACTATTTACTAGCAATGAGACCACAGGCAAATTATCTAATCTTTCTGGGCCTCAATCTCTTCTGAAATGAGGATAGTAAAGCCCATCTTATAAGGCTGTTATGAAAATCAAACAAAATATGTGAACTCCCTAGTTCCATGCCTACTGCACAGGAGACCTCAAAAATGCTACTTTCTTTCCTTTCTCTTGAATTCTAGTCTTATGTGACTGTGTGTTACCCAGAGCATGATGATTACTGAAGATTTAAATGTGTATTAGTCTGTTCTCACACTGCTAATAAAGACATACCTGAGACTGGGTAATTTATAAAAGAAAGTAGTTTAATTGACTCACAGTTCCATATGGCTGGGGAGGCCTCGCAATCATGGAGGAAGGCAAATGACGAGCAAAGTCACGTCTCACATGGTGGCAGGCAAGAGAGCTTGTGTAGGGGAACTCTGCTTTATAAAACCATCAGATCTTATGAGATTTATTCACTATCATGAGAACAGCACAGGAAAGATCTGACCTTATGATTCAATTACCTCCCACCAGGATCCTCCCGTGATATGTGGGAATTATAGGAGCTACAATTCAAGATGAGATTTGGGTGGAGACACAGTCAAACCATATCCCAGTGCTTTGTGGAGAGACTGTTTCACTGCTATTCTCTTCCAAGCACAGCAAAGGGGGCTGGCTGGCCACCCGCTCCCTTGTAAGTGTGACTTCCCACTTCGAGTCTGCCTGGTGTAGACCCTGATCTTGGCTCAGCACGACAACCCTTCCTTCAGGCTAAACTCTCTCCCTTGGCATCCACCACTGGAAAAGGATGAGCTGCCCTAATCTGAGCCACACTCTATCTCTTTTGAAGAAACAAAAGTGAGAGGAAGCCATGGGGGAGATGCGTTCCTCCTTGATGCATCATAAAAGACACACAGATTTAATGTCAGAAGACAGGCTGGAAAGCCAGCCCTTCCTCCACATCCGTGTCATCCTAGCCTCACTGACCCTCAGTTTCTTGATCTGTGAGAAGGGAACACAAAAGCTGTTTCAGTTAGTTACTGTGAAGATTAAATTTGAAAAGACATACGAATAGTCATAACAAAGAGGAAAGTATTAACGCTACGTCGATACCACTTTACTATTATTGTCTCTTCTCCTGTTCCCCTGACACATCTCAAGTGAGAGCAGGCCCAGGCCAAATCTGCAGAAATTCAGTTTTATTCTTGCTAAGCAGCAGTCCTACCTGATGCTCTCCAGTCGGTAAGGGCAGGGCCCTCCTCTCTCCACCTGAGCTGTGGGAGGCAGGAGGCAAAAGGCCAGTCCCAGAACGGGAACCACGGAGCTGTCTCCTTCTCCATCTGTCTCTGGGGGAGTGCTCTTGGCAAGGAGCAACCGTTCCAAAGGCAAATGTCCAAGGTGAAATCCATCACGGGGCCCTGGACTGGGAAAAGATAGAGGAAAGTAAATCAAGCCTCTCTGAGATAAGAAGACACAGCCTGGAGCATTTAAAAAATGCAACTCTACCAGCTGCCCACTTTTGCGAAGTTTTAAGGCAGAGGACTATGCTAGGTAAGAAGGAACCCAGACCCCATCCCCCTATTTAAAAAGTGGGAGGAGCCCCGATGTGGGGCTTCTCTCTTCTCTCTCCCTCTTACTGCAAGTCTCAGCCAGAGAGGAGCAAAAGGCATTTTTAATGAATCTCTCTCAGCAAAGAAACAGGGAAACATGGAGGCCGTCCGTTTGGTATCAGAGATTAAGGACAAGGGTTCTAGGGTCAGGCATTCTGGGTTCTAATCCTGACTTTTACACTATACGTGTAGTCTTAAACAATCAACTTAATCTCTATGAACCACAGTTTCCAACAGGGATAATATTACGCTATCTTATAGAACTGTTTTCAAGACTAAATATGGGATAATTTTTATAGAGCATTTACTACAGTGGCAAACAGAAAGTGTGTAATCAATAGTGTTATGGCTATTTATAAGATCTGTAAGAGATTGGGGAAGTCAATACCTCTCTAACTACCTTTTATCCCATTTGTATAGTCATTTCTTTAAATTCTCTGAATGGTATTCCCCAAAACAAATCTGGTAGCATCAGTCTTATGTGTTGAATGCTATTGAACAGTGGACATTTTTCTTGCCATTATGTCCCATTTGTGACCTATGACCACACCTGTTCCACTCACCATGTCTCCAAAAATTTGTACGTTTAAGTGCATGTCTGACTGGCTGAGCCTGGAACATCTACAAAGAGATGTTTTGACCACACTCAGGTCATGAAGGGAAGAAAATCGTTAACAGACACCTGGAGTCTGAAGATAGACATGTGGGGAGGCAAGGGAATAATGTCTTAGGCAGGAGGTCCCTCAGTCAGAGGGGAGGACTCTGCATCTGAAAGAAGACCTTCATATCCCTCAAAGTCCCCCTTACCTTATCTTCATCTTTCTCTCTCTTCATTATCAATAAGCCACACACGTTTTCCATGTGCCTGGGCTTGGCGTGTGATGGGAGATGTTTATATCTTGGTCCCCAATCTAAAGCTATCAACAGGATGGGCACAGTGCACAGTGGCTTACGCCTGTAATCCCAGCACTTTGGGAGGCCGAGGCAGGTGGATCATCTGAGGTCAGGAGTTCGAGACCAGCCTGGCCAACATGGCAAAACCCCGTCTCTATTAAAAATACAAAAATTAGCCTGGCATGGTGGTGGGCACCTGTAATCCCAGCTACTCGAGAGGCTGGGGCAGGAGAATCCCCTGAACCCGGGAGGCAGAGGTTGCAGTGAGCAGAGATTGCACCACTGCACTCCAGCCTG
This sequence comes from Homo sapiens, assembly GCF_000001405.40. NCBI lineage: Eukaryota > Metazoa > Chordata > Mammalia > Primates > Hominidae > Homo > Homo sapiens. The sequence continues at coordinate 126,129,572 of NC_000011.10, forward strand.
GGTGACAGAGCAAGACTCCCATCTTAAAAACAAAATGAAACAAAAAATAAATAAAAATAAAGCTAGCAACAGTCTAATCAGAGAGGGAACTGAGAAACCTGGGATGTCTCAGGGAGTCTGGGAACCTGGCCTTCTTAGCATGGAACCCACTGTAGAGGGGAGATGGGTTCATGGCAAGGAAAGGGAAGCAAATACTCAAGGGCCCTGGAAGGGAGGCAGAAGCCTGTGGCTGCGGCGGCAGTCAGTGGAGGAGGCTTTACGGCTTCCTGAGCAAGGAATTGCATGATGAACATGTGAACATGGTGTGTGGGGTGGACGGGCCAGACCAGAAGCCCTTGCGAGAGAATAAAGGAGCACAAGACCCAGCTTTGACCTTGGCTCAGCCACACACAGCTGTGTGAGTGACACTGGGCAAGTCGCTTAACCTCTCTCCTGGTTTCTCACTTAGAATAATAAAACCTGACTTCCAGGTTTGTCATGAAGCTGCGAGGTGACATATGGTTGCTTTGTGCAAATGTATGTGTTCTAGTGACTGGAGTGGTGTGCTGGGGAGATGAGCACTGCAGGAAGGGAGGCCACCTGGGGACAAGTGGGGCTGTATGGCCAGGCAGGCCTGTGGGGACAAGGGCAGCATGGAGTGGGGGAAGCACTTGAACCTTTTTCTACTGTGTGGCTCTCCTCCTGCTGCCCACGGGTTCTAGGGGCTGCATAGAAAGAGTCCCATGGACTTAAACCCTCTCTTGGCTTAAAACCCACAGTAAGAGGCAGATAGCTGAGAAGATCAGGGAGTGACAGAACATGAGTGGATATACAAATAGACAAGATTAACTATTCCCACTGTATACACAAGAGGCTTTGCTAACACTCGGCCAATTAGAAAACTAATCTAAACAGCCACTGGCTTACATTCTCCTAGGAGCTCTCCAACAGCTGTTCGCTTGCACTTGCCGCTGCTCCCAGCTAGTGCCCTGAGGCTTCTCCTTGGGTCTGGCCCTCACTTGAGCCTCAAGGGCTCCTCAAGAGCAAAGGATTGTGTCGCTTTCCTTTCCTTTCCCTGAACTCCCCCTCGGGTCCTGCTGCTGTTATTACAGGGGGCTCCCTCCATGTCACTGCCTCTGAGAAGCCTTCCACCGTACCCCTAAACAGAGGGACCATTACAGCACTTTTCGGGTTAGACTGCCATTCATCTGGGAGGCATGTACATGAAGAGAGTAAGAGCAAAGCCTTTGAAGTCTGATAAATCGGAGTTAAAAACTCCTAGATCTCTCACTGTTGTGCTCTCTCTGATACCCTGTTCCCTCGCCTAAAAAGAGGATAATAATGATACCTACTTAGGAATTAAAAGCAGGCTAGGCACGGTGGCTCACACCTGTTATCCCAGCACTTTGGGAAGCCGAGGTGGGTGGATCACTTGAGGTCAGGCATTCAAGACTAGCCTGACCACTATGGTGAAACCCCATCTCTACTAAAAATACAAAAACTTAGCCGGGCGTGATGGCGGGCGCCTGTAATCCCAGCCACTCGGGAGGCCGAAGCAGGAGAATCACTTGAACCACTGCATACCAGCCTGGGCAACAGAGCGAGATTCCATCTCAAAAAAAAAAAAAAAAAGGAACTAAAAGCAAATATGTATATACAGGTGTATATGTGTGTGTGTGTGTGTGATACCCCTCTATTTAGATAAGCAAATATATATATATTTATATATATATATGACAAGCTAGTACAGCCCCTGCATACTGTAAGTATTCAATGCATTGCTTTTGCCATTATTATTACTATTGTACTGCTACTACTATTATAATTGTCATTATTGCTGTCTCTGAGTTACCCGAAGGCCAAAAACAACTTTGACTTGGGGGCAAGTAGCCTCTAACATGGTCCCTGATGGTCTCTGTCTCCCAGCCTCCACACCCTTGTGTAAAGCCCTCCTCTGGAGTGTGGGTGGAACCTGGGACTTGCTTCTAATCCACAGAATATGGCAAAGGCAATGGGATGTCACTTCCTTCCTCAGGTTTCAAAAGATTGTGACTTCCGTTCTGCTGGCTGACCCTCTCTCCAGCCTTCTCAGCTTGCATATCTCCATGAAGCAAGCTGCCATGTTGGCAAGACCTACGTGGCAAGGATTTGAGAGCATCCTCTGGCCAGCAGCAAGCTAGGAACCGAGGCCCTCAGTCCAACAACCATCAAGGGACTGAATTCTGCCAACAAACATGTGAACTTGGATGTGGATCCTTCCCCAGGTGAGCCTTCAGACGAAATGCCAACCCTGGCCAAAATTTTGGTTACAGCCTTGTGAGAGATTCTAAAGAAAGGACCTGGCTAAGTTGTGCCCTGGCTCTTGGCCCACAGAAACTGTGAGATAATAAAAGTGTGTTGTTTTAAACCATGATGTATTATGGATTTGTTACACAGAAATAGATAGCTAATACAACCTCTCTGTCTTCCTAGCTCAGCATTTGGCATATGGAGTGGAAGTCAAGTGTCAGTTGAGTGTATGAATGAATGAATGGTGATGGTAACAGGTAAACTCATCAGGACCTAAGAAAGGCCTAGACAGGCTAGATCCAAAGAGAGAGCTCTTTCCCAGCACCCACTGCCTGTATATTCTGTCTTCTCTCCCTCACGACCCTAGGTCCCTCCTCCCTTCCCCGGTCCTCAGGACCTTGCTCTCCTCTTGGTTCCTGCCTTTACTCATTCTCTCTGAATTTTTATTTTCCTCCTTAAAAAATAAAAAATCCAGCTCTCTCTCAAATATCTGCCTCTGGTGAACTGGAATAATTTTTGGTGGAAAGCAGTCTTGTCCAGAAAGGCTCTTACCCACCCTGCTCAGGAATGTGGTTGCTGCAGATATTAAAACAGACTGCAGGCGTCTGCAGTGAGTGGGGAGCTCGTGCCAGCAATGACCTCAGCCCGCACAGCAGGGCTCTTACCTAGGACAAGCTGCTGCATTGAGCTGGATCACAACAGACCTCCAAACTCTTCCCCTTCCAGGTATCCCAGGCTGCACTCTCTAGTTTAATGCCTGAGACACACCTTTGCACCCAAGCCTGGTATCAAAAGTCAAGGGTGGTGCCACCAGGCCTGTGAGGGAGGATGCTGTGGGTCCCACTGTCCCTTCATATTCAAGTGGCTTTGGCTAAAGAATGTGGGCCTCACGCTGGCAGCCCCCTTTCCTGTTCTGTTCTCCTGACTCCATGCCTCCCACTCCTGACAGCTCCAAGGGATCCTGTTCAGGTTGAGAGGTATCAGGCTTCATTTCTTCTGCAAGAGGCACCCTCCCAGGGAAGGCCAGGATTCTCAGGGCAGAAACCGGAGCCTGGGACCCCTCATGGTAAGGCTCCCCATTGTGTGGCTGAGCTTGCATTCAGGCTTAGATCTTTCCCTGCTTAATTCAGCTCCCGTTGTTGAATCCGAAGCTGGCTAAGATGAAGTAGCAACTCGTGTCAATTTTCAGATTTCCCTCTTCCACTGGGAAACTCAGAGAACTAGGAGTATCCCAGCCATAATCGATTCCAGCCTCCAAACTCAGAAACCTACCCTAGGATCATCCCAGTAATTACCACAACAGCTAACGTTTGCCTAACACATTCTTGGATGCAAAGTACTTCTACACATGCTATTTCTCATAAGAATCTTACAATATTTTTAGCCCCATTTAACAGAGGAATAAATCGTGGCTCAGAGATAGTAAGTAGAATTCTCCCAGTTACGTAGTGAGCAAGTGGTAGAAGGGGAACCTAAACCAAGGTCTATTGACTCATACATAGTCCAGTCCTCTTTCCACTACTCCCAAATCTGTAAGGCTCATTTTCCTGTAACTTTGCATTTCATTTGTAAGTTGATCACTTTGTACTTACGTATACCCATTATATTGTCCAATTCCTGCTACTTCCTCCTTAGTCTTCACCCATGCCAGCCTCTGGAGGGCTGGGTCAAGTAGCTTTATGCAGACCAGCAATGGATTGACCACTGGCCTTCAAGTCTGGAGATCCAGGTTTTAAGCTCTGGCTCTGCCACTAATGAGGGGTGTGACTTTGAGTCAGTTACCTCACTTTTCTACCTTACTTTTGCAATGTGAAGGCGATAAATTGCGTGATCACTGGAGTCACTTCTAGCTCTAGAACTATGATCCTTTGATGTAATTCCTGGTTGGGCTCCCTCTTGGGGAGGAACAATTTTTCAAGACAATGGCAAATTCACTCTTGCACTATGAATGCCATCCGGAGCTTGGGCTGAGAAGGGTGAGCGTTTAGCTAACTGCTCCAGTGATGATAGGAAGACCCTTTCCCCCACCTCTGCCTGAACAGGTCCCTTCATTCCTGGCTTCTTTTATCTGTCCTTCCACAACATGTTGTGACCTCTTTTGGGTAGGATTATAAGCACCCAAAGGCCTCTGTCCTTGATCCTCTTTGACCAATGATTATTGCCCAACCCGGTACCAGACAGGCTGGCACTTCCCTGATCTCCTCAGGATGTCTGTGAGCCCAGGATGAAGGTTATTCACAATCCCCAGTGCTAGGGAGACCCAGGGGGCCCTGCAGCTGCTCCCGGCTGTCTGGCTGAACAATGCCGATTCTGTCAGGTCTCCCGGCTGAGCCTTCTTGCGGAGGGTATTCCGGTTGCAGTATTAACTGGAGGCATCTCAGCTGCTTCCTGTTCCTTGGGTCTCAGCACAGATTCCTGAGTGAAGACAGTCAGCCCGGCTTTGCATCTGACCCGAGCCCCCAGCAGTTGGGGTTGGGGGCAGGAAAGATGAAAGAGCTTCGCCATCATCTCAAAGCAAGGAGTCAAACCTCCTCAGCTGGAAGGGGCCCCAAGGACCAAGTGCCCGTTAGACACTGCTCCCAGACATGCCAACCAGGCACAAGGACAGGAGTGTAGCTCAGTTCTCAATCTTTGGGAAGGTAACTCTGCAGCCTCCTAGGTGACTTCTTTCAGGACAAAAATCTAAGAACAACTCTCCATTCTGCAGCCAAACCACTTGTACAAACTACTGGTATTACTTGTACCAGTGTGAACTCCCCACTTCAGCAAGACACATTCTCCTGCCTATCTCCCCCGCTCAGCTGTCCCCCACAATTACGAAGCATGGCAAGAGTTGTCACCACGTTCCTATGTCCTTCCCCATTTCCACAGCCACTCCAGTTCTTTTCTGGCATCACATCTCTGCTATAAGACTACTTATCATCTCCCTAAAACTGCTGTAACTGATACCATGAGACTCTAGCTAGGCTATGCATTCTCATTTGTTTTTCTTCCAGATTTCTTTTTTTTTTTTCCTTTGAGACAGAGTCTCGCTTTGTCATCCAGGCCAGAGACCAATGATGTGATCTCTGCTTATTGCAACTTCCACCTCCTGGGTTCAAGCTATTCTCATGCCTCAGCCATCCAAATTGAGCAGCTGAGACTAGAGATGTGTGCCACCATGCCCGCTAAGTTTTGTATTTTTAGTAGAGACAGGGTTATGTTGGTCAGACTGGTCTCGAACTCCTGACCTCAAGTGATCCACTCGCCTCGGCCTCCCAAAGTGCTGGAATTACAGGCATGAGCCATCACACCTGGCCTTTCCCCAGATTTCTAAATATTCCATGCTTACCTGACAATCTTTGCCAATGTAGTGACCTTGGCATATTCCTTCTCTCTTTTTTTTTTTTTTTTTTTTTGCTTATGTTAGTGTCTCTCAAACCTACTCCGTAAACTGGGAGTTCCTCCGCTGTACGGACAAAGTCTCCTCCCTCCCTCTGAACTGTTGCTGATGCTTGCTTTCTGATTATTGACCATCAGGAAGTCCCACCTGAGAACTAACGCTCTGCCTACAGTTGAATCCCATTTCCTGTTTGGTTGGAGCCTGGAAATGTGATAAGGCTTTGGCCAGCTGCCACTATATTAGCTGGTCCCCAAGGCCAATTTGGGGATATAAAGGAGAAAATGACTCCTATTACTTAAATAGTGTTTCAGAAATGCCCCAGAGTAGAAACAATGGTCCTTGCTGCACCCGGATCCACTGTAACCCTCTTCTTTTGCACCCAGCATCCTGGCCTGCCAGACGGCAGTTCTAGTAAGACGTACTATGTAATGAGGAACGTAACTCAAGGCCGGTCACACCAGAGACTTGTGGAAGGGCAGCCGCCAGGCAGGGGACACAGAGGCTCAGCAGAGGAAGACTCCAGTCAGGTGGCCAGCTCCGTCCTCTGCTATCTCTACAAACGGGCTAGTTTCTTTAAGATTTTTTTCCTTGAGTCCTAACGAAAAACGAGTTGGAACCATGATTGGGGGCGGGGGTGGGGGCTGCAGGGCAGAGTTTATAGGCACTTGCAATTTCTTAACGGCTCCCTCCTCACCCATTCCTCTGCATTTTTCTCTTTTATTAACGTGGCATCTTTCCCAGGACACTTTATGGGACCGTGTGTTTTCACTTATGCCCTGATTAGGGTTGATTGTGTCTCTCTCTATGAAGAGCCCTCAGATCTCGCTCAAGGCCTCCCCTGCACCCCCTGCAAGGGTGCAGGCCATTCTTTCGCTCCAGGGCTCCTGGGCTAATCTCTTAACCTGTCCCCAAGGGCTCCACTGGGTTTTCTACCACACAAGGCACTCTTCTGCCTTAGGGTCGCACTTCATTTGGACCCCAAATAAGACACCCCAGTTGGCTTACTCAACTCTGAAGTGATTCCTGGCACTTGCCCCCAAATTAAATCTGCCCCAGAGGATGAAGAGGAAGATTTGCCACACTGAAGATTTTCTTTTTCTTTTTCGAGACGGAGTTTCACTCTTGTTGCCCAGGCTGGAGTGCAATGGCACAATCTCGGCCCACTACAACCTCCACCTCCTGGGTTCAAGCGATTCTCCTGCCTCAGCCTCCCTAGTAGCTGGGATTACAGGCATGTGCCACCACGCCTGGCTATTTTGTATTTTTAGTAGAGACGGGGTTTCTCCATGTTGGTCAGACTGGTCTTGAACTCCCTACCTTAGGTTATCCACCCGCCTTGGCCTCCCCAAGTGCTGGGATTACAGGCGTGAGTCACGGCGCCTGGTCTGAAGATTTTCAAAGGAATGTGCTGTGAGCCCTGAAGGCCATTGCCCAAGAGGAGGCTCTGAAAATGTTTTGAGCAATAGCAGCTCTGATAGAACACAGCTTTCCAAGGGGCCCACTTTCAAAGGCACGGCACGCTTTTCAGAGAGTCAAGCTTTGGCGTGTTTATTAAAAAAGACACCCATGCTGCTTTCAGGAACGCTGAGCTCTTAGCTCTTCTTTTCTCTTTAACTCAATTCCAAGAGGGGCTGGGACCGAGGTTTGGCGCTTACTTGCTCTCCTTCAGCCCCATTTTAGAAATGTTTCCACCTACCCGTCTCCTGTTATCTGGGAGATTGCTCTGTTTCACTCAGACATGAAGCAGCAGGCTTGGTGGCAGCCCTGTGATCTTTGAAAGCATACCCTCTGGGAGTAGCAGTTTCTTCTTCTGTAGAATGGGGAAAGTAATACATATTCTGCAAGGCTGTGAGAATGAATTGGAGCGATGTCTGCAAGAGGCCTGGCATGCTAAAGGCCTTCAGTAAATGGTAGGGATTTTTGTTATTAATACTATTACCAATATTAAGCAATTAGCCAATATATATTGACCTCTTTGAGAATCTGCTTTTGTTCCCTGGTCCCTCCTCTTGTTCGTCCAGGCCTTCTCCTACTGCAACCCTTTCCTTCTGGAATGTCTGTGGACAACACAACATCAAACTCCCCATTCCTGGCTCCAGGGCAAGAATCTCTGAGTCCTTTGGGAAGTGCAGTGCTAGGATCATTTTCCTGTTGTCAGCGGCTCTGGAAGAGGCATTAGCCCCACAAGGCTTGATGTGGGAAGTTTTTACAGGTACTGCTCATCTGGTGGGCAGATGTAGCTTTGCAGCAAGATAGAGCTCTGTCTTCCAGATCGGGGGTGCCTGGGAGTCTTGAGGTAGAACTGGTTCCTCTCTGCTTGGAGCCAGTGTGGGCACACACATGGGCCTGTCATCTCCTTCAACAGCCCTGGGATCGTTGATCCAAGTTAGATGGAGTGCCTTTAACCCCTGAAATTCACATCCTGGCAATCAGCTGACCATGCCTCCATCATCTCTGTTCCCCGCAGCCCCGACCTCTGCCATCCCCCAACACATAGACACACACAGTGTTATTTCCAGGGAAGAGGAGGATAGTCCTGGTCAATAGCAGTGGACACACTGGAGGTTTCCCCTCAAGGTAAGAGTGTCATTCATTTGCACATTCTCAAGGAGGTGAAACAGGATGCAGAGGGCTTCTCAAGGTAGGGTTACCCCAGAGCATTTGAGCATTTTCCTAAAGGAAGATGAAGGGAGTAGTAGCCACCAGTGGCTGAGTTCTCCCCTCTACATCCCACTGGATATCACCAATCCCTAATTCTCCACTCCAAAGCCCTAGCTCTGCCTTGATAGAGTGGGGATGTGCCTGGGCCATTAGTAGCCATTGTCCACTCTTTTATTGCTTGGGCTTTTTAGGGGGACCTTTATGCGAAGATGCTCCCAACCTCATCACATCTGGGACCTTTTTGCGAAGATGCTCCCAACCTCATCACATCTGGGACCTTTTTGCGAAGATGCTCCCAACCTCATCACATCTGGCCAAAGTGCTTTTAGTCACAAGCGGCAGAACTCAGTTCACAGGAACACATATGAAAAGTGGATGTAGAGATAACTATGAGGGATATGAGACTTTAATTAAGCAAAGTACCCGGCCTCGTCATTCTCTCTCCTCCTGGGCTGTGGTCTCTTGGCTCAGCCTTTCTCTCTTCGTGACTTTGGTTTGCCTATGGTTTTATAACATGGCCCTAACAAGTAAGTCCTCCTTGATCATGACATTTACTTGAGCTCCCTATGACCAAACAGAGTCTGCTTTTTAATTTCAAACTCTTAAGAGAGAAAAACCGGATGGCTGTTTATTGCCAACACGTTGGCTGGCCTTGGGTACTTATTCCTGGTCTAGTTAGCCGCGGCTGAGGAGCAGAGCATGTGGTATGAAACACATATAAGGTAGCAGGGGCTGAAAGTGGGAAACAACTTCTCTGAGAAGCAACCCAAGCTGGTATTCCACCCAAGGTGTGCCTGATGCACCCCCTGTGTGGTTCTGGGATTCACCCGAGGGACAGGTAATAGCCGTCCTCAGTGACTGTCTCGGCAGAGGCTGGGCTTGGAGCTCAAAGGCCAGGGAAGCAGCAGGTCCACTGATGCAGCTGCCACCTCCACAGCATGCTGGGGACATGGTGACATTCTCCTAAGAGCACTTACAGAGACAGTGTCCTGTGAAAGCAGCGCTGGACTGGGAGTTGGCAGTCCTGGCTTGTCATCCAGCTCGGCTGCTAACCCCCATGACCCCGGGGAACCGACCTTCTTCCTCTAGGTCTTAGATTCTCCAGAAGTTAAAAATGAATTTAAAAACCATTGTTATTAATAATAATAAACAGCATTGAATGAAATCATCTCCAGGGTTCTTTTCAATCCCTAAGATTTCCCTAAGCCTCCCCCATCTCCACTTGACAACTTCCCAGAAATGCTTTCAAATGGAGCTCTTTAACCCATAATTTGGTGGGGCCTCTGCCAGCTGCCTCTCTCCCACAACACACCCAGTCCCTGTGATAAGTCCTCCTCAGGGGCTTTCCAGCCTAGACCTGCAGCTATTCAAGAAAGTCCAGGCAGGGCCTTCCCGGGCAACTGATTTCTGAGCTTGTTCGACGGGGAGGAGGGGGTCTGAGCATTTGCTGTCTGGCCACTCCAAAGAGGGAAGTCTGGGCCTGAAGACGCATCTACTGGGGGGTTTCCACATTGATGATCAGGGCCTGGGAGGCCAAGAGAAGCTCCAGAAGAAGGGTCAGCAAAATCCCCAGAGAAACGGGGACTATGAGTGGAACAGAGCTGGAGAGGAAGAACGGAAAACACTGTGGGTTCCCGGGACGGGGGCAGGGAGGAGGGAAAGTTTGTGTCTTTTGGCAGGAAATGAATAACATTCAAAGAATATGCAAAATGCCATTCTAATTGGCACCTGTTCCCTTTGGAGCCAGTCACTCGGCCCACGGCATCTGAGGGTGAGTCTGGTTTGGGTCTCCCCAGGGGAGGAATACAGCACATTGAGATCCACTTGAATGATAAGAGAGGCACTGGTCCTAAGTGGGGTAGAGGAACGGAAGGTACCCTCAGCCTCCATGGCTCCTTCCCAGCCCCAAATGCTCTGTCACAACCCCCCCAGCTCAACCCCAGGCAGATGGCTACAAATTTTGCAGGGGCCTCTGAGCATTCCCTTGGCTAACAGCCACATTCCAGAACAGCATATGTTTCATCTCAAATCCACAAGGTTTGCACTTCCAAGCGGAGCCAAAGAGAAAAACCTTGGCCCAGGCTGCAAATTTCTTAGGAGAGGTGGGGGTCAGGGGCGGCCCCCAGGGAGGTTGTAGCTGTTATGTTGAAGAACATTTGAGTTCAAGTTCATGCAAAGCTAGGTCCCAAATATATGACACCCACATTCCTAATTCATAACCCCTCAAAGTACCTACCTGGAGAAGGAGTGAGCAGCGCTGCTTCCTCTTGCTGTCACCCAAATGGCCCTCATGCCACCTGCATGTTCCTCCAGCCCCATAACAGTTCTGCACCTTTGCCTAACTTCATGGCCCTTTTGAATCAGTGATTCACAGCCCAGGGCTGTGTGGAGTCTGGGTGGGGAGGGAAGAAACAGGGTGACTCCTGATCTCACTCTACCCCTTAAAAAATGCCTGGACCTCATCTGTGCTGGCTCCCATCTCCGTGCTCTGAAATTTATTTGGCTACTGAAAGACACCAAGCCTGAAGGAGGGTTTAGGAAGGACAGGGCTGAGCTGGGTGGAAAGGAGGAGTAAGGCAGGGGAAATATGAAGGCATGAGAGCTAGAGGGGGCGGCGGGGCAGAGGTGCAGAAAGGGACACAGAAGGGTCTCAGCTGGGAAGAGGGAGAGGTAAGCTCTCTCCTGGCGGGTGGGGAATGGGGGGACATTGGGAGTCCTGGTCCTCTGGGGGTTCTGCTCTGTGGTAAGCTAAGGGATTTCTGACAGCAAAGTAAACTGTGGTGTGCTGAGTTTACCCAGCTCCAATAAGCAGTGTTGGAGTGTTTAATGTTTCCTTCCCACTGAATTGGTTGACAGGCACTGAACCGCAGCCAGCCCCTTGCTGTTTCTTGGGGAGGTAGTAGGTGGGGAGGTTAGTACAGGGCTGTCAGGAAAGCTGGCATCGCTGACCCCAACCCAGGATGCGGAGGCTTGGGTGGAAGCCGGGAAGTTCCCCTCACATAGGCCCGAAGTTCCCATCAAGGAGGAGAAGCCTGAAATACAAGTCACCTCCTTATCCCAACCATCCCAGCCCGGCTGGTGCGCACCAGCCCTCCTGCGCTCTGCAAAATACAGCCATTTATTTCTCTCGTCATGCTCAGCTTTATTAAATGCCTGCCTAAGGGGCTGCAGCCTCAAACAGCCATGCTTATGCAGATGGATGCAGAGGACAGACACACAGACCACAAAATAAATCAGGAAGACACCAGAGCTCAGCGCCCGAGTACAAAATAAACTATGCCTGGCAGGATGCCCAGCACGAGGTGCTGGCTTTGTGCTAAGCAAGGATGAATGGGTTGAGGGATAGGGAAAAATGACTTTCTTTTCTCTCAATCCAAGGAGACTCCTGGGAAGAAACTAAAATGCACAAAGCTCTTAGATGGAATGGAAGAGAAAGTTCGGACAGAAGGGATCTCAGGGCGTGGAGTGGGCACGAGCACAGGGGAGGGGCAAGAGAAGCAGACGATGGTGCATCCAGACAGCGAGTACGTGTAAAGGGCATGGAACAGCTCAGAAAAAGGACATGGGGAAGGTTGGAGTGGGCTTTGGGCATAGAGCTAGAAGCTGTCCAGGAACTGCAGCAGAGAGCCCTGAGCTACTACTGCATCCTCCCCATCCAACTAGCAGAGAATCGGAGGTACACTGTGGACCTATAGAGCAAGGGGAGGGGGCCAAGTGCTGGGGAAGTGGGAGGAGCCACAGTGGCACCGAGGAGCAGCCCAGGTGAATGACCAGGGCATGGGATGCCCATTAAGCAGTGAGCATGAAGAGGGAGGGGGAATGTGACAAGATTATCAAGGGGTGCACAGCAAGGTGGGGGAACTGCCTGGATGAAGACATCTTAAAATACAATAAAGAAATAAATAAGCCAGCAGGGGTCATTCATGGCTTGGGAGTGGGAGGATGAGCGAGTTTGAGGATACTGCTCAGAATCATGGTGGGGTGTGTAGGTATGTAAAGGTAACACTGCTGCTAAGATCTTTATGCAATTTCAGTCATATTTTCTTGGATCTCAAGTCCTGCATTTCTACAAAAAATATTTAGAAATAGCCCCCCTTGGCCAGGTGTGGTGGTTCACACCTGTAATTCCAGCAGTTTGGGAGGCCAAGGCAATTGGATCCCTTGAGCCCAGGAGTTGGAGACCAACCTGGGACACATGGCCAAACCCTGTCTCTATTAAAAATACAAAAAATTAGCCAGGAGAGGTGGTACTTGCCTGTAATCCCAGATACTCGGGAGGCTGAGGTGGGAGGATCACTTGAGCCCAGGAGGTCAAGGCTGCAGTGAGCCGTGATGGCACCACTGCACTCCAGCCTGGGCGATAGAACCAGACCCTGTCTCAAAAATACAAAAATTAAGATAAAATAAAATAAAAATAGCCCCCGTAAAAGCAGAGAGTAGAATAGACTAGTAGCTTTCAAATAGGCCCCAAGGTGCACTGGTAGTGCATCCTGATGCCCAGGCCCCATTTCAACCAGAGCAGCTCAGCTTTATCTGTTGTATTTGTTTATGCATTGTGTAAGATTTCTTTGAAAGAAAAGCCTACCATTGTAAGCCTGTAAAGGAATAGTTTGAGGCTGGGCGTGGTGGCTCACACTTGTAATCCCAGCACTTTGGGAGGCTGAGGCAGGCAGATCACAAGGTCAGGAGATCGAGACCATCCTGGCTAACACGGTGAAACCCCGTCTGTACTAAAAATACAAAAAAATTAGCCAGGTGTGGTGGCGGGCGCCTGTAGTCCCAGCTACTTGGGAGGCTGGGGCAGGAGAATGGTGTGAACCCGGGAGATGGAGCTTGCAGTGAGCCGAGATTGTGCCACTGCACTCCAGCCTGGGCGATAGAGCAAGACTCCATCTCAAAACAAAACAAAACAACAAAAAAAGAATAGTTTGAAAGCCACTAAGGTTTAATTTCTTTTGGAATTCCCCACCAGCTTGAAGAATGACCATTCCCAAAAGAAACCCGCAGTGAACACATGTAACAACTTTTGGGCATAGTTCTCAAATTCAAATCACCTGGGCTGTTGTCAAATCATTTGTTCTCATTCTTTTGTTCAAAGGAAAAATTATGACCAGCATAAGGAATTGTAACTCTCCCCTCTTTTCATTTGGTCCAGGAATGGGAGACACACACACACCACAAGTTCTGCCATGCGTCCAGCTTGTGCCCATGACAGGCACCATGAGTTAGTTATTAACGCTCTCTGAACAATGACAACAACACAGTCTTGGGGTCCTTCTAAACAGAGTGCCCAGGCAGTTACCCTCAATCTGGACAAATTGGTACATTAGCTGAAACCTCTCTGCTAGCCCAGATTTGGTTGGCTGACTCCAAGAATGTCAGCTAAAAGGAATACCACTGTCCCTCCCCATCCCAATATCCTTCCTGGCTCCTGGATCTGTTGGACAAGGCACCTGTTATATATATATATATTTTTTTTTTTTAATTTTACTTTAAGTTCTGGGATACATGTGCTGAACATGCAGGTTTGTTACATAGGTATACATGTGCCATGGTGGTTTGCTGCACCTTTAAGCCCCGCATGCATTAGGTATTTGTCCTAATGCTCTCCCTCCCCTTTCCCCCCATCCCTGCCCCGACAGGCCCTGGTGTATGATGTTCCCCTCCCTGTGTCCATGTGTTCTCATTGTTCAACCCCCACTTATGAGTGAGAACATGCAGTGTTTGGTTTTCTGTTCCTTTGTTACTTTGCTGAGGATGATGGTTTCTAGATTCATCCATGTCCCTGCAAAGGACATGAACTCATCCTTTTTTATGGCTGCATAATATTCCATGGTGTATATGTGCCACATTTTCTTTCTCCAGTCTATCATTGATGGGCATTTGGGTTGGTTCCAACTCTTTGCTATTGTGAATAGTACTGTAATAAACATACGTGTGCATGTGTTTTTATAGTAGAATGATTTATACTCCTTTGGTTATATACCCAGTAATGGGATTGCTAGGTCAAGGATCTAGGACTAGCCATATTTTTAACAGGCCAAGTAGGCCTGGCCTTAAATAGGGGGGGTGTGGGGGGAGTGGGGGGATAAGGCCTTCAAACTTCTTGTTAGCTGCCTTGGCCCTAGAGAAAGAGGCTTACAACCTACAAAGAATAGGGCCATTCCTCACACCTTGCCATCCATGCAAGGTTCAGGGACTGCTACCATACACAACTCAGTTTGTATCTTCAGACCCTTCCCATCTGTTTATTCTCTAAAAATATATGTGAGAAAAAGATGCTCAGGAAAAACTGTAAAGGACTTTGAACTTGTTGAAAGGGGAAGTCTAAAAAGGGGTTGAGACAGAACTGGATTCCAAATCCAAAGCTGGGCTGGGAAAGAGGAACTCTCTGGAGGCATCCAGTGAGGGTTCAGGGAGAAGGAGGCACATCATGGCCCAGGAATGATCTGGGAGGGGCCACTGTCAATGAAACAAGGCAGAAAAGATTAAAAGACTTATGTGAATGCAGGCGAGGTAGGAGGGATATGAATTTGGTTGACGGTTAAAGACGTCATTCATTCATTCATTTAGAGAAAGGGTCTTACTCTGTCTCCCAGGCTGGAGTGCAGTGGTATGATCATAGCTCACTACAGCCTCAATCTCTGGGGCTCAAGCAATCCTCCTGCCTCAGCTGCCTGAGTAGCTTGGACTCAGGTGCACACCACCACCATACATACATATATATATATATATATATATATATATATATATATATATATATATATATATATTTTGTTGTTGTTGTTGTTGTTTTGTTTTTGAGACAGAGTCTCGCTCTGTCGCACAGGCTGGAGTGCAGTGGTGCGATCTCAGCTCACTGCAAGCTCTGCCTCCCAGGTTCACGCCATCCTCCTGCCTCAGCCTCCCAAGTAGCCGGGACTACAGGCGCCCGCCACCATGCCTGGCTAATTTTTTGTATTTTCAGTAGAGACAGGGTTTCACTGTGTTAGCCAGGATGGTCTTGATCTCCTAACTTTGTGATCCACCCGCCTCAGTGTCCCAAAGTGCTGGGATTACAGGTATGAGCCACCGCACCCGGCCATATATATATTTTTTGAAGAGATGGAAATTTTTTTTTTTCAGACATTGCTCTGTCACCCAGGCTGGAATGCAGTGGCACGATCTCGGCTCACTGCAACCTCTGCCTCCTGGGTTCAAGTGATTCTCCTGCCTCAGCCTCCTGAGTAGCTGGGATTACAGGCACCAGCTACTACGCCTGGCTAATTTTTGTATTTTTAGTAGGGATAGGGTTTCACCATGTTGGCCAGGCTGGTCTCGAACTCCTGAGCTCAAGTGATCCACTTGCCTCAGCCTCCCAAAGTGCTGGGATTACAGGTGTGAGCCACCGCGCCTGGAGAGACGGAATGTTACTATGTTGCCCAGGCTGGTCTTGAACTCCTGGTCTCAAGCGATCCTCTCACTTCAGCCTCCCAAAGCACTGGGATTACAGGTGTGCCGGCCTCAACCTTTTAAACAAGCAGAATTACCTTTTCAGAAGAAATCTCCCTCAGATCCCCAGGATATAAACTGGTAAAGGAGTTACTATAGTTTGATGTGGATTAGCAGCCCTCCCTACACCAGCTCTGCACCCACCCTAAGGACTGGGACTCAGAGAAGTACAGTTACTGCCTGAGGTCACCTGGCTAGGAAGTGGCTCAGCGGGGTTTAGAAATCACACGTGTTGGCCGAGCGCAGTGGCTCATGTCTATAATCCTAGCACTTTGGGAGGCCGAGGTGGGTGGATCACGAAGTCAGGAGTTCAAGACCAGCCTGGTCAAAATAGTGAAACCCTGTCTCTACTAAAAATACAAAAATTAGCCAGGCATGGTGGAATACACCTGTATTTCCAGCTACTCGGTAGGCTGAGGCAGGAGAATCACTTGAACCTGGTAGGCAGAGGTTGTGGTGAGCCAAGATCACGCGATTGCACTCCAGCCTGGGCAACAGAGCGAGGCTCCATCTCAAAAAAAAAAAAAAAAAAAAAGAACTCACACATGTTGATGACAGAGGGTCCCATGTCTTCTCAGGAACAAGACACACCCACTGCTTTGCTCATCCCTGTGTACCCAGTGTCTGGGATGGGGTCTGGCACCCAGAAGGCTTTCATTTGGGTGTTTGTGGAAGGCTCCTTCCCCCGTAGCTGTCCTCGGCAGGGACTCAGCCTCGCGGGTCATCAGGCAGTCTCGGGGAAGTGTTCTGTGCCAGGGGTCTACTTCAGCCCCCTGTTCTGGGTGCTGCCTCGAAGGCCAGTCCCTCTGGGATGTGTGTTGGGACGGGGATTGGGTGAGCACCCTGGGCCTTGGCAGGTGAGGTCATTCACCTCTCCTTCTCTGAGGGACTTCTGGAAACTTGAGGCATCCTCTGAGCAGCGTCGTTCCTGCCCTTACTTGGTCAGGAAGCTGTGATGCAGCCCAGAGACCCCCTAGTCCTTTCCTCCCCCCACTCTCCTCTCTGTGTACCTTGAGCACAAACACTCGGAGAGCTCCTGGAGAGACGAGTTCCAGCAGGAAGCAGGGGGTGTCCTGGGGGCCCAGAGAGAGAAGGCCCTGTCGTCTGTGGGGGCCACAGGTCTCCACCCGTGCTCAGCCCCTTCCCTCACCTCCTCCCATCTTCCTCAGGATCCCGCTCCCCCACCCCCTCATCCCTCTGCACAGACCTGCCAAGTTTGGGACATGAGAACAGGCCAGGTCCCCTCTGGGGAGCCCGGGGTGGGCGGAGCCAGGCCTGGCTGGGCCTCCAGGTTGGCCTGCCCTGGCCCCTGGGTTTAATAAACTCCGAGAGAGGTTTTCAAAGGCCACTTGATCTTCCCCATCAGGCAGCCCCTGTCTCCCTTTCAGAGCCGCGGGACTGGAAAGAAAAAACCGCTCAATGAACAAGGCGGCCAGAGAAAGCTGAGCTGCGGGGCACCTTCTATGAATTTCTGATGAGCCCACGGCCCTGACTCCTGGGTCCCGGCCCGGTGCAGTCAGGGATGTTAGTTTAAGTCATTTCGCACGGTTCACTGGCTCTCTGAGAGCAGCTTGTCTCCAGCCTGGGCCTCTCTAACAAGCTCTTTTTACTCAGGGCTTCTCTGAGCATAGACCTCAAACAATAGCAGCTTTCAAGGGGCTCGGCCCTCCTCTGGCGGCCTCCCTCTCCCAACCCCAGCCAAGCCCAGCCTCTATCGCTCACTGCCCACCTGAGCGCCCCCACCCACAGCCTGACCCGCAGCGGCATTCAGGGAAGACTCGCCCCTTCCTCCCTCCCTCCCTCCCTCCCTCCCTTCCTTTCCTGTCTTCCTCCCTCCCTCCCTCCCTCCCCTTCCTTTCCTCCCTCCCTCCCTCCCTACTGCCCCTGCCCTTTCTTGCTGTAAACAGGGCAGGAGTGCGCAGTGGGGCTCTCAGGAGCAGGCCACACTGCCACGCAACTCTAGAACACTGTGTGGATGGCACCCCCTGGGGTTGTGCAATGAAGAGCCCCCAGTAGAACGCAGCTCATTCCAACACTCTAAGCCTATTGGGCTCCTCAGCCCTCTTGAAACTGAGCAGTTTCCTCCTCCCTTTAGTCCAAGGAGGGAGCTGGCTTCCTCCACACTGCAGGCTGTCACCTGCCCCGCAGGACCCAGACCTGGTGGGGTTGATGGAGTTGCCTCCAAGAAGCGTGAAGCCGGCTCGGAGCACCTCTAGTGCCCAAGCCTGAGAGCGGACATTGGCGGCAGCGTCCCCCTGCAGAGGGGCTCCCCAGACACCAGAGGGACCGTGGCTCTCATCAGTCCAGGCCTCTCTATCTTCCCCATTCCCACTGTTCTCCACTGTCCCCCCTGTTCCTCAGAGCAGTGATGAGACAACTTCCAGTCCTCCCTACCTGCCTCTGGCCTTCTTGCTCGCTAAGGGGTCTTAGGAAGAGACTCCTGGGAAGAGGTTCATTAATCAGCAGATGAGTCATTTACATGTTTAGACTAGACCTCTGGCCAAAGCAAACAAACAAACAAAGTTCATATTGAGACAAGTCAATATTTGACTTAATGAGAGTGCCTTGCCAGTTGAATGCTTTGATGGTGACCTTTGACCTGGGAGCTTTGGAAGGCATTTGAGCTGCAGTCCCATGGACACTGCACTTTGGGAGGGGCTCCAGCCCCACTCCTACAGCACCTGCCAGCAATTAAGTTTCCCTCCCCAGGGATCTAGGCCCTGCCTCTGGGGCCATGGGGTCTCTCACCTTTCAGGAGTCCCAGGCAGCCCAGGACTTCTTTCTTTCTGGAAGCTGCTAGAGAAAGCCCAGTTTCATGTCCCCTTTGCAAACCCCCCCACGCTAATAACTCACCTTCTTCAGGAAGTGAAGTCTGATCAGAGACAGCCTGGCAAGAGGAAAGAACGAGAAATTGGGGACAGGACCCCGATCCCAGCTATACCTTCAACCCCTGTTTGCTGTCTGACTTTGGTGAACATTCCTGTTCTCCAGCCTGAATTCCTCATGACAGTGTGGGGACTGGATTTCTTTCTTTCTTTTCTTTTCTTTCTTTCTTTTCTTTCTTTCTCTCCCTTTATTTCTTTTTTTTGGACAGAGTCTCAAAGAGCAGAGTCTAAAGTGCAGTGGCTTGATCTCGGATCACTGCAGGCTTGACTCAGGCTCAGGCAATCCTCCCACCTCAGTCTCTCGAGTAGCTGGAACCACAGGCACACACCACCACACTCAGCTAATTTTGAATTTTTTGTAGAGATAGGGTTTTGCCATGTTGGCCAGGCTGGTCTCAGACTCCTGGTCTCAAGTGATCCACCTGCCTAAGCCTTCCAAATGCTGGGATTATAGGTGTGAGCCACCACTTCTGGCCCCATGTTTCTCAAGAGTTTAGTTCCCACTTGTCCAGTTTCAGAATCCCCTGGAGGTCTCGTCAAAAATGCAGACTTCAAGTCCCCTCCCCAGACCCGCCACTAAAGCAGAATTTCTGGGGGTAAAGCACAGTCTGCATTTGAACATGTCCCCAGGTGAGTTTTAGGCCCACCAGAATTGAGAACCACTGTCCTAGTTGGTCCCAAACTACAGCTTTAGCTGAAAATCTGCCTAGGTGCTCAGTCTGAAGTCACTTTAGCCCTATTCAGGGCTGGATTTTCCAGGAAGCTAATGGCTTTTGCACAGGATCCTTGCAAGGCCCTGGGAGGAATCCTGGTACATTTGTGTTCATACTTGTGAATTCTTTTACTTAAAAAGAGTTCCCACCACCACCACCAAATTGTAAAAGCTCAGACCCCGCCAAGCCTGGCTTTGCTCCTGGTTGAACAGTTGATTGGTGATTTTGTATTGAGTCTGAAGTTTTGCCACAACTCTCCCCTCTGATAAGTTCACCTTCAGTTTCTCTTGCATTCCGTATCCTTGTAGAGTCTATATTCTTTGCACAGTGAGAGCCATAATATTATCTCTAACTATCACTTCTACTGAAATCCCAGGGGTCAAATTTCAGTGACCCATTATGGCCAGAGGTAGAAATAATTCCAGAAACAGAAAAGTGTCCCAGGCTGGCTGCTGCCCCCAAACCCAGACTCTATTCACCAAAAGAGGTTTATTCCCAGGTGTTGGGACAGGTCAGACCAGGCCAGGTCAAGAAAGTCGGGCCCCAGTGTTTAAGCCAATTGGCCATTCTTCACATCAAACCAGATTTAAATTCAAATCTTGACTTGGCCTCTTATCAGCTGAGCGATGCTAGAACCTCAGACTCCTCTGGCATGAAGAGGTGAGGATCCAGGCTGTGGCGAAGGTTGCAGGGACAGTAGATGTAAAAGCACAGTTGTAAAATATTGCTCATTGGGCAATATGGAAGCGAGGGGCCTTGACACCATCAGTGATCTAGAGTGTGCATGGACTGTGCCAAATCCTTCCAGTGCAGCTGTGTTGCAGAGAGGCGACCAAGGCCCCCTACTGACCATACTGTCAGGGGTAGGAGTCCTGCCAGCACCCCTCATCACAGGGACTAAACAGTACCCTGGCATGCACTGCACTCCCTTCCCTCTTTAGTGTGGGCCACAGAGCTGGGCAGGGAAGTAGACGGCGGGGGCAGGACAGGATGTGGGTGGAGAACCTCTCTGCTCCCCTGACCCCCTGCAGCCCTTGGCAACTCAGGGGGACAGGGAGAGGGAGGAGGAGGAGAGGAGGAGGAAACCACATCTGGTCTGAGTGAGGCTCATAGCCAGGAGAGCAGGGCCCTGAGCTGGGAGGAGAGGAAGCAGGGAGGGCTGGCATGGGCCTTGGCCAGTCCAGGAGAGCAGAGGGAAAGTAGTTGGTGTTCGGGGAAAGCAAATAAATAGAGGGGTTGAGACAATAATAATAAAGAGAAGAGCCATTAAAGTGAAGAATAGAGATTGTGTCACACCCAAGACAAACAGAAAATAAACAGCCAGTAGATCCCCTCCGCAGATGTTTGGCACTGAGTGAAGACAGATTAAAGATGCGTGGAAGATGCCTAAGTCAACCAAGCCTCTACCAGCAGCAGCTGGAGAGCAGGTGGATGGAAGCCTCCGCCAGAGAGGTCTTTGCGGCTGAAGGGAGCCAGCCCCAGAGACCACGGCACCCTCCGGAAGCCGGCACCTGCAAGCGTGGGATGGGAGGAGAGGGAGATGCCGTCCCTCCCCGGACAGGGCTGGTCCCTCTGTTGGTGCAGTCCCCTTGGCCTCCTGCAGGACCACGTCCCCCAGCACCCAGGTGGAGTAGGTTCTTCAAGTGGCCTCATAGACATCCTGCCCCTTTGCTGCTTTGCCACCAGGCCCATTTCAATGACTCTTCAAGGACCCGGTCTTTTTTTCTTCTTGGCATCTGGCTTCTGAGCTGACCTTTGTCCTGTCCCAGTGAGAGGGTGGGGGAGCTCAGCATCGGGGGTACTGCACCCCCATTGACTCAGTCTTCTACTCTGGGTGTCTGGCACCACAACAGACGCCTTGGGGGTTACAAAGATGAATAAGACACCATTCCTTCTCCAAAGGTACTTATGATCTGGGATAAAGGAAACTCAAATTTTCTGAGTGTCCATTCCATAATACCTCTCTGCCCGGTGCCTTCAAATGGTCTACCTTATTTATTCTTCAAAATAACCCTGTTCGTAGGAATTATCCCTTCATTATTCCTAACCAGGAGGAGGCTGAGGACCAGAGAGATTTGGTGCTGTTTCTATGGTTGCAAAGCTAGGAAAGGATGATCTGGTACTCAACCCAAAGTCTAGTGCTCTTTCTCTGAACCCGTAAACAACCATAAGGTGAAGCAGAATTTGACAACAACCAAAGAAAAGCACGTGCTCTTAAAAGATACAAGAAAGAGTTCTCCTGTCTCGCATCCACCCCTGCCCCCTTAATGAGAACCAAACTTCATCTTTCTGTTCTGTGCGCCAGCAGGGAGGAGCCGGCACATCCCATGCCCAGCTAGGGCCAAGCGCCTGCAGGTGTCTGAGGAATGCTAATGGCCGTGAATTGGGGGAGGGTGTGCACAGGCTCTTCTGCAGCATTTGCTTCCCATTAAGCCCATTCCTCTCCAGACCCTCCTGCCCGCTCCAGCAACATGCAGCTTTCATGAGCCAATTACCATGCCCAGGTTTTTCTGTTCCTCTGAAGCCACTGACACTGCTAACCAGGCACAGATGCAGTAGGGCATGCCCCTGCTGTCCACTTCAGAGCAGGGTTTTTCTTTGCCCCAAGGACCACAGGTAGAGGGAGGAAGGTTGGATAGTCCAATTTCAACTCAGCCCCCAACAGGAAGGGGAGGCCTCAAAGGGCAATTTGTTGATTACGAGTGGTTTTTCGAGTGGAATAGGATCAGCTGGGTGACTTGTGCCTAGCCAGGACTGAAGAGTCATGGACAGGGCAGGGGACCCAACTGGGAAGAACAGAGACTAGGTTTGAAATAAATGTGCAGGCCAGGAGAGCTTCCCCTGAAACCTTTAGTTTACAAATAGGTATCCAGAGTCTTAAGAGTAACTTAATTCAAAACGAATTGCATTAAAACCTACTTAGAAACTAATCAGAGAGCCTGAAACCTCATATTTTCTTCCTATTTCTTAAATCTCATCAGCCTTACCATATTTTCAACCTCTTAAAATTTTCTTTGACCTTCAAGTCTCAGTTTTCCATGGACTTTCACAGATATTCCTGGACAAATTTAACCTCTCCTTTCTCCTTAATCCCTCCACACACTGGCTGTATTTCCTTGAATCCAGTTTCACTCTACCATATCTCTGTGGGTTTATTCTTATGTATTTTCCCCCAGAAATCCCAATGTTTCTTTAATCTGAGGACAGTGTCCTTTCATCAGTTCTGGAAAATTGAACGTTGCCATGTCCCTTTCTCTATATTCTTCTCCTGTGCAACTCCCTGTAAAGGTAATTTGGATCCTCTCATTTTATCCTCTATGCCTTTTTGGCTTCTCCTCCACATTTTTTCTCTCTCCTGTTTCCATGCTACATTTGTTGTAATTTCCTCTGATCTATCTTTCAGTTCATTAATTCTCTGCTCAGCTTCATCTAATCTGCTGTCTGACACATCTATTGAGCTTTTAATTCAATGACTATATTTTTTATTTCTAGAAAGTTCTTGTTTTTTAACAAATTTGCCTGTTTCTTCCAAAATATCCTATATTTTCTTTATGTTTCTATGTTTTCACCTTTTTAATCATTTTAAACATAGTTATTTTAAAGTCTCTTTCAGATTGTTACATTGTTTTATTTATTGGAATGCTAAACTAGTTTGATATGTTTGCTGACTTTCTCTAATAGTATATCATTTCCTGATGTGGGTTTGTAATTTTTTTATTGTTTGGGCAACTTCAAAGGGGATCAGATTTTGCTGTGAAATGCTGTTGCTCTGGGGCACATTCCTCCTGAATAGCTGTGTATTTCCTTCTCTTGATACACCATGAGTTTTACTGGTCTGGGATCTATTTTTATATTAATTTCTCAGCTTGGGAATTCCAGCAGTGGAAATTCAGACACTGTAGTCACATATGGTTCAGGCCTGCAGCTTCTATTTCTCACAGAAGACTTTTTTCTATTTAGAGTCCCAGTCAGGATAAGATTAACTGTCCCTACCCTAAG
Organism: Homo sapiens; assembly: GCF_000001405.40. Lineage (NCBI taxonomy): Eukaryota > Metazoa > Chordata > Mammalia > Primates > Hominidae > Homo > Homo sapiens. Next base: position 126,152,971 of record NC_000011.10, read on the forward strand.
CCTGTGATTGGTATTTTTTTGATCCTGGTTTGTCTGAGGTTATATCTCTTACAGGGTCCCAGTCTTTGCATAGGTCTCAATTTTAGCTATCTTCCTCTTATAAACTAGAGATCATGTCACCTGCCCCCAGGGCAGCATCAAAACCATAATGCCTAGCACCTAGAGCTACATCCATCCTGATGTCCCTCATGGAATAGCACCATGGCTTCAGCTGGTGGAGCTCACGACTCAGACTTTACGTTCTATGTTTACTTAGTGGTAATTTTTTCACTGTGCTTTCCATTCCAGGTCATGAATGTCAAGCACTTTTTTTCTCCTACAGTGCCTAGCATGGTGCTCTGTAATGAGCCTTCTTATTTAGCCATTCACATACTCGACATCCTTAGACCCAAACAGGACTCCTTTATACGTGCAGAATCCAGAAGCCAGCAAGGGCATGAGGCATGATGGAAGGAGGGGTTGCAAGCACAGGGAAGAGGAGAAACAGCAGCAGTGAGCACGTGCCTGGAGCAGGATGCTCCCCTGCTCTCCCTGGAGCTTGTTTCTTTCCTAGGACCTAATGCAGGTCATAAGGAGAGATCTGGACCAAGAACTGGACCTCCTTTAGTCTAATCTCAGGCATGTATGAGCTGAGTGAACTGGGAAGTCACTTCGTCTTTCTTGAGTATCTGTAAAATGGAGATGAGGGGTTGGCCTGGGTGCTGTCCAAGATCCCTTCCAGGTCTCACAGCCTTTGGAGCTGCAAGTGAAGAACATGAACTGGACATAATGGGCTGGGCTCTCGCCCAGATGTCCGCCACCTTTTCCCCACCCCAGATCACCCACTGGAGTTTCTAGCTCTCCCGTGCCGCTCCTTCCTCTAGCACCCAGGTCTCTCCTTTCCACCCAGCCTCCTTTCACCATTCCCTGCTGTCCCTTCACATCTACTCCCTACTGAGGCCTTTGTCCTGTGTCTGTATCTTATGAAAGGAGGGTGACACTGTGGTGGCAATTAGTATCCCCTACAGTGGTGGGGGATGAGTCTCATGGGGCATCAGAAGGGAAGGGCAGGTGAACAGCAACCCAGTACCTAGCTGTGCAGAAGCCCCATCTGCTTCTAGCTTCAGGGTTTCCCAAGCCTTGGACTGGAGACCCTGCATCTTAATGAGCCTCTTGAGCCGGTTCAGAAACAATGAATCAAAACCAGCTGGAAGCTGCCCTCCGACCCAGCTAATGACTTGTTTATTGTCAGAGCAGCAGTGCGTCATATAAGGGAATTTCAAAGTGTCACTAATTGGCAGAGCGCCAGTAAATAGCACCATATAAATCTGAAGACACTTCCACTAGGGCTGAGGACTGTGGAAGATACAGCTGAGGCAGGGGAAGAGGAGATTGCAGGGCGTGGCAGTGGGTGCAAAGCGCACCCACTTGTCAATGGCTGCAGCCTCTTCCCTGTATCTCTACCATCCCATGGGGACTGTGTTTGCTCCGTGACTAGGGAAGAAAGCCCTGTGATGGGCCCTGTCCCACCTCTGATGACATTGTACTGCACACCTCCAACCCCAAGATGCCTCGCTTCCTGCCGTACTATGGGGGACGCAGCTTGTAGCACTGTATTATGGGAAAAGGTGTCCTCTTGCTGAGGAAAGGACTCATGATCTCATCCGAGTCGGGTGAGTACATCTGTAAACATAAAGTCCCTTCTATGCATTACACAGAAATGTTCTGCTAACTGAAGAACTGCAGTGAGACCCTTACTCCAGTGGGCCCTTCCCTGCTCTCCCTTGAGTTCATTTCTTTCCTAGGAGGTAGTGCAGCTCATAAGGAGAGACCTGGACCAAGAGCTGGACTTCCTTTGGTCTGATCTCAGGCATGTATGAGCTAGAAGGACCAGGAAGCAATGACTGATACGATAAAAAGAAGCTCCTTCTCACTCAGCAGGACCCATGAGCTCCTGCTGGAAGCAGAACGAGAAGGTGGGCCAGCAACGGGTAATCAGCGAAACCAATGGCTGTTCCTTCCTTGCTCCCCAGCGCCTCTCATACATGCAGCCTTGCTGGCGGCTCCGCACTTATCTATTGTTTTGAACTAACAATTTGGAGAAGAGGAAGCAAGAGTAAGTGAGAAAGGAGGAAAAGCATAAAGTAGAAAATAAAAGGGGGTAGAAGGGAAGACAGAAGGTCAGCATTTCAAGTGGCATAACCTCTGTGAGGCTTGGCAGGCCAGGGCAGGCACAGAAAGCCTTTTCCTTCTGGCCCGGCTGGGAAGGCGAGTTTGGGCTCTGCAGCTCTGTGGAGAGGGCGGTGATCGGGCAGAGGCACCGAGGGCTGATTCCTCGGGGTTGACCATTCTGTGTCTGGGAGTGATGGCCCTAACGTTAGGCCCAGCCTACTGCTGGCTAAGCTTATGACATGTGGCATCAAGAAGCCAGGTGGAGAATGGGAGGAAGGCAAGCTCTGTGTGCAGCAGAGAGGACAGGAAGTTCAAGGACACCTGTGATCTCAAGATGAGAGCAAGGACTGCGTAAATTTAGGGACATCCATCAGGGCCAGCGGTGTAGTAAGAGAACTCCCTAGCACAACCCAGCTGATCTCTCACGGTGGGTTCCATGATTGCCATCCCCATTTTACAGATGGAAAACTGAGGTTCAAAGATTCAGGACATTTCAGGGCTGCTTACTCGCCCACTCATGCACTCCCAAGCGTGGATGGAGAACTTACGTCTCGGGCCCTGGGCTGGGAACGGTGAAACTTGCAGATGTGAATGAGCCACAGCCTGTGTCCTCCACGGGCTTCAGAGCTAACAGGGGAAATGGCATCCGAACAAATAAAGAGAATGTAAAACACCACAGGGGAAAGAATTGGGAAAGAGGAATGAGCAGAACACACGGAAGAGGATAGGAGGGGTAAAGTCTGATCTGGTAGGAACAGGGGGCACTTCACAGAGGGGTGATATCTGAGGTGAGCCTTGAAGAAAAGAGAGATTTCTAACAAGTGAGCGAGGCCCGCAGGGGAAAGGCAGGCCCCACGGAGAGGGCCCGGGCGCTGCGGCTGCGTCTTCCCGCCTCCCCGCCCACAGCCACGCTCACAGCACACGGAGGCTGCGGGCTCGTGTCCAGCTCATGGAATAGTCGCTGAGACAAGGCACTTGGGCAAAAAGTACCCGGCTGAGGAAATTCCCCCAAACAGAGACACAGGACGTCCTAGTGGCCTTGGCCCCTATGTCCCCCGATCTCCATGTCTTTCTCCTCCGAGGAATCCCTCACGATTTAGCCCTTTGCCTGACTTTATTAGCCAAATACCTGGTTTCAAGTATTAAGAACACCTGAAAAACTTTATCCCCCAGTACATCTACTTTGTTATGTTTCCAACATTAAAATTTTAATTTTATTAATTTTTATAATTGGTTTCATATGATGCAGACATAAAACAAGAGTCAAAAGGACATATAAGGAAACCAGGCATGGTGGCTCACACCTGTAATCCCAGTACTTTGGGAGGCTGAGGCAGGCAGGTCACCTGAACTCAGGAGTTTAAGACCAGCCTCACCAACATGGTGAAACCCCACCTGTACTAAAAATACAAAAATTAGCGGGGCATGGTAGTAGGTGCCTGTAATCCCAACTACTCAGGAGGCTTAGGTGGAAGGATCACTGGAAGCCAGGAGAAGGAGGTTGCAGTGAGCCAAGGTCATGCCACTGCATTCCAGCCTGGGTGGCAGAGGGAGACTCCGTCTCAAAAAAAAAAAAAAAAAGGACATAAAGAAAAGTATTCCTCCCATCTCTGCCATGGGCCACTTAGCCCCTCTTCCTGTTCCCAAATATTCTCAATATTACCAGGGCCTTGAGTATTTTTTTCTGAGACTTTCTACTTGCATGTCCTTTTTAAAAAGAGAAATACCTTCATCCACTGAAATACATTTTCTGGGCTATTTTAGACCTTCCCTGCGGGGAGACAAGAAGGAACAGTACGTAATTCCTGGCCCATGTGGAAGAGCAAAATCCTCCTTAAGACTCTACACACAATTGCGCAACGTTCGTCCTCAGTAATCTAGCTCATCTTGTTTGCGTTATACGCATCCTCTCTTGCAATGCTCTCAGTAACCTATGGCCAGCGCTACTGTCATTATCCCCATTTCCCAGATATGGAAACTGAGGCTCAGAGAGGTTCAGAAACTTTCCTCTCTCACCAATCTAATAGGTGGCAGCATAAGGATTTGAACCCAGGCCTGTCACATTGCACATCTTTCATCTTTTTTTTTTTTTTCCTAAACGGAGTCTCACTCTGTTGCCTAGCAGCATGATCTTGACTCACTGCAACCTCTGCCTCCTGGGTTCAAGTGATCCTCCCACCTTAGCCTCCCAGGTAGCTGGGATTACAGGCGTGCACCACCACACCTGGCTAATTTTTATATTTTTGGTAGAGACAGGGTTTCACCATGTCAGTCAGGCTGATCTTGAACCCCTGGCCTTAAGTAATCTGCCTACCTCAGCCTCCCAAAGTGCAGGGATTACAGAGTGAGCCAGCGTGCCCAGCCCAGACTGCACATCTTTGAGTCTTAACCACTACACAACTGTTTCTAGAAAAAGGAAGTGGAAAGCACTTTGGATTTGGCAGAGCAAAAGCGAGAGAACCTGCACAGAGCAGAGCCTAAAATCCAGTCTCCCACTCAGATGTCCAGGGAGAAATCCACCTGCAGAGAACATCCCAAGTTTCTGCATGAGATTGTTCTCCCCCAGCTCAGGGTTTGCACTGCATTTGGAGCAGGGGAGAGAGCTATGCCAGGAAACAGAACCGCTGCACACAGAGAAATGTCTTCTGGGCAGCCTGAGTCAACAGGCCTCCCATGGGCAAACGCCACCAGAAGACCAGAGCTGGTTTTCAGGGAGGCTGCACTGAGAGACCCACCTTCCTGGACCTGATCCATCATAGCTGCCTTCCTATGGGCCCTGAAAAGATCTATGTAAACCCCCATACACAGCGCCACTTGGCACTAATGGCTTCAGGGTAGAAATGCCCTGGTCACTCCGAGGACCCAGGGCAGGGTTTTCCAGCAGCCTAGGAGGAGCCTCTGAGCAGAGAGGGTTCTAGGAAGAGCTTGGCCATCATGCCAGACAGAGATGATTGCACTAATAAGGAGAGAGGTGGCCGGCCAGAGCCCTCCTTTGGCCCCAAGCCTCCAGTTAATGAGACTTCACAGGGAGAAAGGGCCTCTCGGGTGAGGCGGGTGGAGCCACAGAGGCCACAGAACAGCTGGAGGCCAGCAGTCACTGAGGCTGTTTATTAGGAGACAAAGAAAGAACTTTGCTCCCTGCACTGAGGTCAAACTCAAGGTATCCCAGGGAAATGACAGGGGAATTGATGAAGTAAGGAGGCAGCCAGTTTGACAAGTTGTTGGCTGGCCCCTGCTCCAGCAGTGTGGTCTCAACCTGTGCCCCCCACCCCTCCAACAACCAAAGTCCTGGAAAGCACTCACCTTAGTGGAGCAAGATTCTCCCCAGCAAGCAGGCCAAGTCCCCAGGCTTCCAGGCCACTGGGTGGGCTTCTAGCAAATGATGCACACCCGACCACCAGGCAGGGAAGGGGAATGGAGAAGACAGTGGCAGCTATTTCCTGGGCTCCCACAGAAGTTCCAAACCACCTCCACGCACTTGCCAACCCACCTCCAGTTCAGACACATGCAGATTTTGCTCAGGGCTAGAATGTCCCTGAGGTAAGTAAACAGCCTTTGGTGACGGTTGTGGCGGTCTCTGCCTCTGGGGACAGGCAGCTGAGTCCCAGTTTTGAATGAGCAGGACTGCCCCCCACACCATCCCGACATCCTTGGATGTATAAGGAGGGAGGGGTGTGGAGCTTGCATAGGATAGAGTGGATTTTCTGGGAGTCTGAGTGGGAGGAAATTCAAGCACTGCATTGTGGGGCACAGGAGAGACAGACTGGGGGGAGACATGTGCATTTACATTATTTACAGAATGGAAATTCAGACACTTGAGTCACTTAAGTGGCAGGTTTCCATGAAAATTAGGTTTCTATTTTTTTAATAAAAGAAAGGAATATGTGTGTGAGAGCCTGTGTGTATGGTGTCTTGCACAAGTGAGTGTTTGTGTGAGTCTGTGTGTGGACAGCAACCCGCAAGAGTGTGTGGGTTTGAGACCGTCTGTGTATGGCATCTTGCATGAGTGTGTGTGTGTGTGTGTGTGTGTGTGTGTGTGTGCGCGCGCGCGCACCTGTGTATGGTGTCTTGTATAAGTGTTTTTGTATGGTATCTTGCATGAGTGTGCGAGAGACCGTCTGTGTATAGTGTCTTGCGTGAGTACATGACTGCGTGTGAGCGTGTGTGCATACAGTGTCTTGTATGACTGCATGTGTGTATGGTGTCTTGTATGACTGTGTGTGTATGGTGTCTTGTATGACTGTGTGTGTGTATGGTGTCTTATATGACTGTGTGTGTATGGTGTCTTGTATGACTGTGTATGGTGTCTTGCTTAGTGGGTGAGTGTGTGTGTGAGTGCAGGGAGTGGGGTAGGGCAGAAGACGGTGATAAGAAAGGCAGTATCTTCTTTGCCTGCATACTAAGTTCAACACATGCACCCATACCCATACAAAACCCAGGAATTTTCACCTTTAACAAGATAGAAACACAACTCAAGATGGACCTCTCTGGCCATGTCCCCCAGAGTGTAACTTCTCTTCCACATGGGGTCTGTTCTTCCTCCCTCCCCACAGCTTTTCAGCTGGGAAATTGATACCCACCTCCCATGAGCAGCCTTTCTAAGCGACCGGGAGCTCCCTGCACCCTCAGCCTGACCTTCCCGTGCTGAGCCTGGGCCCCTGGCCCCAGCGGGGCGGCCAAAGCTGCCGCCAGGGCCCATCCATCAGGCTCAGCACAGCCTCCCGCCCTCGCCTGCCCCCACCACATCCAGCCTGTAAGTCAGCAGGCCGCCGAGAGGGACCCCCAGGGCCTATCTGCCACCACTGCCCCCTCAGCACCCCCCTCGGCGTAACAGCTACTGGGCAGAGGAAAGTAATGATTCCTCCCCTCCCAGCCTCCTCCTTCTAAAGCTGACAGCCTCTCCCTCCTACCTGGTGACCTGCTGAGATCTGCTGAGACCAAAGCTGCAGGCCAAAGATAAAAAATGCCTGGCTATTGACTAAGACACAATAAAGGGCCAATTTGCATGTTATTTGCATACCAAGTTAATGTCAAAATGGAATGAGCCCCCGTACCGCTGCAGCTTTCCTCAGTGGCCCTTATCCTCAACCTTTCTCTGCAGGCCCTGCACGGGGCAGGGGTCTCTTTCAGGCCTGTTGATGGCAGGGGTCTGATCCCAGCTGGGCTGCGGCACATGGTAAGCCGCCCAGAGGGCACCTCTCCACTGTGTCCTCGGCGGCCCCTGCCTCGGCACACTTTCTCAGCACCCTGAGAAAGGCCAAATCCCATGCTGGCCTCTTGCCCCCGCCCACTGCGCCCCACGCCCCACCTGCTGTGTTTGTGCAGGGGTGGAGGGAACATAATGAGAGGCTGATGTTCCTGCAGCTGGGCTGTGTTTGGAGTCTGGTGGAGTGAGGGGAGGGCAGCAGGGCAGGTCGGGGCAGCAGGACGGAGGGCCAGGCAGGGCCGCAGAGCCTCAGGGCCCAGCAGTAACAGCTCACACATGATTTTTCTCCCCACAATGTTCTCCACTCCAAGCCTGTGGGCCCCCAAGTCGGAAGCTTCCAGGACTGTAACAAGCTTTAGTTTATACACAAACAGCTGCATTTTCCTACTACCGTTTACTGCAAGGGAGCCAGCGCAGCATCCTCTCAGCTTTGCTTGGCCTCAGCAGTGAGTTGAAGCTCGGCTTGGCCAGCCTGGGAGAGCAGGGACGGCAGGGCCTGTGGATGGGACGCATCACAGGTGGGTCCTGAGCTCTGGGGTCTGTGATTCAGTTTCTCCTCCCCCAGTTCCCCAGATTCCCTGTCCCCTTGGACTTCGGTGTGTACTTACTCCAGCATCCCTCATCTCACCCGCGTATAAATACAGAGAAGGAAAAGAGTTTCAGAACGGAGGCAGTCGTTTCAGAATGAGTTGGATCATTTGCCAGGTGAAAGGACCGCCCGTGATGTCCTATAGTGCCTTGGTGTGCCATCACCTCCAGGCAAGGGTGGCACACGGGAACTGTGCATGTCCCCTCCCCTTCCACACTTCACTGCAGCCAACCAAGGCTTTGCTTCCCGGTAGCCTCTCCCAAGGCCCAAGGCGGCCTGGCTGACAAAGGACAGATCACTGCCCCAAGGAAAGGGCATGGAGAACAGTGGCCCATGTGAGAGAGGGGTGTGTGGACAGAGGGGGCATCTGAGGACAGGAGGCGAACCCAGCTCTGATGTGGTAAGGGCTCTCACAGCCCTGCAGTCCCCACACCCAGTCACCCTGCAGCAACCAGGCGAGGAGGAGGAAGAAGGCTCCGTCCAAAGTGGGGCTAAGCTTGCCTCTTCTGACCTATAGCATCAGAGAATGGTGACCCTACCCATGCCGCCCCGCCGACCACAGTTAGGCCCCTTTGGAGCGGCGTGGGGTGGGGACCCAGCAGGGTTGGCAGCATCCGCTTCAGGGCTGCACGCTGAACAAAAGCAGGGCGAGCTGGAAGCAGATGCTGGCACCTAACAGAGCAAACAAGTCACTCCACCTCTCTGTGCTTCCGTTTCCCCCTGCCCTTTTTTTTTTAATACTTGAAGTTCTAGGGTACATGTGCACAATGTGCAGGTTTGTTACATGTGTATACATGTGCCATGTTGGTGTGCTGCACCCATTAACTCGTCATTTACATTAGGTATATCTCCTAATGCTATCCCTCCCCCTCCCCCCACCCCATGACAGGCCCTGGTGTGTGGTGTTCCCCATCCGGTGTCCAGGTGTTCTCATTGTTCAATTCCCACCTATGAGTGAGAACATGCGGTGTTTGGTTTTTTGTCCTTGCGATAGTTTGCTGAGAATGATGGTTTCCAGCTTCATCCATGTCCCTACAAAGGACATGAACTCATCTTTTTTTATGGCTGCATAGTATTCCATGGTGTATATGTGCCACATTTTCTTAATCCAGTCTATCACTGATGGACATTTGGGTTGGTTCCAAGTCTTTGCTGTTGTGAATAGTGCCGTAATAAACATACGTGTGCATGTGTCTTTATAGCAGCATGATTTATAATCCCTTGGGTATATACCCAGTAATGGGATTGCTGGGTCAAATGGTATTTCTAGTTCTAGATCCTTGAGGAATCGCCACACTGCCTTCCATAATGGTTGAACTAGTTTACACTCCCACCAACAGTGTAAAAGTGTTCCTATTTCTCCACATCCTCTCCAGCACCTGTTGTTTCCTGACTTTTTAATGATCGCCATTCTAACTGGTGTGAGATGGTATTTTCCCCTCTTACAATCAGGATAAAGAAACTCCTTCCTGTGGTTGTAGCAAGAGTGAAATGTGTAACCTATGTGAAGCACTTGGAATGGGCCAGGCACACAGCAGACACTCAATAACAGCAGCTGTTAGATCTCAGCAAGGCGGGGCAAGGAGCATGAGAGGGCGGCTGGGGAGAAGGGAAAGGAAGGCTTGAGGCAGACACTGGCCTTGCTGCCTCCATCTGCACACTGTGAGTGACCTGCCAGGTGCAGCGGCTGTGATCACCTCCAGGAATCTCCTGGCCCTCTTCTCAATCTTCCTTTAGAAAAACAGCCAGAGGAATCAAATCTCCTCTCTCCACTGGGGTCCTTCAGCCCCGGCTGCCCACCCCCTTGATTCTGCTGTCCAGCCCCTAAGGAGAAGGTATGGATTTTGGAGGCAAACAAACCTGGGTTGAATTCCCTATTCGGCCTGGAGTGGGCTGTGTGGACTTGAGCAGGTCTTCACACCTGGCAGGAACGCGACCACCGCCGGAGAGCCATCAGGCCCTTGGGACGATCGGGGTGCCCTCCCCACAAATCCCCAGCTCTGTGTGACCCAGGACAAGTGGCCCAGCCTCACACAGGCAGATTCTGCTCAGATCAAAAGCAATCACGAGCACAGGGCCTCAGGGCGATGGGCAAGACATGGGACCCCAGGATTGCTACAGTGTTCACTCGGAGGAAGCAGGAGCCTGGCTAATTCCCCGCTCACTGGCAGACTTTTCCAGGGGCGGCACGGCCAAGAAACTTCAGGTCCCTGCCACGAGGAGTGCGGGGGAGCGCGGAGCAGCTCACAGGAATGGCATCTTATGCCTTCCAGAAAGAGTGAGATTGATGGCACTTTTCAGGCCTCAATGAATCACACTCCCATGTGACCGCCTTAGCCTCCTGGCAGCAGATGTACTCAGCAGTCACTGTCCTCAACAACAGCACGTTTCTCACACACCCAGATGCACACGCATTGGCCGAGGGTCTTCCCAGGAGGCACTCATGACCCAGCACCCGCGGCTTGAAGTGCACGTATGCAAACCGGCACAGCCCGTGCCTATGTCAGGCATAGCTGCGGCCAGCTGCAGCTCCTGAGACCCAGGCTGGGGCCCCAGGGCACAGAATGCCCAGCGGACCGCAGCTCGGACAAGTTCCCGGCCCCTCTGCCCTAACCCCTTCCCTGCAGAGAGAGTAGGCAGAGGGAGGGGCAGCCTGAGGGAGAAAACAAACTTCAGACTCATTATCCCCAGGCCCAATCTCTGCTCTCAGCACAAATAAAGGTCTCTAATCCGGAGTGAAAAGCAAACACAGCTCCCCTCTTCTCCCCCTGTCTCCTCCCATCAGGCTCGGGGCCCTGGCTCCTGTTTTCAATACAAATATTCAATTAAACTTTCCTAGAGGGTCCAGTAATTGGGTCCCAAAGGCAAAGGTTCCCATAGACAGAGTGAGACCCCGAGACAGTGAGACCCAAGAGGGGCAGACGTACCCGGCGACAGAGAGCAACAGGCAGACCGGGAGACCAGGCAGAGAATGGGAGGCCCCAGAGGGAGGGGTCTCAGATTTGCCCGGTAATCAGGAAACCCTTTCCTAGAGCTCTGTGCCCTCAAACTCTAGCTTCCTCTGAACTGCCCTGAGAGAGGAAATGAATCTTCAAGAACAGACCACAGGGCCCCAGGTGCGGTGGCTCACACCTGTAATCCCAATGCTGTGGGAGGCCGAGGTGGGCAGATCACCTGAGGTCAGGAGTTTGAGACCAGTCTGGGCAACATGGCGGAACTCTGTCTCTACAGAAAATTCAAAATGTAGCCAGGTGTGGCTACTCAGGAGGCCGAGGCAGGAGAATTGCTTGATCCTGGGGGATGGAGGTTGCAGTGAGCCAAGATCGCACCACTGCACTCTAGTCTGGGTGCCAGAGCAAGACTCCGTCTCAAAAATAAAATAAATAAATAAATAAAATAGACCAAGGGCCTGCAGCGATGTGCTTGTCCCCGTCACAGCCATCTTCTTCATCAGCAGCTCTTGTTCCATCAGCCCTGAGCCCTTCCAGGGCCAACAGCCTCTCCTAGCATTTACCACATTTAAATCAAAACACTATAGTCCAGCCCAGCACCAAATCCTTTTAAGACCTCTCCACCTTTGATCTGAATTGCTACTACTATAATCACTCCTTTTCCTGCAGTTGCTTAAATGGAATGGCCTCAAAAGCAGAAAAATTTTTCTACTCCTATGAAAAAACTGAGACCTGGAGAGGAGGAAAATCTGGCCCAAGGTCACCCTGCAAGTTAGCGCCTGAGCATGACCAGACCCCAAGGCTTCTGGTGCCCCGTAGATTATTTTTACCTGGTTACTGTCAGTCAAGCCTGGAGAGGGGATGTCTGAGTTCCAGCTCTAGCCCCATGACTGGTCAGCTGTAACACAAGGGAAAGAAACTCCATCCTCAGCAACTTCCACGGATCCATTTCCTTAATCAGAAACTTTCTCCTGCAAGCCCTGAGGACGCTTAAACACCTAAGACACCAGGATTCAATAAATTAAGAAATGGTCGGCTACAGTGGCTCACACCTGTAATCCCAGCACTTCGGGAGGCCAAGGTGGGAGGATCACTCAGAGCCAGGAGTTTGAGACCAGCCTAGGCAACACAGGGAGACCTGGCCTCTACAAACAAACAAACGAACAAAATAGCCAGATATGCCCTGTAGTCCCAGCTGCTTGGGAGGATCACTTGAGCCCAGGAGTTTGAGGCTGCAATGAGCTATGATCCATGCCACTGCACTCCAGCCTGGGTGACAGAATGAGACCCTGTCACGCCTCTTCGACCCCGCAAAAAAAAAAAAAAAAAAAAAAAGTAAGGAGACTGGATACAAGGTGACTTTTAAAACACAGGGAGGAAGTGAGGTTAGTAATTCATGCTCCCTTCTCTTCCTTTCCCTCCTTCCCTTGGTTCCATCTTAACAAGTCAAGTTACAAGCCAGGCTGGGGGGTGGAGTAGGGGACTAAAGAAGGAGCCCAGCTGGCCCTCCTAATTAAAAACCCTAAAGCTCTCTCGACAGATCTGCCTGACAGTGTGGGATTGACTCCCTTAGCCCAGCACGGGCTGCACCTGGAGGTCTCTGCTCATGACCTCTAGATGAAGGACAAGGTTGACTGGAAAAGGAAGAAGTGAGAGGAGGGGCGGGAGCCCCATCATCAGAGCAGGAGACAGACTCCTGGGCAGCTGGCTGGAGCTGGCGTGGGATCAACACCCTGGGATGGGGCCCCAGAGGGAACGGATGGGCCTGGGTGTTGGGGCCTCCGCTGAAGGGAGGTAACAGATTGATTTCAACTGGACTTTGCCTGGATTTCCTCGTCTCGTAACCCGCACTGGTTGGATGGACGGCTGTCTGGGGCCTCTTCGAAACCCAGTTTATCAAACCTTCCCCAAAATGTTAGGTCAGCATCTCAGGACCCAGTGACCCCAAATTTCAGAAAAACTTGAGGGTTACCATTCAGCCCAAACATGCTCATTCATGGTAACCCAAGCAGGCTGGAGGCCTCCGGGCAGGCAGGGCACAGGCTGCCCCCGACCAGAGCAAAAAGTCAGCGCGTGCAGTCGGCTGGGGGAGAGGGAGAGCAGTCTGGGAGATGCTCCTCATGGCAGGGAGCCCGGGAGGCAAGAGCCGAGCCAGGAGCTTCCAAGGGAGTCTGGCTTTGGGATTTACGAGTCTCTTGTTTCCATTCAGAAGGACTCTAGGCCTCAAGTGCTCTGGAGAGGATCGTTCCATGGAGCCAAGACACCAGGCGGAAGGGAAGCTGCTTCCTCACCAGGCACCATCCTGTCCTCTCTGAGGCCAGATTCGGGGCTCACTAACTCCTTTGTTGCAGGCCAGGGCTTAGAACTTCCCTTTCTATGATTTAGGGCAAAGGATGTGCAGGAGAGGGGAAGGCCATGTTTCCTTGGTCTTGAACTCAAGGAGGAGCGTCAAGTCCTTGAAAAGTATCAGTGAAGGCAGGAAGTGCCATGATTCTCATGCCGTCTGACTTCAGATTGGAAGTCACTATGCGTAACCTTAGTATCTTTCCAGGATCACTTTTCTCAGTTGTCCAGAAATCTCCACTGTGACCCAAATCGCGCTGGCAATTCCCCTCCTCCTGCAAGTCCCATGCTAGAATTTGGATGCCATGTAAGTCTTTGGTTTAGACCCCGTGTAAATCCTGAGGTTGGCATCAGATTGTCAGACAGAAGGGAACACTGAACTCTGTGTGGTGTCCAGCACAGGCCATGTGCAGACACTGCTGCTGCTGCTGATAATGATGATAATGGTGGTGATGATGATAATAATTTATCTTGAATTTGCTGGATAAGACTTTTGGTTATGGATCCTGCTTAGGGACAGTCCCAGGATGACTGGGATCAAAGAGATGAGATGAGAGAGACTCTAATGATCCATTCCACTGGGAAATGAGCTGGTTAGTGTAGAAAAGAAAAATCCTAGGAGGCTTGGACTAAAAGTAAAAACACTACTGAGATCATTTACAGGAGCAGAGAAAGAGCGAGAAAGAGGGAAATGGTGAAAGTGAGGGTGGGGGATTCATATGACCCCAGTCCTATCAGGGAAAGCAACGCTCTTGCTGGAGACTGTCTTTAAAGGAATAAGAATGCCCTGGAGGCGTTTGAAATCCATCTCACAGTCAACAGGCATTAGCAACTGCAAGATATTTACAGGAAGCTTTTCCTCCATGACAGAGAAAAATACTTGGAGGAAGAGGCAGGTAGATCCCCAAATTCTGTTTGTACGAGATGCCTCCACACCTTTTACACACCATTCCATCTGCCTAAATGCCCTGCCGTCCCAGATGTACCTGTTTTTTGCTTCCCACTTCCCTACTAAATTAGGTGGTCCTTCTCTATGCTCATAGGGTTATTGTGAGAATTAACACGTGTAAAATCCTTAGACCTGGGACATAAATATTCAATAAAGATGTTCTGTTGTCAGTGTTGTTCTACCACAGTGCCCTTTGCACACCTCCACATGAATCCCGTGGGTTGGCAATCATATATGCTTGTCTATTGCACCCCGTCTGTGAGTTCTTGGCCAGCAGGAACCATTCATTAAATGTTTTTGTATTCTTATAACCTGGGTATGCTAAGTGGGATTTGGGACAGTTCAGAACCTGGAATATGCTAAGTGATCCTTAAATGTTGAATAAATGTACAAATGAAAAATGACTGTTTATGCACTTCTGAGATGTGTTATGAGCAAAACATGTGCCTGCCACCAGAGGTGGTCATATTCCTTTGGACATGTGTTCCCTCACCCCTCACCCACTGGTTCAGGCACTCAGCCAATAGCCTGTGGTCCACACTCTTAGGAGGGAGTTCATTTTGCTTTTCTCCAAGGCAGCCAACATCAACAGCAATGTAGAGATGGAAAACAGACCAGAACCAATGAACGTTGTTCCTTCTCCATCTGAGGTTCCAAACGTTTTAAATCTGCTAATGAGACCCAGCTAGGAGTAATCAGGAAGTGTCTAAAATTAGCTGTTTTAATTTGAGCAAGAGGGAAAGGGACCAACTCAGAAGGGGGCACAGTCTCTAGTGGAGACAGTGGGATTCTGGGAGCCTCCAGAAAAACCAGAGCAACATCTGGTGCTCCCACACCCAAGGGAATGCCCAGGATGGACCCCAGGTCCCTGTGGCTCCACACCTGGTCACAAATTGGAACAATGCATTGGCCACTTGTCCCAGAATCCATTGTGTGTCAAGCTAGAGAACAGAGGCCATGAGCTGCCACCTGGAAAACATTAGCTACAGTTTGGTTGTGAGAGGCCTTTCTCCTGCCCAACTTACCACTTTCTAACTACATTATTTTGGCTCTCATTTCCCAACACTAAAAGTTGGGCATATAGTAGAATGCTTCACTGCTTTTGTCAAACATTTTCTGAGCATTCTGGCTCACAGTGGTCCCTATAGTCTCGAATTTCTATGAGAAAACTGTCTTTACCATTCATTTATTAATCCATCAAACATTTATTGAGCATCTATTATGTATTAGTCTGTTTTCATGCTGCTAATAAAGACATACCCAAGACTGGACAATTTACAAAAGAAAGAAGTTTTTTGTTTGTTTATTTGTTTGGTTTTGAGAAGGGGTCTCGCTCTGTCGCCCAGGCTGAAGTGCAGTGGTACGATCTCAGCTCACTCTAACCTCCACCTCCCCGGTTCAAGCAATTCTACTGCCTTAGCCTCCCAAGCAGCTAGGACTGCAGGCACGTGCTACCAAGCCCAGATAATTTTTTTGTAATTTTAGTAGAGACGGGGTTTCACCATGTTGGCCAGGCTGGTCTCAAACTCCTGACCTCAGGTGATCCACCCAACTCGGTCTCCCATAGTGCTGAGACTACAGGTGTGAGCCACTGCACCTGGCCCAAGAAAGAGGTTTAATGAACTTACAGTTCCACATGACTGGGGAGGCCTCACAATCATAGCAGAAGGTGAGGGGGAGCAAGTCACATCTTATGTGGATGGCGGCAGGTAAAGAGAGAGCAAGGTTGTACAGGGAAAATCCCCCTTACAAAACCATCAGATCTCGTGAGACTCATTCACTATCATGAGAACAGCATGGGAAAGACCTGCCCCCATGATTCAATTACCTCCCACTAGGTCCCTCCCACAACATGTGGGAATTCAAGATGAGATTTGGGTGGGGACACAGCCAAACCGTATCATATTATAAGCTAGATACTGAGGTAGGGCTCAGGGATTCATGCAAAGAGGAAAAGGACACAGTGCTACTTTAAGGAGCTCAGTCTTCTGAGGAGACAAACATGAAAACAAACAATTGCAATGTCATATGATAATTGCTCTCTGGGAGGTGAGGTATGGACCAGGAACAATGGGAACAGGCAGAAAAAAATCAAGGAAGACTTTATTTGACACTTAGTATATATTGCCTTGTGTTACTGGCTTTCTTTCTTATTTCCTTATGTCTATATATGCAGTCAAAGAATGTGTCTTCCAATTTCTTATATCCCAACCTGCAGAGACCCTTTCACATGGCAGGAGTCCAATAATGTTTTTCATTCGCAGTTTTGTAAGAATTTGGGGATCTCTCATTACAGCAAATCATGACTGTCTCCATTCCTCTGACTCTACAAAAATGAGTCAGAACTACAGAAGAAAAGAATTAGGGTCAGGGCTCCTGGATCAACCAAGGGTTACCCAGTGAGCCCGTACGATCTCCTTCTTTAAAATGCTTAAAACACAGGAAAGTTTCCTACATGTCCAGGACAACTTAGGCCTAGTACTCCCTAAGGACAAGAGGATGGATTACACTAACTTCCAAAGGCCTGTTGGCTCTAAGGATTCTCTTATGTTCAGAGGCCCCCAACAAAAGACAAAAGACCAGGTCTTGGGGGGAGGGAAATTTACAAGTTAAAGGGTGGTGCCAGGGAAAGGATGGAATCCTCTACTTGGCTTCCACAGCTCTTCTCGGCTGGTCCCAGCCCTCTGGCCAGGCTCATTCCCATCATTCTCCCTACACGCCTATCACTGCCACTTTGAACTTCCCACCTGGCACCCGCACATGCTCAGGACAATTTTTTTTCTTCTTTCGTTTTTAAAGAGATGGGGTCTTGCTCTGTTGGCCGTGCTGGAGTGCTGTGGCATGATCATGGCTCACTGCAACCTCAAGCTCCTGGGCTCAAACAAAACTCCTTAAGTATTAAATAGCTAGGACTACAAGCACATGCCACCATACCTGGCAATTTTTAAAATTTTTTGGAGAGACCAGTTCTTGCTATGTTGCCCAGGCTGGTCTCAAACTCCTGGCCTCTAGCAGTCCTTCTGCCTCAGCCTCCCAAACTGTTGGGAATACAGATGTGAGCCACCCAGCCTGGCCACCCTTCTTTCTTCAGTCGAGAACTTCTGCATGTCGTTTAAGAACCTGCTCAGGGCTGGGCGCGGTGGCTCACGCCTGTAATCCCAGCACTTTGGGAGGCCAAGGAGGGTGGATCATGAGGTCAAGAGTTCAAGACCAGCTTGGCCAACATGGTGAAACTCCATCTCTACCTAAAAATACAAAAACTAGCTGGGCATGGTGGCAGGCGCCTATAATCCTAGCTACTTGGGAGGCTGAGGCAGAAGAATCGCTTGAACCTGGGAGGTGGAGCTTGCAGTGAGCGGAGATTGTGCCACTGCACTCCAGCCTGGGTGACAGAGCGAGACTCTGTCTCAAAAAAAAAAAAAAAAAAAAAAAAAGAACCTACTCAGGCCGGGCGCGGTGGCTCACGCCTGTAATCCCAGCACTCTGGAAGGCCGAGGCAGGCGGATCATTTGAGCCCAGGAGTTTGAGATCAGCCTGGGCAATATGACAAAAGCCTGTCTCTATTAAAAAAAAAAAAAAATATATATATATATATATATATATATATATGTCAGATGTGATGGCATGCACCTAGTCCCAGCTACTCAAGAGGTTGAGGTGGGAGGATCACCTGAGCCCAGGGAGTTTGAGGCTGCAGTGAGCCGAGATTACATTACTGTACTCCAGCCTAGGAGACAGAGTAAAGACCCTGTCTCAAGAAAAAAAATACATAAAAGAAAAAATAACCTAATCAAATGCCCTTTCCTCTGTAGTGCATGCCCTGACATTCTCCAGCAGAATTAGATATTCAGAAACTCCAGCATTTTATTTATATCTGGATTGTGACACTTCCAATGTTTTGTTGTAAACATACTACTTAGGACAAAAGTGATCTGGACTTCAAAGCCTGGAAAATCTTCAGGGCACACTTGAGCTCACATATTCAGATAGAAACTGGGGCGCTTAATGGGAGCGTTAGCATAGCAGTTTCCTAAAAGCCAGAGGCCCCTGGAGCCCATCTCTGGGGTTCTCCACGAATGTCCATCACTCACTCACTATTCCCCCTTTCCTCTCTCAATACCTCCCCTTTCCCTTTCCATCATGCAATCAGTTGTACCAAATCCTATAAATTGAAGTCTAAGATACTCCTCAACTCAACTCTGTCCACTTGTTCCTGCTTCAACTGCTGCCACCTTAGTCCCAGAGGTTCTCAACCCTGAATCCATATCCGAATCCCCTGGAGAGCTTTGAAAACTGTCCAGCAGTTTCCCTCTGCTCCTTTTGAGATGGAGTGTCGCTCTGTCACCCCGGCTGGAGTGCAGTGGTGCGATCTCTGCTCACTGCAAGCTCTGCTCACTGCAAGCTCTGCCTCCTGGGTTCACACCATTCTCCTGCCTCAGCCTCCCAAGTAACTGGGACTACAGGCGCCCGCCACCATGCCCGGCTAATTTTTTGTATTTTTAGTAGAGACGGGGTTTCACTGTGTTAGCCAGGATGGTCTCCATCTCCTGACCTCGTGATCCGCCCGCCTCGGCCTCCCAAAGTGCTGGGATTACAGGCATGAGCCACCGCACCCGGCCCCTCCCTCTGCTCTTGTTAGAGACCACATCCTGACTGGGCACCAAGGCCCTCACGCTCGGGCCCTCTCCAGCCTCCCCTGTGGCCTGTCTCCTGTCCTCCACCACACTGACTTTTCTGTTCCTTACATGGGTCACGCCCTTTCCTTCCTGGGGCCTTTTCAGGTGTCCCTTCCTCCGCCTGAGGGTTCTTCCTCCTTTTCCCTGCCTAGGGAACACCTCCACCTCCTCCTGGAGGCAGTAGAGGTTAAGAACGCAAGCTCCAGAGCAAGACAGCCTAGGTTCAAACCCCAGCTGCAGGACGACACCTGCTGTAGAGGGATCCCGGGCATTTGGACCTCTCCAAGCCAGAGTCTCTTCTTCCTGGTGTTGCTGCTTCAGAAGACCACTGTGGTCCGCAGAGTCCCCTCCAGGGGAATGGCACGATCACATATTCAGATGGGTGGCTCCCCTACTTTCTGCTACTACTCACAGCAGAGGATCGTGAGTTCTTTACCTGGTGCTTGTTACTGTACCCAACGCGTGCTAAGTGCTCGATGTACATTTTGTGCAATGACAACAAGTACCCTTGTCTGTGTTCCTAAAGCAGACCCCTGCCTGGAGGTCCCTCCAGTCTTCCAGTACTTGGGGTCCTGGATCCATCTCCAGCTTTCCCCAAAATGGGCAATTTACAGCTAGAGAATTGTGACTTCCTTTCTCTCTCCCCCCACAAAAAAGCAGAAAGCGAGTGGGACATCAAAAGCCTCTTTAAAACCAACATTTTGATGACTTAAGAGTAAATGAATGAGAAACATACGGCTTAAATTTTCTTTATGATCCACAGGGGCTCTTTCTGGACTCACTTTCCAAAGCTGCCAGGCTAATGATGAGAGTGGAAGTTGCTCAATTCTCACATCATCAACAGATGGCTCTCCATATTTGGAAAATTTTCACGTGGTAGAGGAAGGAAACCGCCAGCTCCTCAGATCTGTCATGTGCCCATGGCTCTCCTGCCCCCTTCCATATCTCATCCGGGTTACGCAGGACATTCTACTCCCAGTGGCCCCGAAGTTGTGGGCAGTCGGGATTGCCTTCCTGGGGCCAGGAGCCACGTAGCAGACAGAGCACAGGACTGAGCAAAGATCCACAGGCCAAGAGGCTGGTCCAGGATTTGCCACTGGCAAAGCCACACAACCTTCCTGGCTGGACTTCAGTTTTCTCATTGGCGAGATGGGAAAATGACCCTTGCTCTATCTCAGAGAGTTGTAACCAAAAATGAGACAACATTCAATCCCACGTCCAGCACACGGCAACGGGTCAACATTAGTTGACTCTGAACACAACACACATGTAAGGTCCCTGCTAGGGGTCTTAACGTTCTGTGAGCATGTCAGTCAGCAGCTGGCTCCTTTTGCTCCCTTCTAGTTGGGAGAATTCAGACCGTGTGGCTTGAGGGGAAAGGGAGGGATCAACCCATGTGGAGAAGCAGAGTTTAGGTGATCACTCCCAGGACACCCTCATTCCCAATGCAGTGACAGGCCTCGTGTCCCCAAGATCCATTCTCACCTTCAAAGTCATTGGTGAATGGCTGTGGTTTCAGTGTCATTTTTAAAACCTTTCAAACACTGACTTGCGGTGACAGACAGAAAATACCTCAGAGTCACAGCCAGACCACGCAGCCTGGCCTGAGGCACGAAACAAAGCACCTGTTATCCCAAAGCAACAGGAAGGCGCGGGGCATTGCCACGGGCAGGCGGTGCCGAGGGGGTGCCAACCTCAACACTGCAGGTCCTCCCTGTCCATTAACATTTGTTCATGGTGAAAACTAGTTCATGTGAACATCAAGCAAAGCCCAAGCCAGGGTGTGGAGGTAAGGTGAGGTGAGGGGTGGGGAGAGATGACATAAGAAGATGAGTAGGGCCAGGCGTGGTGGCACACACCTATAATCCCAGCACTTTGAGAGGCCAAGGTGGGTGGATCACCTGAGGTCAGGAGTTCGAGACCAGCCCCGTCAACATGGCGAAACCCCGTGTCTACTAAAAATACAAAAAAAAAAAAAAAAAAAAATCTGGGAGTGGTGGTACATGCCTGTAAATCCCAGCTCCTTGGGAGGCTGAGGCCGGAGAATTGCTTGAACCTGAGAGGCAGAGGTTGCAGTAAGCTGAGATCATGCCACAATACTCCAGCTTAAGCGACAAGAGCAAAATTCTGTCTCAAAAAGAATAAATAAAGAAGAAGAAGACAACGAGTAGCAGGATGTTTTCTCTATTTTTAAAGCATTGTTACTTGCTTTTTACTTTTTAAATATTTTTGTTAAAAGCTAAGACCTTGGCCTACACAGGGTGAGAACCATCAGTATCACCGTCTTCCACCCCCACATCTTGTCCCACTGGAAGCTCTTCAGGGGCAATAATGACCATGGAGCTGTCGTCTCCCAGTGATAACAATGGCTGCTTCTGGGGACCTCCTGAAGGCCCTGCCTGAGGCTGTTTCACAGTTGATTTTTTAAAAAATAAGTAGAAGAGCATTCTAAAATGGTAAAAAAGTATAGTATGGTAAATACATACACCAGTAATAGTCATTTATCATCATGATCAATATTGTGTACTGTGCATAGTTGTATGTTCTGAACTTCCACAGGACCGGCAGCGCAGCAGGTTTGTGTACACCAGCATCACCACAAACACGTGAGCAATGTGTTGTAATACAACGTTATGGTGGCTGCGATGTCACTATGTGAGGGAATTTTTCATCTCCTTATAATCTTATTCGGCCCCCGGTTGTACATGTTGTCCATCATGGACCAAAGTGTCGTGCAGGGCATGATTATTCTCAAAGCAGACAGGAGCCAGGGTGATGCAAGCACTGAAAATCATGTTCATGGAGAAAGTCTGAAAGATCTGGCATTTTTAGCCCAGAGAAGAAAAGGCCCTCAAAATGCCATCTTTCATTTATATATTCAAATATTCATGGGATGCCTATTAAGTGTTAGGTAGCATGCTATCTGTTACCATAGCAATCAGAAAGTCTCTTCCAGGTGTTCATCCCAGGTTCCTTCCTCAGGAGGCAGACCCGTCTGCCAGCTACTCGGACTGTCAGCTGCCGGTGGCTTCCAGGGCACAGCCTAATGCAGGGAAAGAAAGGCCTGGCCTCCTTGCTACAGTCTGGGTCAACTCCAAAGAGTCACCCCAGCTCCAGGGCCCCTTGTGGGACCAGATGAGGCCTCAGTTCCAACCACAGTGGGACTGGCTTCTCCCTCTGACCAATACCCCCTTCCCATTTTCTTCCAGGATGCCTCCCATCAGAGTCTGGCCAGTGGGGTCAGGGACATGCCAGCAAGCGATGGCAACCCGGCTGACAGGGCTAGGGATGGATGGGCAGTACATAGTGCTATGTCACCCCGCCCCCCGCCACCTGCCCAGGAGATGCACCTAATCCAGCCTTGGGGGTCAGGAGACTTCCTAGAAGATACAAGGTGAAATGAGCTCCACCCCGGGGGAGGAGGGTGGGCAGAAATGATTTTCACCTCCAGCTTGTTCTAAATGAAAGAAGAAAGACCACCCTCTACCCCCTGCCCCATTTACTGTGAGCCCAAGGCTGTGCTGACAGGGCCTCCAAGGAGTGGCCCTGCTCCATCTCCACTCTTCTGGCCTCTTGGATCACTGCCCAGAGCCTGCATGGACAGGACCCCTAGTTCTCAGCTGCTGGACGCTGCCAGCCCGTCAGAGGGACCCACGACAGGAAGAAGGGGCTGTACATTTTCAGATTCGGTTTTCCTGCTCCCAACCCCCACTCCATCCAAAGTGAAGCTGAGCTCAGAGATTAAAAACTCATTCCCGTGCAGGAAATGAAGACATTGCCAGGACCTCCCAGCCGAGAAAATATGAACAAGATGCCTCGTGCCGCTGATGAACTCCCCGCTCTTAGGGCCTCGAGGGAAGGCAGGAAGATGGGCCGCTAGCCCGGGCACTCCCATGCTTGTTCTCAGCTGCGCTTCACCCCCGGAGTGTGGGAAGTCCCTGGCTGCCGTGGTCAGAAATTGCCATAACATGCCCTGGCTCCCGTGGTCAGAAATTGCCCATTCAATAGGCAGAGAGGCATGGGAGCGATATGGAAAGGGCTCTGGGTTCCAGCCCAGCTGCGCAGTCAACCATGAGACCTGGGGTGTCTGTTCACCTTTCTGGGCCTTGGTTTTGTTGCCTATGCAATGAGATTGTTGGGCTTCTGGACTCCCCACGTGTCTTCCATCTAATTCTAATTTCTGAGGAAGGAAATGGAAAAGTTTACCAATATGATGAGAATCTTATAGCCCAACAACTGAGATCTCGAATCCAACAGGACCGCTTCTTCCGAAGACAGTAAAAGGCCCACAGACATCAGTGAGAAGTCTCTTCAAAACCATTCTGGAGTTTCCCTCAGGCTCCAGGGCGAGGTGAAAACTGATGGAAAGTTCAGACTGAGAAGGCAGTACAGCATCTCCTCCAGCCCTACTGCCAGAGAACCTGTCCTAAAGTGTGGATAACAGATGCCCTTGATGGCGCCTGGCACTCCTTCATCAGCCCCAATCTTAGGCCAAGGTGGACAGAGGATAACTCCGCAAAGCATAATTCTGCAGAAGATAACTGACAGCCACGACAGCTACTAGCATCTGGGAGCATGCACTATTACCTGGGAAGGACATCCTTTTTGACAGAGGGACACAGGATTAACATGAGAGACGTATCGGTTATCCATCATGTAACCACTTACTACAAACACAAAAGTTTTTTCTGTTGTTTTGTTTTTGAGACAGAGTTTCACTCTTGTTGCCCAGGCTGGAGTGCAATGGCGTGATCTTGGCTCACTGCAACCTCCACCTCCCAGGTTCAAGCGATTCTCCCATCTCAGCCTCCTGAGTAGCTGGAATTACAGGCGTGCGCCACCATGCCCGGCTAATTCTGTATTTTTAGTAGAGACGGGGTTTTGCCTTGTTGGCCAGGCTGATCTTGAACTCCTGACCTCAGGTGATCAGCGCCCCTCGGCCTCCCAAAGTGCTGGGATTACAGGCATGAGACACCGTGCCCAGCAAACACAGAAGTTTAAAGCAGCATACGCTTATAATCTCATGGGTTCTCTGAGTCACGAATTTAGATACAGCTTTGTTAGGGTCCTCTGGTTCAGGATTTCTCATAAGGCTGTGATCAAGTTGCTGGCCAGGACCGGAGTCTCATCTGAGGTTCAAATGGAGGAGGATTCACTTCTACAGAGAACTGATGGTGGGACTCAGTTCCTTGAGGTCGGTCAGACAGCAGCAGCCCTCTGTTCCTTGCCATGTGGGCCTCTCCGATATGACCACCTGCTTTGTGAAAGTGTGCAAAGCTCAAGGGCAACAGAGAGGGCCTGCTAGCAAGAGGGAAGTCACAATCTTATGTCACACAAGCAGAAATGTGACAGCCTATCATCTTTGTCGTATTGCATTTGTTAGAAGTTAGGTCACAAGTCCCACCCACACTCGAGGGGCAGGGACTACACAGGCTGTGGATACAAGGAGATGGGGACCATTGGGAGTCATCTTAGAGGCTGCCTGCCAGAGAGGAGGCAGAAAGAGGCCACCCACTGAGCCTTGAGCAGAATCAGCCCTGGAAAGCAACGCAGGGACAAGTGTCCCAGCCAGACCAGCTTTCATCCAAAAGGTTATGTGTCCTGCAGGTTAGAACCAGAGGAGCGGCATCTCAGGATGAGATGATGCCACACTGCACACGCTGACAGCCTGGGAGAATAGTGTCAGAAGAGGGAACCGGTGGCAGGGTGTGTAGTGGTGATTGTGTGCTGGCCGTGTGTGTTCTCAAAAGAAAGGAAAGGACCTGGTCACCATTTGAGGGTTATGATATAAATTGGGGAAGGGATGATCAGCCCACCCTTCACTCCCCTGCCAAGTCACTATATGCCTTTTTCAGGAAAGACCCACCCTGCCATCCCCTAGCCAGGAATCAGCCCCACCTATATCCACTGTAGTGTTGAGATATGGAATTGTCCAGTGGGGTAGAGGTAGGGAACTCCAGGCATAATCGGAATTCAATGTGTCCTTCAGAGATGTCCTTGTTCTTTGCCTCCTCTGAGCTCCCCCTCCTCAGGCAGCTTCAATGACAAAGCTGTAAAGCACTCTCCCTCTCCTCCTCTTTTTAAAACACAATTTTTATTTTTAAATATACTATATCTGTTAAGGAGAGGGGGCAAAGTTTTCTGTCTTTGTAATACCCATTCAGGAGTTTAATGGGTTAGGAGATTGGTTTTAACTGTGAGAAATCATCTACCTCTTGTGCTCAAGTGATCCTCCCGCCTCAGCCTCCCGAGTAGCTGAGACTACAGGCACATGCCACCACACCCCGGTAATTTTTTAATTTTTTGTAGAGATGGGGTCTCCCTTTGTTGCCCAGGCAGGTCTTGAACTTCCGGGCTCAAGCGATCCTCCTGCTTCGGCCTCCCTAAGTGCTGGGATGACAGGTGCGAGCCACCGTGTCTGGCCTACTAAGCATTTCTGAAGGCTATAGTTTAACATTTGGTTTCAAAAAGAAAGGAAGCTTTCATTTAAAAAATAATTTACTGAATTACATTCTTTCATAACTTCCACCCTAATTAGTCACAAAGATAATTCTAAAGATTCTTTGTTTTGTGTACTAACATTTTTCTTTTTTGAGTCAGGGTGGCACTCTGTTGCCCAGGTTAAAGGATGGTAGTGCAGTCATGGCTCACTGCAGCCTCAACCTCCTGGACTCAAGCAATCCTCCCACCTCAGCCTCCCAAGTAGCCGGGACTACTGGCACATGCCACCATGCCTGACTAATTTTTTGCAGAAATGGGGTCTCCCTATGTTGTCCAGGCTAATCTCAAACTCCTGAGCTCAAGTGATCCTCCTCCCTTGGCCTCTCAAAGTGCTGGGATTACAGGTGTGAGCTACCATGTCCAGCCATTTTTGTCTACTAATTTACATTTATATTTAAAGATTAATTTTACTTGTATCTTAAAACAAGAATGTTATGTTGGAAAAAGAGAACTAAATACATTTGTATAAAGGCTGTAAATGTCCCATGGCAAATGTTCTGTCTCAATATTTTCTACCACATTTAGAAACAGGATTCTGCAGAGAGAGACTTGGGTCGTTAAGATTCACCTTTCCTAAGGAGTTGTAGGCAGCAGATCTGAAGAACACAGAGCAACAACTCGATTTCTCTTTTTACAACTGCAGAGCATCACAGCTGCGATAATAGTACAAATACATGAAAAAATGACTTCACCAGGCTGGGCGCGGTGGCTCACGCCTGTAATCCTAGCACTTTGGGAGGCCAAGGCGGGCAGATTACTTGAACCCATGAGTTCGAGACCAGCCTGGGCAACATGGTGAAACCTTCTGTCTACAAAAATACAGAAAACTAGCTAGATGTGGTGGCACATACCTGTAGTCTCAGCTACTTGGGAAACTGAGGTGGAAGGATCACCTGAGTCTGGGAGGTCAAGGCTGCAGTGAGCTGAGATTGCACCATTGCACTCCAGCCTGGGCGACAGAGTGAGACCTTGTCTCAAAAAAAAAAAAGACATCACTCATATAAGATTTAGAAAAATCAGAGTGACCTCAGGCCAAGGCACCACCCAGTGTGGTGAGAATGACATTCGATAATGGAGAGAGAGTGTGTGTATGTATGTGTACATACGTGTGTATGTTATGTACAGATATCTCTCTGTATAAATAGCCATGTTCAGCCCCTTAAAAGCCTGTAAATATGATGTTGTGCTCCATATTCACTATTTGAAACTTCAAATACACAGGCCATGCAGAGGAGAGTTTCTTGTGTATCCCTGTTTGTCACCACCAATAAAATTGTGAAGTTTTCCAAATCACTGTTCATCATATATTTCCCTGGTAAGTGTTACGGCTTGTGGATGAAGCTAATCATGTATTCACACATCATCTCTCTCCTCTTTTAAGTGGCTCCTACAGCCTGTTGCAAATGAAATTCACAGGTTCAGGAGCCCAATACCTTGGGAAGTTTGAAAGCCTGTGTCCCTCTGTCCTCTAGGCAACCCCTAATGTGCAGGTTGTGCCTGCACAAAGGCATCAGTTGAGGGGTGAATGCAGCTCAGGGCTACACTGGAGGGAGGGGGCCCTTTGGGAATTCACCTGAAGACACCATATTGGCTAGCTGCCGCCAGTCCCAGCTAGCCAATATGACCCAGAGGCTACCACGGAGGCCAAGTTCAGCTAAGGCTTCGTAGTCACATACATCTTTGTGATCTTGGTTAAACAACATTTCCTTATCTATGACATTGAAAGCACAAGCAACAAAAGGAAAAACAGATAAACTGAACATCATCAAAATGTAAAACCTCTGTGCTTCCAAGAACACCATCAAGAAAGTGACAACACAACTTGTCCACAGACTGGGATGACATTTTTGCAAATCATATATCTGATAAAGGACTTGTATATAAAGAACACTTAAACAATTCGATA
This sequence comes from Homo sapiens, assembly GCF_000001405.40. Taxonomy (NCBI): domain Eukaryota; kingdom Metazoa; phylum Chordata; class Mammalia; order Primates; family Hominidae; genus Homo; species Homo sapiens. Next base: position 126,180,243 of record NC_000011.10, read on the forward strand.
ATTAAAAGACAAATGATCCAATTTAAAGATGAGCAAAGGATTTGAATAGACATTTCTCCAAGGAGGATATACAAGTGACCAATAAGCACATGAAAAGATGGTCAACATCACTGGCAATCATGAAAAGTCAAATCAAAACCACAGTGAGGGCCGGGTGCAGTGGCTCATGCCTGTAATCCCAGCACTTTGGGAGGCTGAGGCAGGCGGATCACCAGGTCAAAGCGATAAGACCATCCTGGCCAACATGGTGAAATCCTGTCTCTATTAAAAATACAAAAATTAGCTGGGTGTGGTGGCACACACCTGTAGTCCCAGCTACTTGGGAGGCTGAGGCAGGAGAATTGCTTGAGCCCGGGAGGCAGAGGTTGCAGTGAGCCAAGATCGCACCACTGCACTCCAGCCTGGCGACAGAGCGACACTCTGTCTCAAACAAACAAACAAAAAAATCCCACAGTGATATATGACTTCTCACCCACTAGGATGTCTAGAATGAAAAAATAATAACACTAACAAGTGTTGGTGAGGACATGGAGAAACTGGAACCTCAGACATTGCTGGCAGAAATATAAAATGGTACAGCCTGTATGGAAAACAATCTGGCAGTTTCTCAAAGACCAGACACGAAGTTTCCATATGACCCAGCAATTCCACTCCCAGACATACACCTAAGAGAAATGAAAACATATATACACAAAACTTGTACATCAATGTTCAAAGCAGCATTATTCATAAAAGCAAAAAGTAGAAACAATTCAAGCATTCAGCAACTAAAGAATGAACAAACAAAATTTGGCATATTCATTATACGGAATATTATTCAGTATTAGAAATGAAGAGCTGGGCACGGTGGCTCACTCCTGCCAGCACCTTGGGAGGATCACTTGAGGATTGCTCACTTTGGGAGGCAGGAGGATCGCTTGAGGCCAGAAGTTCAACTCCAGCTTGGGGAACATAGCGAGACTCTGCCTCTACAAAAAAAACTTTTAAACCCAAACAATTAGGCATAGTGGCACACTCCTGTAAGTCCAGCTACTGGAGAGGCTGAGGCTTGAGCCCGGGAGTTCAAGGCTGTAGTGAGCTATGATCGTGCCACTGCACTCCAGCCTGGGTGACAGAGCAAGACCCAGTCTCTTTAAAAAAAAAAAAGAAAGAAAGCAAGCAAAGAAAAAAGTGAAGTACTAATCCATGCTACAACATTAACCTTCAAGACGTTATGCTAAGTGAAAGAAGGCAGACACAAAGGACCACTTACTGTACGGTTCCATTTAGATGAAATGTCCAGAATCGGCCAGTCTTTAGAGATAAAAAGTAGATTAATGGTCTCCTAGGGCTGGAGAGAATTGGGGGGCAGGGGATTAGAGGCGTTGGCTAAGGGGTGCAGGGTTTCTTCTGGGGGTGGTGAAAATATTCTAAAATTTACTGTGGTGATGGTTGCACAATTCTGTGAATATATTAAAAACCATGGAATTGCATACTTTAAATGTGTAAATTATATGGTATTGTGAATTCCCAATAAAGTTATTTTAAAAAGAGAGAAAGGGAGAACCTCATTTTCTAAGCTACAGATTCTTAACTCAGGGCCCATGAACCCACTGAATTACAAACTAGAATTGTGAGAGCACTTGTGCATTTTCTAAGAAGGCCTGCGGCTTTCCTGAGATTCTCCAAAGGCTCCAAGCCACAAAAAAGAATCCCTGTCCTCAGAATGAGCTGGAGTTGGGGCTTCAGGTTTGGGAGAGCCTCCTCACGGCTTCCCTTTTGCACCTCCCCTGGGGAAGTCGGGGTATGGAGGGGAGGGGCGCCCAGAGTCCATTTCCTGTGTGCCGGTTTAATATTCACTCAGTGGTGTGGAGTTGGGTTAGCCGCAGCTCACCTCGGGGGCCAGCCACTCTGACCACAGCCTGGAGCCACTGGCTCAAGCTATTCTCAGACCCTTCCCTTCTGTGACCCTCTTCCTTCCCCGATTGCCCCCTCCCAGGCTGTCCCTCCCCGATTGCCCCCTCCCAGGCTGTCCCTCCAGGCCTCCCGAGAGGCTGGCAGTGGCTCCACTTGCTGCTTTTGCCACTTGCTCCAGGCATTAACTGGAACACAGATCCCTGGCTCCTACTGCCCTCAACTCCAATGCTGGAGTAACTCAAAGGTAGAATGACCATACTGCTACCTACCTGCGGGGACAGCCTTGGTTTAAACCCGATGTTCCAGTGTGGTTTTTGTTTTGTTTTGTCTTGTTTTTGAGACAGGGTCTCATTCTGTTGCCCAGGCTGAGCACAGTGGTGATCATGGCTCACTGCAGCCTCAGCCTCCTGGGCTCAAGCAATCCTCCCACCTTAGCCTCCTGAGTAGCAGGGACTACAGGTGCACGTCACAACTGGCTAGTTTTTTTTTTGTTTTTTGTAGAGATAGAGTCTCACTGTGTTGCCCAGAATGATCTCTAATTCCTGGATGCCAGTGATCCTCCCACCTCGGCCTCCTAAAGTGCTGGGATTACAGGCATGAGCCACTGCGCTCAGCCCTGGTGTGATTATTGAGTGCCAAATTTCATTCTCAAAAGTATCCTGGTTTGTAAGATACTGTAAATTTCATTAACCCCTTACCTAAAGATAGAATTGTCACGCCTCCTGGGGTGAGCAGCACTCCAGCGGTCTCTGAAGCCGTGGTCCAGACTGCAGGAAGGCTTCACATCCACCTTCCTCAGCAGACAGGTTTCATTCTGTTCTGTTCATACCTCAGCAGGAAAGGGCATTGCCACCTCTCACGGGTCTGGTGGCCCTCCATTGAGCATGGATAAGATGCCTCCTCTTCCATCTCGCCCATCCTCAGTGCAGGGGGTCTGGGCCTCTCCCCTCTACAATTCGATGTAAGGCAAAGGTGACATTCCTCTGTAGCCCTTGCCACCCTCAGCCTTTTCCTCCCCGGGTGAAAAATCCCAACCCCTTAACGTTTCATTCCCTCCCACCTCCTTCAGTGCCCAAGCCGCTCTGCTCCTTAAGATCACAAACCACGCACAAACCACATCTTTTCTTCTTTACATAGCTAGTGCCTGGCAGAGGAGGTGCTCACTAAATCTTTTTTTTTTTTTTTTTTGTGAGATGGAGTCTTGCTCTGTCACCCAGGTTAGAGTGCAGCCTCCACCTCCTGGGTTCCAGCGATTATCCTGCCTCAGTCTCCCAGGTAGCTGGGATAACAACTGCCTGCCACCATGCCCAACTAATTTTTGTATTTTTAGTAGAGATGGGGTTTCACCATGTTGGTCAGGCTGGTCTCGAACTCCTGACTTCAGGTAATCTGCCTGCCTCGGCCTCCCCAAGTACTAGGATTACAGGTGTGAGCCACCGCATCCAGCCTAGTTCATTCTTTTCAATAATTTTTCCTTTTTTTTTTTTTTTTTTTTTTGTGACAGGGCCTCACTCTGTTGTCCAGGCTGGAGTGCAGCAGCATAATCTGGGCTCACTGAAGTCTTAAACTCGTAGGTTCAAGTGATCCTCCCATCTCAGCCTCCCAAGTAGCTGGAACTACAGGTGCATGCCATCACACCCAGCTAATTTTTTTTAATAGGAAAGATGAGGTCTCACTACGTGGCCCAGGCTGGTATCAAACTCTTGGGCTCAAGCAATCCACCTGCCTCGGTGTCACACCTGGAATTACAGGTGTGAGCCTTACAGGTGAGAGCTTCAGTGGGTTCAAGGGCCCTAAGAATCTCTAGCCTAGAAAATAAGGTTCTTCCTTTCTCTTTTTAATAACTTTCTTGAGAATTCACAGTACCATACAATTCACACATTTAAAGCATGCAATTCAATGGTTACCTTGCCAGGCTTGATAGATAATTTTTGGATGAATGAGGCACTGGCAAAATGAAGCTGAGGCTGCTATCACGTTGCATGGGGCCGAGGGCACCGCAGAGCCTGGGCCCCCAGGTGTGGGCAGCTCCTGAGAGCACCCTCTCCGGAAGAGTAGGACTGAGAGGGCCGGCCCCACTGAAATGCACGCCCGTGGATGCAGCAAGAGGTCGGCCGGGCAGGGGGAAAGGGCATCCCCTTCCATTCCAGGAGCTGCTCTTCTCGTAGGTCACACCCAGGGCCCTTCCCCAGAACTGTACTCCTTCCAGCCAAGCCCACTTCCTCTGCTCACAAGAGAAAGGAAAACTCTTCTGCTGGATGCAGAGGTGTACAATGAAGAAGGGGCCGCCTGAGGCTTTGTATCCAGGGCCCTTTTATTTTGTTCTTTTGGTCAGTATTTACTACCCATTTGACAAGCATGTCCCAAGCATTTCCTATGTACCAGGCCTGTGCTGGACACTGGGGATGAAACTGAGAACAAGCCATCCAGGTGCCTCTGCCCTGCAGGGCTGTCTTTAATCTTGATGTCCAAAGCTGGCTCCAGGGGCTGCACTTAGAATAAAATAAGACAGTGATTTCTGGGTTCCTGCAGTTTCTGGGTTTCTGGATATCTCCGTGTGAACGGCCACCTTTATGTAAGCGTCATAAAGAGTATCTGCTTGACATGAGAACTTTTGGAGTGAGATGAACCATTTTCGAATCTCAGTTCTGTTTCTCCTTGGTTGAGTTACACTTGATCTTAGCCAAAAGGCGGAGAAGTGATCCCCTTGGTTGAGTTATTTAATCTCCGGCTCATGTGTGAATTGTAGACAATCCCATCCACCTTGCAGAATTATTTGGAGGGTCCGATGGGTAACGGCTGCAAGATAAGTGTCCAGTACGTGGGGACACTCAGTAAACGGGGTGACGATTACCCCTGAGCACTGGGGTTTCAAATCCCAGCTGAAGATTCTGTTGGAGTTGGCATGACCTTGTGTTGCAAGACTGTGGCTCCTAAAATTGACTGGTTTTAAGAATCACTGTGAGAGCTTTTTAGAATTACAAATTTTCGAGCCCGAAACCAAACCGACTGAACCGGAAGCGGCAGGGATGGGCCTGGAAATGTGCATTCTCAGAGGTCTCCAAGTGTGCGATCCACAGTGCTAAGCAGCGCCTCTCAAATCCAGCCCACCCATTTATTTTCCAAAACTCCTGGGAGAGACGACAGAGGGACAGAGGCGCAGGGCTCTGTGGAAGCCAGGCCTGCACCCCTCCCCCAGGCGGCCTCCTCTCCACTCTGGGACCAGCCCTGCCTTCCCCCAGGCTGCGGTGGGTCCCGTCGGAGCACAGCGGCTGCTCATAAAGCTCCCGATGAAAGGCACGCTGGACAGGAGAGGTCAAGGTTCACACAAGCAGCTCCGCCTTCTGTTTCATTTACAAGTGGCAGTCACCTCATTAAACCCGGTCCCCCTCCACCCCTACCCCACCCTCACCCCCAGCCCACCGCACGCATCCCCACACCCGGTCCCTCCCGCTCAGCCCTGGCCGGCACAGAGAGGCTGGGTTGGAGATCGAGTGGTCCAGAGATGGGCAGGTGACCTGCTGGACACGCCCACCCATACCCCAGACTTGCCTAGTGCCTAATGTATGGAATGCACTCAACACGTGTTTGTTAAACTTGGTGTTTATAAATGCATAAAAGTGGCATTTTGTGAAGTTGCTGCAGCACAACTTGGACTTGGAAAGCAGTGCTGATCCCTTCAGAGTCCTGGGGAGGAGAAAAGGCAGCGATTGCTGTGCGCCCCCGGCTGACTTTTCACCTCTCCTAGCCTCTGTTTCCTCCTCTATGAAGGGGTTACCGAGGTGATTAAATGGAGCAGGCCACACGAAAGAGCCTAGCTAACGACTGGAACATTGCAGCTGTGCGGTTGGTGTTCCTGAACCCACAGAGGGCAATGGAGACACAACGTCACACAGAGTTAACTCTGCCCAGGCACAGTGGCTCACGCCTGTAGTCCCAGCTACTTCAAAGGCTGAGGAGGCAGGGCAGCTTGAGCCCAGGAGGTTGAGGCTGCAGTGGACCATGACTGTGCCACTGCATTCCAGCCTGGGTGACACGAGGAGACCCTGTCTTAAAAAAAAACATTAAACAGAGTTAACTTCAATTATGATGACAGCATGGAGGCTGGCAGGCATGGGGGCTGTTAGACCACACAGAAGGACCTGAGGTCCTCAGCAGGGTTTACAGGTGGCTCCTGGGGAGATGGGAACCTGTAAGCCTGGACCTGAAGCAGGGGCTTTAGCCAGCCAGGCCCAGGGGCCAGATGGAGCAGAGAGAAGCCGCTCACCAGGCCTCGAGTGGAAGGGGCGCGCCTGCACATCTGAAGCCTGGGGAGAAGCAGGCCTGGTGACTCGGTGCGTGTCCAGCAAGGGAAGGGAGCCAGGCGAGGCCAGGGAGTGGACAGCTGGACGCCTGCTGGACCTCCCCCAAGGAAGGCTTCCGGGCTCCGGCTGAGGGATCATGAAGTGCTGAGGTGCCTTAAGCCCAGGGGCCCATGACTGGAGTCGCCCCTACCATTTCATTTTAGTCTTCACGCCAGTTTATGAGCTACTGAAGGGTCCCAACTTTGTCACCTTAGGATCATTCCCCAGGGTCCCACGTACACCCCACTCCCCTGCAACAGGAGAGGCCTGCCTCGCCCCTCTTGGACTCAGCGCAGCGCTGGTGCCCATCTCTGAGTGGTGGAGGCTCCAGCATTTCTATACAGCAGGGGCCTGGGGAGGCTGCAAGGGAGGTATAGAGGGGACCGGTCATCAAACATTTGCAGAGCAGGCTCAGTTTGTTTGTTTGAGAGAGGAGCTGGTGGAGACCGTCCGAGGCTGAAGTCCACTACGGCCCCACAGAGCCCCAGCTGCAGGAAGCCAGAGAAAAGAGCGCCATTCCTGCCTCCGTCTCTGTGAAGGGCGTCCCGGGCTGGGACTGGGTGAGGTGAAGGAGGTTCCTCACTTCCCTGACCAAGGCCCTGCCCGTAGCTCTCACCACCCTCTCCTCGCCTCTGCCCATCCCTCCTTGCCCTCCCACACAGGTCTTGTGGGGGCTCAGGCACCCTCATCAGCACCCCTGCATCATGGGGCCGCTGCTGGGCCTCCCCTAAGAGGGGCTCTCCCCAGTGAAAAGGAGGCTGAAGAGAGGATGGCGCCGAAGCTGCCACCCAGAGGAGAGAAGGGACATTAACACAGAAGGAGAGACTGGAGAGAGAAAATAAGAGACAGAAAATGAGAGGCAGGGAGCGAGGCAGGTGCGAGGGGACGAGAGTGCAATCTTAACAGAAGGGGAAGGCACTAACCAGGGACCACATGCTGGGGCACAGAGGGATGAATATGTATAAACACTGAGAGTCAGACAGGGACAGAGACTGTGCCAGGGACCACAACAGAGGCCGGCAGATGATGGGCGGCCTGTCATCTTTTGGAGCCAGGCCCTGTTAGGAGAATTCTTGGCCTCAGTTGATGCTGGGGGCAGGATGGAGTGTGCCTTCCCCTCCAATTTTTCCAGCTGGAACCCTACATGCAGCTCCAAGCTTTCCCCATCCTTTCTGAGGTTCCGGCTGCAAAGACTCCCAGGACAGGCCAGCCGGGTCGCTGGGCCTGAGAGTGGCCCACCCAGGGCCCACCTTGGGCAGGTGGGGGAGACCGTGGGCTTCCAGGAACAAGGAGCCCCCAACAAGTACAAGAAGGACCCTAAGGGCTGGGTAGGGTGGCAGGGTGGCTCACACTTGTAATCCCAGCACTTTGGGAGGCTGAGGTGGGCAGATCACGAGGTCAGGAGATTGAGACCATCCTGACCAACATGGTGAAACCCCGTCTCCACTAAAAATACAAAAATTAGTCAGGCGTGGTGGTACGCACCTGTAGTCCCAGCTACTCGGGAGGCTGAGGCAGGAGAATTGCTTGAACCCGGGAGGTGGAGACTGCAGTGAGCTGAGATCACATCACTGCACCCCAGCCTGGTGACAGAGCGAGACTCCATCTCAAGAAAAAAAAAAAAGAAGGACCCTAAGACCCACCAGCCAAACAGATCCTCCCACACTCCTTCCAGGTCTGCACCGGACACAGCTGGGCTAAGTGGTGACCTGAGACCCAGGGAGAGCTGAAGCCGGGGAGTTTCTGGGTGTCTTGATGTTGAGGGGTAACTTGTCTGCTGCTTGGAGGGCTCCTTTAGTCACCGGCTGAGAGGATTATCAGGACGGCGCAGGCCTCCAGGTGTGCCACGGCCCTGACTCCGCAACAGCTCTGTGCTACCTACCTCCCCCTCCCTGGGCTTTCTGACCTCTGCCGTCTCGTGCTCCCCTCCCCTATGGGTCAGGATCCAAGCTCCCCAAGTTTGCTACTTCTCCAGCCATGTCGCTCCCTGCCACAAGCTCTACACTGCAGTAACACACCACACTGCTTGCAGACACATCTAGAAACCACAGCACTCCTTCCTCTGGAATGCCCCTCCCTTCTCTCCTCCTGAAAGCTCTCAGGTCCCCAGGAAGGCCCCCTCCCCACCCAGGCTGCATCGGCATTTTGCTAGTGATCTCCGGATGCCTGGGTGCCTCTCCTGCAATCTCTCTGAAACATGTCAGGTGCTCCAGGACAGGGCTACAGCTGCATCTCGACACCCACTACGGCCAACACACAGCCCGGGCCCCTAGGTGATGGGTGGACAAATGAGATGCGGTCAGGATTATAAGCCACACCTCGCCTGACTGGTTCTCCACTTCCTTTTTGTCTTTCCACCTAGATGGCAGGTGCACTGTGTGCAGAAACTGTATCTTCTGCTTCCTTGCCCTCTCCCTAGTTTCAGACAATGTTGTGCACGACAGACACTTGCTGACAGGAAGAGGGGTCAGAGTCTTGCGTGTTCCAAGGGATCCACCTGAATTCTTCAAGGACCCTGCGTTCCGGGCACCAGGGACAAAGCCAGGTCCATGTGTGGTTTCTCTCTTTTCTAGGGCCTGCAAGTTGGAGAGATGCCCTCCCCTCCCCCATAGAATCCCAAACCCTGGTCTGGGGCTCATTCAGGTGGATTTCGGGACAGGCCAGAGGGAAGGGACAGCAACGGAGAGCTGGGGACGGGGGCGCTTTTCCTCGGAAAATAATGAGGCAATTAGAGGAGGCCGAGAGCAGTTCCAGATGTGGCGGCTGACTGCTGAGATAGTGACGTGTACTTCTAACATGTCAGCACGCTGGGGACTGAGGCTGTCTGCAGCTGCTCCAGCTGTCACCTGGCCCCACTGTGCTGCTGCGGTTACCTGGCCTAATGGTTTTGGAATGAGCTGGGCTGGGGCCCACGGCCTAGAACCCTGGTCCCCAAAACTTCTTGCCAGAAAGAAACTCAACCTCAGTAAAAGCCCCATCTGCTGAGGGCCGTCAAGACATTCACCGTCACCTGCCTCGCCTTGAAGTTCGATCCCCTCCAGGACAAGCTTTCAGGGGAAGCTCGGAGCCTGGCCCCGAGCAAGCGCTGGGGACAGAACACAGTGTGGTTGGATGTGGCCCTAGGCCCAGAGTTGCCTAAAGTCCAGGCATGGGAGACAGGACAGGGACAAAGCCCCTCCGACAGGAAGCAGCCAGTGGCTGGCACTGATCAGGTGCACACAAAGGTGTCTGTGTTCCTGTCTGGCCCCTCCCCAGCAGGCCCTGGACCCTGCCCTCTCCATCCCATCTTTCCCAGGCGTCCTGAGCTGCCTGGCCTTTTGAGCGATTACTGGCACAGGATACCAGCACTGACAGCTCTTGTCACAGTCCCCCAGGCCTCATTCATGCTGGAGAGGCGAGGACAGCTTAATTCCCAAACTCAGACACAGGATTGCCTGCCAGATAGGGCATGGGGCTGCCACTGACCCCCACCCCTCCCTCCCTAGGAGGTGGGCACCTGGGAACAAAGCCTCTGGTGTCCCCTCTGCTCTCCTCCCTCCTCTGACCTCCCCTTCCCCTCTTTCTGCATCAAACAGCAGGTGCTGATGGCAGCTAAATTGTCCAGGGATGAGTGATGCTGGGTGCTTAGGAGGATGAGAAGGAAAGAGCTTTGGACATGACAACCTCAACCCTTCCCCACTCCAGCCCCCATTTGGGGACAGGGAAAAGAATTGATGTCAGATGTAGGGGGTTCCCTTAGCCCCAGTATTCTGAGCTTCTGGCCCCCACACCAGGAACCAAGGAGCACTGGCTTCATGCCAACACCTTCAAACCACCCCACACTCCGTGTGGAACCCGAGGCCCTTCAGGAGCTGTCAGACAGCCCCAGGGAGCTGCTGGCCATGCTGTGTTCTCCTGGCATCTTCCCACTCCCAGGCCAGCCACCTTGGCTGGGGGTATCTGCCATGACCTTCACTCCCTGAGCCCTTGGTCTTCACATCCATGGTGGACAATCCCAGATGGGGGTTCCCCAAGTCCCGCCCAGTTTGGGAAACAACTGTGCCCCCTCCCATTTCCAAGGCCATCTCCTAAGCTAGCCTGGGGGCTCCTCACATGTGCTCCTGAGGTTCTAACAACCACTTGGGCATGGCCTGCCCTCTCCGGAGTCAAAGCCACTAATTCAGCTTGGAATGCCCTTCTCCATATGCAGTGTGGAGGAACTGACCCCCTTTTTCTGCTTTTCCTTTCCTAGTTCTCCCCCAAACTGCAGTCAGAATAGCAGAGTTAGGGCTGTTCTTCATTCCCATTAGGACTCTAGAAAAACAGACTAATGGCCCCAAAGAGCGTAACCGCATGACCCTCCTCCTCTAGAGAAAGTGCTAGAAATCTAATCGGGCAGCAACATAGTACCGTGGGTAAGTCCGTGCGTCCAGGCCTGTTTCCTGGCTTTCCAGGTGCATGCCCTCAGGCAGTCTGCCCAAGCTGATTTCCTCATCTCTGAAATATCTCCTTCGTGGAAGCACTGCGGGATTCAATGAGCTCACACGGCACAGCCCCAGCACCGTGCCTGGCTCGCGGCAAGTGTCCGATAGAAGCCAGCCTCTGCTGCTGTGACCACCTTCCCCAGCAGTGGCTGGTGTGTGCTATGGGCTGACTGTCTCTCCCAAATTCCTGTGTTGAAGACTCAACCCCAGTACCTCAGAATGTGACGACCCTTGGAGATAAGCCTTTAAGGGGGTGAGTCCATTGAAATGGAGCCTCGAGGACGTGCCCTCACCCACTCTGACCAGTGTCCCTGTAAGAAGAGGCAATCAGATCACAGGCCCACACCGAGGAGAAGCTGTGTGAGCGCACACAGAGAAGGCAGCCATCAGCAACAGAGAGGCCTCCAGAGAAACCAAGCCTGCCAACACCTGGATCTTGGACTTCCAGCCTCCAGAACCATGAGCAAATGAATTTCTATTGTCTAAGCCACCCAGGCTGTGATATTTCGTTACGGTAGCCCCAGCAAACTGTGATATTTTGTTATGGCAAGCTGCAGTGTGACCAGTCACTGCCTGGGATGCCAGGCCCGTCCTTCCCAGCCCAGGCACCGTGCAGGATGCCAGGCCCCAGAAAGGACGGGAAGGCCCCGGGCAGGATAGTAAAAGGCCCGATGTCCAGGTCCCTTCTGGGAGGTTTCACTTCCAAGTACAGTCTGGATTCTAAACTGGATCTTAACATTGAGTTTCTACACTGCCCTTCTCTGAGATGCTGAATTTGTGGGTTCCAGTAAGGGATTAGGGATGTTGTGTCTTCTCCCGAATAAGTAATCTTGGCATAACCAGACTCAGGGTCTTGAAACTAGAAAGGATCTCAGAGATTGTCTTATCTAGAGACTGAGATCATCAACTTTGTCTCAACTGCCCATTTTACAGGTGAGGAAACTGAGGTCTGGAAAGATGGTGACACAGCTAGCTAGCGGCAGAATTTAAAAAGAACCCAGTTGCCTTGTCTTTCCATTAGGAGACCTGCCTTCCTGCTCCAAGTGTACACTCGCTCATCCCTGGCTGGGATCTGGGAAGGCTGGAGAGAGGAGAATCGGGACTTCTCTTTTGGTCTCTCAGCACCTGGTTCACTGGAGAAACACAGGTTAAGAGTGGGGCTCCCAAGTTAGACGGATGGGTCAAAACCTAGTTCTGCTGTGTACAGATGTGGCCTCGGGAAATCAGTGGACCACTCTGGGCTTCATGTTTATCATCTGTAAAATGGAAATAAAAACAAGGAAGAATAGTATATCCCTCACAAGGCTATTATTGGGAGCTTTTAAACCTAACAGGCTCCACATAGGCCACAAAAGTCGAATGCAGAAATTACCACGAGTGTTGGCTTTCGGGGGTCCGTGTGGGAGTAGGGAAAGGAAGAGTGAGTCTCAGCTGTGATCACAGGCCCTCTAAGCCTCTTGCTTGCCTTCTCTCGTGGAATTTTCTTTCCTAGGCTGGAGAAGTAGGGTGACAAGGGAAATCTGGCTTATAACTCCAGAAAATAAACCCAAGGATACTTCTGGAAAATTCTGTAACTTTAGGCAGGAAAAAGGCCAGACTCCCCGGCAGGGCCAGGACGGGCTGGCAGCCTTTCAGACACGGCTTGAAGGAGGCCCTGGTGTGAGACAGAGGCTCGGAGGACCGCACAGAGCCCAGGGCACAGTGGCTCGCTCCCTCCCTGTCCTCCTGCCACCTTCCAGCTCCCACCCTCTCTTTTCCTCTGTCTTCTTTCCCATGAAGGTGGCACCTTCAGTGGCCAGTGAGTCCCTGGCAGCTGTGAGTGAGTGAGACCAGGCTTGGCAGCTGTCTGTTAGCAACGGAGTTGGAGCATCCCACCATGGGGGTGATGCCCACAGCCTGAGTCCCCTTCCAGCATGGGGAGCCCCTGATTCCAAGGGGGAGATTCTCGCTTGACCCTCAGAGTGGTGTTGCATGCATGAAGTGATGACCACATGCCCCTTAAAGCCAACTACAGAGAAAGTGGGTGGATGGGTCTGGCCACCACAAGCTCCTCGGAACACAGGCTGGAGGTCTGGGATGAGGGGCCCAAGGCTGTCCACCTGGGCGGCAGGGAGGCCCGAGAGGACAAGAACCAGCCCCAGAGAACGGAGAGATGAAAGAGGTGATGAGGACAAGCTGGCGTCTTCCCGGAAACCTGGATGGGAGAGGAGACAGTGCCAGCCGCTCTCCCCGTGGGCCTCCCCCCTGCTTGCTCTCTGACCTCGCTGAGCACATCAAAGCGGGAACCCCTTCCCCCAGGCTGGCTCCCTGAATGGCCCAGGTCATCACTGGCTCCTTGAAGCTGCTGATGGACAGATGGTAATCGCTCCCAGCCTGCTGAAAGAGGACGCGGCTCCAGGTCGGAGCTGGGCCTCGGTGGGCTCCCTGCATGGGAGGCTGTCTTGGCTGCCCACTTCTCGGTCCCCCTCACTGCTCCCTGGGACAGTCTGGTTAGCTTGCCTTGGGGAAAGAGGGTGCTCGGGTAGCTCTGATGCTGGGGTTCAGAGGCCCACAGGCGCAGCAGGTGAGATGTGCAGAGACCTAAGGGGTCTGAGGACCCCTCAGTCCATGTCAGACAGGCCGTGGGAGCGGCAGAGGATCCTGCAGGAATGGCAGGAGTGAGGCCTGCCCTGGGGAAGTTCGTCACCCAAGAACAGCAGAGGATGAAGGGAACAGCCGGGGCTGGCACTCACACACTTACGTGTCGAAGACACATCATTGTAGAAGAGGCATCCAAGCTGTCACTCTCTTACTTTCTCTCCACTATTTAGTAAATAATGCAGGGAAATAATCCATTTACCTGATTGTGCTTAGTGAAAATTGTACATAACTATCAATTAGTGCATCTGATCAGCAGAGATAGCAACTTATTACTACCTTAAACCAAAATTAAATCAGCAAAGAGCTAAGAATGCTTGACGTTTAGCTACACTGAACTCACGTAGTGGGTAAATGCCTGTTCCTATTAGGCTTTTGGGTAGTTGAGGACAGCTTGACTATATTTTCTACATTTTTATAATGAACATGTAACACTCTTCTCACTGAGTGTGTAGGGATCAAATTCTATTTCAACTTCACTCAAAGAGCCCAAAACATGACCTCCTACTACTCCACCCTACACGAGAGAACAGAAAACCCAGCGTCAGGCTAGCTAAAAAAGTAGGGGGCCGAGATTTACAACGCTGGAGTAGCCACGGTGAGGGTTATCAGGGGGTTAGAAAAAGATGGTAAGGCTCTTGTGCGGGATACTTCATACTTGATTAAATCATGTTCCCATTTTTTGTAGCAGCTTAGCCTGGAGAGGGATAAAAGCTGGAGTACTGCTGCCATCCGGTGGCAACATTAGAAAATGCATTTTACTGCGTTCATATTAATACAGTAATAAAACTACATTTTACCCTATGAAATTGTCTATATTTGACCCAGTGTAACCATCAAAAATCACAACTTACAAAAAAATTACACTTGGGAAAGAACAGACTTCAACAAATGGTGCTAGGACGGCTGGCTACCCAGTCAAAATTGGACACCATCGTTATACCACACACAGAAATGATTTAAGATTATAGACCTAAATCTAGAAAACTCTTAGACAAAAAAAACAGAAGGAAATCTCCAAGACTTTGTATTAGGTGATGGTTTCTTAGATATGACACCAAAAGCACAAGCGACAAAAGGAAAAATTGGACATCAAAATCGACAACTTTCCTATTACAAATAATATAATCAAGAAAGTGAAAAGACAACACAAAGGGAAAAAATATTTGCAGACAATACCTCTAATAAGACAGTGGTATCCAGGCCGGGCGCAGTGGCTCATGCCTGTAATCTCAGCACTTTGGGAGGCCAAAGCAGGCGGATCACTTGAAGTCAGGAGTTTGAGACCAGCCTGCATGGCGAAACCCCATCTCTACTAAAAATACAAAAATTGGCTGAACATGGTGGTGCATGCCTGTAAACCCAGCTACTGGGGAGGCTGAGGCAGGAGAATCACTTGAACCCAGGAGGCGGTGGTTGCAGTGAGCCGAGATCACGCCACTGCACTCTAGCCCAGGCAACAAGAGCGAAACTCTGTCTCAAACAAACAAAAAAGTGGAATCCAGGATATATAAAGAACTCCTACAAATTAATAATAAAAGCAAATAACTGAATTTAAAAATGGGCAAAAGATTTGCATAGATATTTCTTTAGGATGTATAGTCACCAAACACATGAAAAGATGCTCAGTATCATTAGCCACTAGTGAAATGCAAATCAAAACCACGGTGAGAAACCACTTCACATCCACTAGGATGGCTGTAATCAGAAAGATAGGTAATAACAAGTGCTGGTGAGAAACTGGACCCCTCATACATTGTTGCTGGGAATGTAAAATGGTGCAACCCCTTTGGAAAACAGTCTGGCAGCTCTAGAAACAGAGTTGCCATACGACCCAGCAATTCCACTCCTAGTTAGGTACCCAAGAAGTTAAAATACACATCCACATAAAAGCTTATACATGAATGTTCAAAGCAGCGTGATTCACAATTGTCAAAAAGTGGAAACAGCCACCAACTGATGAATCGATAAACAAAATTTGGTATATCAATACAATGAAATATTATTCAGCAATATAAAGAAGTAAAATACTGGCCAGGTGCTGTGGCTCACACCTGTAATCCCAGCACTTTGGGAGGCCGAGGTGGGTGGATCACTTGAGGCCTGGAATTCAAGAGCAGCCTGGTCAACGTGGCAAAACCCTGTCTATACTAAAAATACAAAAATTACCCGGGCATAGTGGCACACGCCTGTAATCCCAGCTACTTTTGAAGCTGAGACACGAGAATCGCTTGAACCCAGGAGGCGGAGGTTGCAATGAACCAAGATTACGCCACTGCACTCCAGCCTGGGCCACAGAGCGAGACTCTGTCTCAAAACAAAAACAACAAAAAAAGAAGTGAAAGAGTGACATATGTTACATTGTGAAGGAACCTTGGACACATGACACTAACTCAAAGAAGCCAGTGGCAAAGGAGCACATACTCTATCATTCTGTTTGTATGAAACATCTAAAATAGGCAAATCTATAGGGAAATGAGAATCCTTCTATTTCCAGAAAATAGATTAGCAGTTGTCTACGGCTGGGAGTGGGAATGGGGAGTGACAGCTTAGTGGAAGCCACCGTCACATGTTGCATAGAGGACCGTGTCAGCCGCCTCACTGGTCTCCACACTCCTGTTTCCTGACAAAGCATTCTGCAGTCCTCTGCTGAAGGTCTGATGGAGTGAGCCAGGAGTAGGCAAACAGCCCAATAGGTGTGGAGGGTGGTTAGTCCTTGAGAAATCATATGAACAATGCAGGGGTTCGGGATGCAGATACATCTAGGAGGTAGGGGCATGTGTGTGGACAGATTTGACGGTGGTGAGAAGGCAGGGGCCAGCTGAGCCTTCGGGGTGTATCTGACTAAGTACAAGTCACCATGGCCGTGCCCTCACAGCATGTGAAAATACCTGGGAAAGGCCGGGCACAGTGGCTCACGTCTGTAATCCCAGCACTTTGGAAGGCCGAGGCGGGCGGATCACCTGAGGTCAGGAATTTGAGACCAGCCTGGCCAACATGGTGAAACCCTGTCTCTACTAAAAATACAAAAAATTAGCCAGGTGTGGTGGCAGGCACGTGTAATCCCAGCTACTCGGGAGGCTGAAGCAGGAGAATCACTTGAACCCAGGGAGCGCAGGTTGCAGTGAGCTGAGATCACGCCATCACACTCCAGCCTGGGGACAACAGCAAAACTTCGTCTCAAAAAAAAAAAAAAAGAAAAAAAAAGAAAATACCTGGGAAAGAAGAACTTCACCCATCTGTATAATCACCCCTGATTAAAATCCCTTTCCCACTGCAAGGATGGCAGCAGATGACAGTGTTCCACAGCAGGTGCCAGGAGGGAAGTGAACAGAAATATCTCAAGGCTTCTTGCCTGAAAGGATCCTAAGGCCACAACCAACAGGGGCATCTATGCAGACAGCCACCTAGGCTGGTCACTCGCTGGGGGACAGCAAGATGAAGGGATCCCTAAGAGAGGACATCAAGAGACGCCTAAGGGAGTGGGGGATGGAGAGGAAAACTCAGAGTTCTATAATAATTTGCCTTGCTTTCGTCCTTGGTTCCTGGGAGAGAGAACCTAAATCCTTGGAATTTCCCAAGTGATGTTAACATTTTTTGTTATTCATGATGAGCCCTAATAGTTTACGCTATTAAATGTGAGGACTCACGGTGGGGCTTTAGTTTCAGGATGGGTAGTTTCAGGCTGGCCATGCAAAAAGACCGACCATGTGATTAGAGGGTTGGCACTTTGAACCCAGCAGAACCGAGTTCAACAATGTAGCCAATTGTTCAACCACGACAACATAATGAAACCCCAATAAAAACTCTGGACACCAGGGCTTGGGTGACATTCCTGGCTGGTGATGCACATCCATGTGTTGGGAGGGTGACACGGTGGGCAGAGGACACGGTAGCTTCATGCTGGAGACTCTCCCAGACCTTGCCCATGCATCTCTTCTTTTAGCTGGTCCTGATTCATATCATTTTATTGCTACAGCAAAACCATAATAGTAAGCATAGCTAGTGCTTTGCTGAGTTCTGGGAGTCATTCTAGTGAATGATCAAACCTGAGGGGTTTGTGAACACTCTTGAATTCATAGCTAGTTGGTCAGAAGTACAGGTGGCTGGAAAACCCCAGAGCTTGCAGCTGGTGTCTGAAGTGAGGCAAGTCCTGTGGAATGTGCCATTAACTTGTGACATCTGGCCTAACGCTGGGTAGCTGGTGTTTGAATTACATTGCCCTGAGCCAGCAGATTTTGCTCCGCACTGGGAGAAGCTGTCTGCACCCACATGGCATGCTTTGCACAAGCACAAGCAGGAGGCCATGTTTTTGTATATCCTACCAGGCACTCTGGCTAAAAGCAGTCCAGAGAGCCAAGGAGAGCAGACCTAGAAAACATGGTGGGAGGCTGCTCTATTTGCCTGTCTTGTTTAAAACAGGTACCCCCTCCCACACTGCTCTATCCCCAGGAACCTGGGGATGGTCTCAACACCCCGTTGTGAGTTTGGTTTCTGGTGGGAACTAGCAGGTTGCCTATGATCCTATTTCTAACCCACTATGCCCTTCCACCTCCCAGACCTATCCCATCATAGCTGAAGGGTGGGGACGGTGAAATTGGTGCTCAGGAGATATTAGAATTAAAGAGGGAAGTGCATTTTAAGAGAAGGGTTTTAGATGGAACTGGCAAAGAATTAGTGGCTAATTGGATTTGGGGACTGGTGCGAGGGAGGAGTTAAGGGTGATTCCCAGGTCTCTGGTGATGCCATCTAAACTAAGGCAGGTAAGAGGACAGGAGCAACAGGCCCGGAGAGGGAGCTCCCAAGGGGAGACGATCACAGGCAGATGGATGTGAAGATAAGGAGCTCAAGGGGGAGATCAAGGTCAGAGACAGACTAGCGAGTCGTCAGCACACAGGTAGAGGCTTCCCAAGTTGGCCCAGCTCTCCCTCTGGGAGAGGGGCAGGATGCCAAGATGGAGCTCTGGGGGGCACCATGCTGGGGCCCTTCAAGGAGCCTGGAAGGAGGTCAGACAAGGAGATGCAGGAGGAGTTCATGGAATCAAAGCGAGTGAGGAGCTCAGAGTGGGCAATTCGGTTATCAAATGCAAAGACGTGTGATACGAGGATTGAGAAAGTGCTCTGTGGGCTTATTAGGTTGGGCATGCCTAGCACAGAAAAAAACCAGCTACCCAAAAGCTGCCTCCTGGAGCAGAAGAGCCAGTGCTGCCACCAGAAGGGGCACTGGGAGAGCCGGCCTCCCCCCTCTGCTGAGCACAAGCACCTCCCAGAGCTCACAGCAAACAAAATCCCTACGTGGGCAAGGAGCTGCTGCTTTTCATGGCAAGCCTTTAGTTCTTGATTTTTCATTTTGATTTTTTCTTATTCTTTTTTTAACCAGAGTCATTTGAGCAGAATAGTTCTTGATTTTTTAAATCATGTGCACATAGAACTTTGATAAAAATAGAAATTTAAGAAGCCCATTTTCTTATACTAATTACTGTATATGACTTAACACTAAATCATATCTTTTAGCTGGCTCTAATCAGTATTTCAAAATAGATGCAGTTCATTTTAGGCACATTCCAACCTCCTTTGCTGTGTAACCCATTTCTCAGGCCACACTAACCTGGGGTAAAATTCCTCTTATATTATTGTCAGTAATTAAAGATAGCCACTGGGCCAGGCACGGCGGCTCATGCCTGTAATCCCAGCACTTTAGGAGGCTGAGGCAGGTGGATCACCTGAGGTTGTGAGTTTGAGACCAGCCTGACCAACATGGAGAAACCCCATCTCTACTAAAAATACAAAATTAGCCGGGCATGGTGGCACATGCCTGTAATCCCAGCTACTCGGGAGGCTGAGGCAGGAGAATCGCTTAAACTCGGGAGGCAGAGGTTGTGGGGAGTGGAGATCACGCCATTGCACTCCAGCCTGGGCAACAAGAGTGAAATTCTGTCTCAAAAAAAAAAAAAAAAAAAAAAAAAAGATAGCCACTGTACCTAGCAAGACCTGCTGCTCAGGCAGTCCAGATCCCACTAAGAATCAGAGAAATGTTAATCCTTTCTTTAGGCCTAAGAAAACACAGAAAAGGAAGAACTTCATCATCCTTCACCCTTGCCTGCCCAACTACGGCAGCAGTGTGGGATGCTACGCGGTTTCTTCAAGCTGCTCCCCGTCTTCCCAGCTGACACCTGTGGCATGTGGGCTAGTGCCTGGTCCCTTTGTGGTGCCTTCCTGGGTAACTGGGATTTCGTCAAACACCCACAAGACCAGGGGTCCTCTTCATCTGTCTCCCTGAATTAAAGTCAAAGATCAACACTTCCTAAGTGTCACATTCCCGTCCCTTTATCTCGAGAAGCATCGTTTACAAGAAATATAAGCAGTCACACTATAGCCCGTGGGCTGAATGTGGCCTGCCATAAGTTTTTGTATGACCTGTGAGTTAAGAATGGGCTTTACGTTGTTAAATAGTTGGGGGAAAATATCAAAATAATAATTAGTGTTAGGGACTGAATTGTGTCCACTTCCCTTCCCCGCTCAAAATTCATATATTGAAGCCCTAACCCTCAACAGATCTGCATTTAACAAGGTTTAGAAACCAGCGGGGGCCCCACCCCTGCCCGACTCCCATTTCAGAGAGGCTGGGTCCCACCTCTGTGGCCAGTGTCCTGGGCTAAACGGCCTGACGTGACGAGCAGATTCCCACACCTTGTCCTCCCTGCACATCCGGAGCAGCATCTGTTCCCAGACCATAGCACCCTGGGACCCCCAACACTGGATCTGACTCCAGACAAATCTGTCACACTGCTTTACTGTTTTGTTTTGTTTTTTAATTTGTATTGAGACAGAGTCTCTCTCTGACACCCAGGCTGAAGTGCAGTGGCGCCAGCATGGCTCACTGCAGCCTCAACCTCCTGGGCTCAAGTGATTCTCCTGCCTCAGCCTCCCATGTAGCTGGGACTACAGGGGTGCCATCATGCCTGGCTAATTTTTGTACTTTTTTGTAGAGACAGAGTTTCGGCAAGTTGCCTAGGCTGATCTCAGAACTCCTGGGCTCAAGCGATCCTCCCGCCTTGGCCTCCCAAAGTGCTGGGATTACAGGCATGAGCCACCATGCCCAGTCTACCACGCTTCTTAAACCAGGTCCCTCTCAAGCCCAGATGGTAACTAATTACAAGCAGATGACATGACCTAATATTTGATATTTCTTATGGTGTGCTTAAATGTTCTATTAATTTTTAAAAGGCCATTCCATATTTACAAATAAAAGTTATTTAAAACGCAAACACATTTTTAAAAAATCATACTTTTATGGCTAACGAATCAACATACAAGAGCATTTCAGCTTACTCTGCCTAGCTATAATCACATTCCCTGCACCCTTAAAAGCTGCAGATCAACTAGGTTATATGAGGTTGTTGTCCTGGTCCTTAAGCACCCCCATGAGTCAGTCGACACTAAAGAAGACAGTCCTTTTGCGGGGCACAGAGCCGCTGACCTCGGCTTGAGAAGGGTCTGGGAAGGTGCAGCAGGGCAGACATCTGCCCCAGTCTCCAATGTGGTGACCCCATATCCCAGGGAAGCTTAGGAATTCTCAAAAAGTCAACTGTCACTAGCTTGGTAGCTCCCAGTTCAGCAACCAACACAAAACCCAGCACTGAAGTGCTAAAGAATCACGAAGAACAGTAGGGCAGCATTTGTGACAAAGCCGGGCAGACAGAACGACACAGCTGGTTCTCAGTCTAGCTCCAACGTGCCCGCCTGGGGAACAACAGTCCCGCCTCACACTTACTTGTCAGTAAACCACACAGCTAACTGAATTTTCCCAGCTAAAGAGAGCTCCCTGAGATGAGTGAATATCCCCAGATACCTTCAGCCTAGTAAATATTCAGTTTGCCAAATTAAAGACTAGATTTACATCTTGGAGGAGACCATATTTATATATGAGAATATAAATCATCTGTTACTTCTCCAAAATGTATCCTGACTAGCTCCTACTTTTCTACATTTTCCAGTTCTTTTATTTCCATCATCTGTTCCTCTAAGATTGTTCTCCTTTTTGTGAGACAGGGTCTCACTCTGTCACGAGGCTGGAGTGCAGTGGCACAATCATGGCTCACTACAGTCTCAACCTCCTGGGCTCAGGTGATCCTCCTAGCTCAGCCTCCTGAGTAGCTGGGACCACAGGTGTGCGTGTGCCAACACACCCAGCTAATTTTTGTATTTTTTGTAGCAACAGGGTTTCACCACGTTGCCCAGGCTGGTCTCGAATTCCTGGGCTGAGGTGATCCGCCCGCCTCGGCCTTTTCGGCCTCTCAGAGTGCTGGGATTATAGGTGTGAGCCACCGCGCCCAGCCTCTTCTCCATTCTTGTGGGTATTCCTGTTCATCTGTTTCCCTGAATTAATGTCAATTATCACTATTTCCTAAGTGTCACATTCTTGTTCCTTTTTCTTGACTAGCATGGTTTACTAGAAACAGAAATAACAGCAAAAATATTTAGGTCTTATATAAACAAATATAGTCATCTCGTCTGTGCTTTCAAAGTTAAATTTATTATGCACAGTAATGGGTACCATGGAGACAGGGAAAGGGCTAGAAAGTGGCATCATCTATACAGAGGGAACATATAAAGACTGTCCCGGGGTGTACCCCCCTAACTGTGCTGTCACTCCAACTCTGTCAGAAAGAAAAAGTAGTGTGAGGTGTATTTGTTTGCAAGAAACAAGGTGGAAACTAGATGGACCAGCTGAGCAGGGAGGCCAAGGTCATTTCCATCTATCCCTAATGGTGTTCAGTATAGCCCTCTCCTTCCTGAGACCTAAGAACAGAAGATACGCTTCCACAACAGAGATTTTTGATTTTTTAATGGCAGCACTCTCATAACTACATTCACGGACCAACCAAAGCCATCTCCAAGCCTAGAAAGGATACATACTACACGCAGCGAAAATGCCAACCACTGATCCAGAATTTTCAAGATGGCACCTTTCCCCAAACTTCTATACCATTCATTAAACATAGACTGCAAACTGCTAGCCTGTAGACCAAATTCAACCTCTAAGTATTATTTGCTTAGGTGCCTAAGCATCTTTAAAAATTTGATTTAGTTGGCAATACACTGGGAGGTTTCACATAAATATCTAGGTTTCCAGCTTCTCTGAAGAAATGAGAAAATCCATTCCCACATGGCAACAACCAGCTGGAGCTAACAGCTGTTAGACAGCATGCCGCTCCCCGCTACTGCCTTACACCCAGCCAGCTTCATGTGTGCATGTTATCTGCCTGCCATTCACATCGGTTCTCCTTGCTCAGCAAATGTCCCACCTCAACCTCACACTCAATACCCTTATACAGGTTCCCTAATCAGAGTTCAGTAGGGCACCCACACTATAGCTGGGCAATCCCTGGATGCTGTGATATTTGTTAACCATTATGTTCTTTCCAACCACGGGAACCTTCCTAAGAGCTCAAGAGCTTCACTGCTGGATAAAAACAGTTCCTGATCCCGGATTCTGACCTTTAGTTTTCCTTTTCCAGTCACTGCCCCAGTCTGCCTGGCCCTGGGCTCTGTTCCATATTGGCAATGAGAGCCCACGGCAGGGAGACTTCCAGCAGGCTTTTCCACAGTGCAGCCAAACTATCAGTAAATAGACTTTGTTCTCCATTAAAAGCCCTGTAGCAGCTGAGTTGCTTTACCTTATCCCACCTGGCTCTTACGCAGTCTGTTCCAAGTGAGAAGTTAGCAGAGTCCTGTAAACAAAGAACAGTTCAGGGGCCAACCTGCGCTCCCAGGTGCCAGGATGCTCTCAGGGTCTTCACTGTGCTCCCAGGTGCCAGGGTGCTCCCATGGTCTTCACTGTGCTCCCAGACACTTGGCTTCATTGTTCTCATTTTGATCCTCATTTGGCATCTCTAAACGCAGGCGGTGCAGGGAATGCACAAAGAAGCGAGGAAGTTTGCAGACCAAGTTGAGTTCCTCCTTCCCGGACCCCAGGGCAGGCAGGATCAGCTGCCGGGCGTGCAGGTGAAGGGGGATGTAGCGGGCCTTCGACTGTTCTAGCCCCAGCTTCTTCAGGGTGCCCACAGACAGCTTCTATACAAAGAAAGGACAGACCCTTGAGAGCAAGGCCAACAGTCCACCCTTGACGAACATGCAAGGTCAGGGCACTTCTACTTACAGGGAACCAAAACTAACCCCCTGGAAGACACAGTAATGGAGAGTCTGCTTCAGTGGCATGTCTAAGAACGGCTCAGAACTCAGGTAAGGGAAAAATGACCACACCAAGACATTCTTTTTGGCCAGTGCTTTTTGGCCTAACAAGAGAATGGGCTGTGGTATAAGGATGAAAAGGCTTTCCCTGCGGTTTTTTAGTAGCACCATGAAAAGCTGCTCCCAGCCTTCAGAAACACCCCTCCCCTTGTCCACAGCCTCCCAACAAAATCTGAATAAACAAATGTAACAGTAAGCTTTTCACTAACAGATCCTGCAGTTCCACAAGGACAGTAACCAACTGCTCCTAAATTTCTCTAAAATCAAGATAATGAGCTTGGTATCATGTCTGAAGACAATCAGTAGGCTTTGTTGTAACTCATTTCAGAGTTTTAAGAAAAGGAACGCCTAAGTTCTCTCCCGTATCTGCTGCACATTGGGTCAAATTAGTATTACCTGGGGGGCCAACCTATTCCAGTCTGAGTACTTGTGATCACCAAGGATTGGACAATCCAATCCAAAAGACAAGTGAACTCGAAGCTGATGTTTTATTCCTTAAAAGAGAGAGAGAGAGAAAGAGAGAAAACTCGTGAGGAGCTACAGAAACAATACCAGTATTGGCATCTGCTTCAAATCGTGTTACATCAAAGTGCAGTAAACTGGCCAAGTCCCAACTATAATAAAGTATAACGAATAATATAGCAAACTATAAGTTATGTAGCACCAGCCAGTTTAGGAAGTAAACGCCGTAAATACTCTAAGTACCTCTCCCCACCACAATTCCCTCTTTCCACCATAGATAACCATTATCATGAACTTGCCGTCTACCATTACCCCAACTTTTTAGTAATTTTACTACATAAGTAGTATTGATTTGCACATTATTTGAATTGTAGTAACATATACATAAAATTTCCTGGTTTAACCACTGGCATTATACTAAATGCCAAGTCAGTGACATTAGGTGTATTCACACTGTTTTTGCAACCACCACCACCATCCATCTCTAGAACTTTCTCAGCTTCCCAAACTGAAACTCTGGACCCATTAAACAACAATTCCCTATTTATCTCCCCTCCTTTACCCTACCCTAAGATTTTGGCAACCACCATCTACTTTCTGTCTCTATACATCTGACTCTTCTAGGTACCTCACATGAGTGGAATCATATAATATTTGCCCTTTTGTGCCTGGCTTATTTTACTTAGCATAATGTTTTCAAGGTGCATCCATATTGTAGCATGTGTCAGAATTTCCCTTCCTTTAATTCTTTTAAAGCTGAAAATAACATTCTATTTTATGTGTATGCTACATTTTGTTTCTCCATTCATCCCCCAATGGTCACTGGGATTATCTTCACATTTTGTTGCTGTGAATAACGCTGCTATGAATATGTGTGCAAATATTTGATTTTTGGGGTATATACCCAGAAGTGGAACTGCTGGATCTTACAATAATTCTGTTTAATCGTTTTGAGGAACCACTCTACACAGTTTTAAATAGAGGCATTCAACCTGTTTGTATTCTTCTGCTAGCCACAACCATCTCTCTGGGAGTCCCCGGCCTCAGATCAGCACCAGAAGCACATTCTCACACAAGTCAGCCACACTACTAGCTGCTCAGAACGAGGCCCTGGACAAAACCTGGTGGCACAGGGTTTTGTGATCCCACTGCGGAAAAGTGACACTCTCACCAGTGATGGGCTGGAGCTCCACGAGGGCGGAGGAGAGAGTGCTGCTGAGCACCTGGTACTGAGTTACAGCAACTTGCGCATTCCGGCTGCGCCGCACTTTCACCATTTTCCCATCGTCCATGCGGTAGCTCGGGGACAATGTCATCTGAAGCCAAAGAAATCAAGATATGATTCCCAAGGAAGAGCAGCAACCCATGCCTCAGGGAGGCTGCTCGCTCACCTTGTGGTGTTGCTGCTGGCCTTGCGCCTCCTTCTCCACAATGGGGATGTCCACGACTCCTGCTGAGGGCATGGGGACATGCACAGTGATGGCCCTGGGGGTGACACAGATCACTGCTTTAGCCAACCAAGCCAGAGAAGAACTCCTAGATTTGGCCACTTAGAGGATTTCACGCTGGACCTTCTGCACTAACATGTGATTTCTTATGATTGAAGGATCGTGCAAGATTCTCTTGGTGTAATGCTTAGCCTGAGAGCTGATAGATTTCACAAGCTTATCTTTTTTACTACTAAAGTCATACATGCTAATTGTAGAATATTTGGGGTAAAAAAAGAAAAAAATTACATTAATAACATGGTCTTTCCAGTCTTTAAAAATGGATATGTACAGTTAAAATAAAATTATGGTAATATAGTTTTGTATTTTTTTTCAAATAATAAAAGATTGTAGATTCTGACTGCATGGTAAATGAACAAATGAATAATTGGATGAATGAACCTAATAAAACATTCAGAGAACCGTTCCTGGCTCATTTGCCACATAGGTAAAACAGGAGGGAACTGTACCCGAAGAAGTCACAGGGGACAGGCGTGGTGGCTCACACATGTAATCCCAATACTTTGGGAGGCCAAGGCGGGTGGATCACTTCAGGTCAGGAGTTCAAGACCAGCCTGGCCAACATGGTGAAACCCCATCTCTACTAAAAATACAAAAAAAAAATCAGCCAGGCGTGGTGGCGCGTGCCTGTAATTCCAGCTACTTGGGAGGCTGAGGCATGAGAATCGCTTGAATCCAGGAGGTGGAGGTTGCAGTGGGCCAAGATTATGCCACTGCACTCCAGCCTGGGAGACACAGCAAGACTCCGTCTAAAAAAAGAAAGAAAGAAGTCATAGGTACCACAACCACAACTCAATAACTCATTCCAAATCACTTCTGTTGGTGTTCTCCCTCCCATGACCTCATGACCTCACAGACAGGTAGAAGACTGTTTAATCTGTCTGTAAATTTATGCCTCTTTCAGGTCAATGATGGAAAAGTCCATCTGGGTACCTGGTGGTCGGTTGTATAATCACTAACCACGGGGTCAAAATCCTACTCACACACACTATTTCACAACGCAGACACTCCACTTCAGTTTCAGCTACTATCTGGTACATTTTATCGTATTTTACAGATTTTGTAGATCTTCTGTGACAAGAATGTCCTTCCTAATGATATGACACTACAACTCAAGAATGTTCCATCAGCAAGACCCAACTGATTGATTTCAATTCCTCCATGAACCTGATACCGAGAATGGTTACCAATTTTGAACCTTAATGGACATTTTTCACAAATAACATAACATGTATTTTATAGTCTTAATATTTTGATTGCTTGAATAGAAAAATAAGTCTCTATTTTTTATTTTTTAACTTTTCCTATGAACTAGGTACTGTGTTAAACATTTCACAAGAATCAATCTTATTTAACTATCTCATAAATCCTACTGTTTCCATTTTTCAGATGAAGAAAACAAAGCTTATGGACATTTAATAACCTGCCCAAGGCCCCACAGCTGTTAAATGACACAGTTGAGAGTTGAACACACATCTTTTTGAGGTCTTAGCTACTGTCCTAAATTCCTCCATTCTCCATAATCTTATCATAGTTCTTAAATTTGATTGTATATCAAATTTTAAAATACAGATGCCAATCCCCACAACCACCACACTTACGAATGAGAACTTCTGTGGGTAAGTCTCAATCATACATATTTTTAAAGGGCTCCTCAGATTCACAAAGTATCTGCAAAATCTGTAATCTAAAAAGGACTAACATTCAAAATATAAAATGAATACTTACAAATCAAATAGAAAAGAATAAACAACCTGGGCCAGACACAGTGGCTCACGCCTGTGAGCTGTAAGCGCTGTAATCCTAGCACTTTGATGGACAGATCACTTTAGGTCAGGGGTTCAAGACCAGCCTGGCCAACAGGCTGAAACCCCATCTCTACTAAAAATACAAAAATTAGCTGGGCATGGTGGCATGTGCCTGTAATTCCAGCTAGCTGAAACATGAGAACCACTTGAACCAGGGAGGAGGTTGCAGTGAGCCAAGATTGTGCCACTGCCCTCCAGCCTGGGTGACACAGCAAGACTCCATCTCAAAAAAAAAAGGCCAGGCACGGTCTTAAATAAAAAAAAATAATAATAATAAACAACCCTGTAGAAAAATAGGCAAAAGAAATAATCAGTCTGTTCCCAAAAGGGAAACTCAAATAGCCAATAAACATGTAAAAAACATGTAAATTGATAGCCAATATCACTGTTATACAAGGAAATAGAAAATATCTTTTTTTTTTTTAACTTATCACAGTGGCAAACCCTTTAAAAATGCTTTGGCTGATAAGGGGAGGTGGGTACTCACCACTGCTGGTGGGAATGTAAACTGATAAAAAACCTTTGTGGAGAGCAATGTGAGTACTATTAAAATTTAAATATACAAACCATTCAGCCCAGCGATTCAATTTTTAGAAATTTATCTTAAAAATACATTCACATATTCTTTGCAATAGGCTCTAAAAAATGAGAAATTACCTAAATATCCATCCATACAGCGGTATTTCACAGAGCAATTAAAAAGGAGACAGCTCTAAACGTATGACACAAAATGCTCTAAGATATATGATCCAAGTGAAAACTGTAGGGTACAAAACTCTGTGTGAAATACACTAGCATACAGTAATATGCTTATATATGCTCGATAACTCTGGAAGTTTACAGAAGACACCAGTCACAGCGATTGACGCTGGGGAAGGCAACTGCACAGATGGGGAATAGAGGGTTTCTTTTTTGCTCACGCATCTTTTTTCTATGAAAAACACTGAGGTAAACCTCTATGTGCTAACACAGGATGATCCCCAAGACATAGAGGTGAGCAGAGGAAAAAAGTATAATGTAAATTGTACAATGTGATATATATATAGATATATATGTGTACATACATATGTACACATGCATATACTGCATACACCAGACACGCATATACTGCGTACACCAGACACGCATATTCTGCGTATGCCGGACACGCGTATACTGCGTACGCCGCACACGCGTATACTGTATACACTAGACATATATGTAAATGCGTTGAGTAAGAACCAGAGGAAAAAAAACCAAACTGATTACATGGGTTGTTACCTCAAGAGAAAACACTAGAATGGCAGAATGGGTGGATTCTCCAGGAGTTTTTCACATGATCTTTGTTGTTTGACTATTTTTAGCATGGGAATAAAATCATATATTACTTGTATAATTAATTAATTTTTTTTTCTTTAGAGACAGGATCTCACTCTGTCACCCAGGCTGGAGTGCAGTGGTGTGATCATAGCTCACTGTAACCTCAAACTCCTGGGCTCAAGTGATCCTCCCACCCTGGCCTCCCAAGTAGCTGGGACTACAGGTATGTGCCACTATACCGGACTAACTTCTTACTTTTTATAGAGAAAAGGTGTCACTATGTTGCCCAGGCTGTTCTCCGACTCTTGGCCTAAAGTGATCCTCCCACCTCTGCCTCTCAAAGTGCTGTGATTACAGGCGTGAGCCACCATGTCCACCCCATGCTTGTATAATTAATTTTTGATAATTTTGATGTATACCAGAATTAAGAACCACTGTTCTATCAGACTTAATATTCTAAGCACCAAAGCTGTTTCACATATTTTTTACAATCTCGCAGGTCATAGTGCAGTGCCTTCTATTAATGGGAGTTTCTGTTTTTAATGAATAAATAGGTGAAAGAAATGCCTCCACTTATACCACCTCTACTGCCATCAGCAGGCCTCATACCAGTACTTCTTCACCACCTGACGGGTTCTAAACAACTCTTGGACTTGATGTGCCATGTCCTTGTCCCAAGCCAACACCATTACACCTGTGGTTTCCTTGTCCAGCCGGTGGCACAGATGCAAGGGCTCTGCCTTGTGGCCATGAAGCATCTTTGCCAGGATAGGTAGTACATCAGTGATGCAGAGCTGGACCCCAGGGCCACCTAAGAAGGAAAAAGCCAAAGGTTTGAGCGGCCAGGAAAAGATCTCGCCAAAGAACTCTCCTTGGGAGAAAAGCCCTTAATGGATAAACTGTCAATATTTTCTAGAGCCTTACTACTGAAGTGTGGTCCAGAGACTAGCAACAATGGCATGTCTAGGGAGCTTATTAGAAGTGAATCTCAGGCTCTCAACCTAGACTACTCAGTCAGAATCTGCATTTTACAAGCTGCCCAAGTGATTCAGAAGCATATTAAAGTTTGAGAAACACCATTCTAGAGCATGTGGCTTCCTCTCAGACATACTTTGAAAAACCATGAGGCCTTCGAGAAGCATTAAATAAGAGTGATTAGGAGGATAGACTTCGGGGTTAGACATTCCTGGGGTTCTACTCTACTCTTCTTACTAGCCATTTTTTTGACCTTGGACACATTACTTCTCTTTCCAACTTTGCTTTCTCGTTATAAAATGTAAATATCTGGAAAACAACTTCATTGGGGAATGGAAAGGCAAAAAACTGTTGCGAAAATAAAGAGAGAAAAAAATTATACAAACACTTGGTGATGTGATTTAATTCCTTGTCTTTGTGAACAACTATCTCCGTATCTCCCCAAAAAGCATTACCTTCTTCTAGCTAAAATGGGCCTTTTCCCTCTTTCACAAATGCATTTTTTAAATCAATCTTTCCTGATTCACTTCAGCTGTCCCTGACAACTACATGCAACATCTGTTGAAAGACATTTGAAGGTCCACTAAATTCCAGTCACTCTGGGGTTGTATGTTACATATACTCCAACATACATACACACACACACACACACACACACACACACCCCCTTTTTTCTTATGTATCATTTTCTCATTCCCAGTTCTGATGGAAGATAACCTTTAGTCTAGAACCACACAGCCTTTGTATATCTCTACAGCGATCCCTGTAGTCTGCACACAGCGTATTCTACGAATTGCTTACTGTCAGATGTTTAGAAAGGGAGGACTGTCTTATTTATTTATTTCTGTGTTCTCGGTGGTTCCTTATATTGGACGGTAGTTTACAAAAGTTTAATTAATTTGAATGCAAGGCTTTAGAGTGCACCACAAGTAACGTCTCAGTTTTCCTCGGTTGTAGCAGAAAGCAGCTGCAGGTTCCTCCACCTTTCCCGCGTGGTCCTTACCATGCACAGGGAGACCGTAGGGCTTATTGATGACCACAAGGTTCTTGTCCTGGTGGAGAATTCCTCGGGTCAGTGCCTTAGCAAGCACGTTGGGGTGGACTCGCTGCAGCTGCCGTGTGAACCGCACTATTTCTTGCACTCTCCGCTGAACAGCGTTTGTGGACACCTAGGGAGAAAGAAGGAGCCGTGGGGAATGCCTGGTGCGGAAGCCGTGGAGAAGACCTTCCATAAAGGTCTGGGTGAGAATCTGAGTAGGGAATGACTATCTTTGCATCAGACCCGCGCCGCCTTCGACTAATTTGAGAGCAGAGATACCCATCTGTCTAACCTGCGTACCGACGCAGTGGTTAGGACTGAGCCTGACAGTAGCCAAAGATCCAGCTCACGGGAAAACACCGTACCCTTACTGACCCCTCCCCTCCGCCTTCTCCCCATTCTCCCACCTTGCGTCCGGGCTATTGACTCACACGCTTTCACTCAGAGGACCCTCCTACCTACTCCCCGTCTGGGAAACCAATGAGCGCACTGCCTCTAGGGAGTTCTGGTCCCTTTGGACTCACCGGCTCCTTCTTTGTGTCTTGTTCCCGTTTCTGGGCTCGGAGCTTCTCCGCTAATCTCTGGGCATTTATGGCCGTAGAGGCAGCGGCAGCGGCACAAAATGGCTTTGAGACGAGAGTGAAGAGACTCCCGCAACCTTGGCCGTTTCCCCGGATCCAGGGGCCCGACGCGCTCCACCTGGGCGCCGCCATCTTACAAGGAAGGGCGGGGCGAGCCAAGACCACGTGGAGAAGGGCGACTACAATGAGGCGGGAGTGGGTGGGCCCTGCAGGTCACGTGGTGCGGGGTGGGGCCTGGGCGAGTCACGTGGGGACGGTGCGCGCTCAGTGCGGCTGCGCCGGCCGGTAGCTGCAGCTGGAGCAGTGGCGTTTGGAGGAGACTCGGTGAGTGTGTAGGGAAGCCGGGCTGGGGCTGGGAAATGCCGGTGCCTCAACGGTTTAACGTTTTCTGCGTCCCCGGGATTTCCGTTCAAGAAGAGCACTGGTCTGAGAAACGTTTCTCCTTTTGGTACACGATCCCACTCAAAAACTCCTCCCCGCCCCCGCGCCCCCTTAGGAGCGATGTCCCATAAACGCTCGCCCCAGAGCCCTCCTAGGCACCGACGCCGTCCCTCTTAGCCACTGAATCTCCGGTGATCCGCCAGTCCCCTGCGGGACGCGTCGGGGACCCTCTTGATCGGATGCCCGGATCTCTGTAGTCTCTCCACCCTTCATCTTCCAACTCCCAGCCTCTTTGTTTCGCGTTGTAACCTGTACCCTTCTCCTAAGGATGACGGCCCCTTCCCTTATCCAGGGCCCCCAGCACCTATTTCCTACTTAGGAAGCACTGTGAGTGTTTTTTCTGCCCTTCCTCAAGAATTCATTTCTTGGGGGTCTCCTCCCTACCTTCCCTACTCCTCCTAAAGAAAAAGCTGAAAGAACGGAGCACAGACCTTCACTTTTCCTGTTTCCTTTATTTTTCCTCTCCATAGTTTGCAACCACACCATACCTCCTCTCACGAGATGCGATGTTGGGATTCCCTTGCCCGAACTGCAGGCGACTCCCTCTGATTTCACTCAGGGGTGGCTGGGAAGATAAACATCTGTTTGGGATGGTAGTGTTAAAAATAACTTGGGATATACCTGCCATTTGTTAAGAGGAAAGCTTATGCTGAGTTCAGAAAGAATGTCCTGAAAACTAATGGATCTGTGACGATAGAAGGAACAATTTTTTAAGACTGCTTGGAATGAAGGCTGCCTGAGGAGTTATTAGAGAATAGGTAGTTGAATTAGATTTGGGTTCTACACCTCCTAAAGGGTTTGGCAGAAGGGAGCCGTACCAACAAGAAACAAAGTTGATCAGGTGGAGCTACTCATAGAAGACTCAAGTTGAAGAGTTTGAACTAGAGGTGATACGTAGTGAGGAGTCTTTGAAGCTTTTCGAGTAGGGCAGAGAGACTCCTTGAAAGTGGAATTCTGGAAATGAATCTGGCAGTTGAATGCAGGACAGATGGGGAAGGAAAGGGTTTGATAGTGGGGAAGGAAAGGGTTTGATAGTAGGAAAACTAGTTACAATCTAGGTGGTCAGTGATGAGGTCTGGTCTTTTCCCCCTACACTGTAACTCCTTTGAGTTTGAATTAATTGAGTTATGCAGGTCAAGGCGTACTCTTGGCAGCTGCTGTTGATCTGTGAGTCCCTGGAAGAATTTTTTTTTTTAATCCACTCACCTGGCACATAGTAAACTCGATATCTGTTAGATGGCTGAAGTGCATCATAAATGTATGCTAGGTGTGTCTGAACATTTTGAATTGTCTTATTTCTGTCAATGTTTGGCCTGAAGAATGAAGGTAGAGGAAGATGTATTTGTAAAGTGGGAAAGAAGCAAGGCTTGTGTACGTTTCTCTTATAAGGCAGGTGTAAATGCAGATCCAGATACAAATGCAAAGATTTCCAAGGGAGATTGGGAAACATCTGTTTCTCCTGTTCCCCACCCACCCCCTGCAAATTTACCAGTAAGACAGAGGTCTATAAAAGTTGAGAAATTCCACCCTAAAAGAATTATTACCTTCCATGCTCCAGACCTAGGTTCTAATTTCACTTGAACATCACATATTACTTAGATACTTGAAGCTCAATTTTCCAAGGACCCTGAAGTTTTGACATCGGGACTTAAATTCATATCATTACATTAATTAAAAACTTGTTTTGGGTACAGGACTTTTATGGTTTTGTGTCGGGGATGGGAGAGGCTGTTTCTACCCTAACCTTATGGCATTCAAGAAACTACACCTGTTCTTGCAGAGTTGGCCTTCTGTGGCGGGAAACAAAATGAAGAACCAACTCAAATGTCATTGCTAGTGACACAGAGCTTATGCTCTAGGGTTTCAGGTTAACTCAAAGCACACACTTAGTGACTTAAGAATAAAAATATTGGTCCCTTTTTTCTGGAGAAGGAACTTTTAGGTTTGTCTTGTTGAAACTTTGTAGAGAAATTTAAAGAATTCAAAGTTTTTGTTTGGTATGACAGTGCAGCTTTAGCCAGTATGGGTACATAAGTTATGACATCCTTAATGTTTCTCCGGTGAGTCTAGGCACTTGGTGATTTAAAGTAGAGTTGTTCTCAGTATAAAGAATTTATGTGGCCGGGCGCGGTGGCCCACGCCTGTAATCCCAGCACTTTGGGAGGCTGAGGCGGGCAGATCACGAGGTCAGGAGATCGAGACCATCCTGGCTAACATGGTGAAACCCCCGTCTCTACTAAAAATACAAAAAAAAAATTAGCCAGGCGCGGTGGCAGGCGCCTGTAATCCCAGCTACTCGGGAGGCTGAGGCGGGAGAATGGCGTGAACCCGGGAGGCGGAGCTTGCAGTGAGCCGAGATCGCATCACTGCACTCCAGTCTGGGCAACACAGCAAGACTCCATCTCAAAAAAAAAAAAAAGAATTTATGCAAATGTCATGTCTTTTTTTTTTTTTTTTTTCCAATTTTCAAAGAGCAATAATCACCCCTCAGATAAACCTCATTGGCTGCAATACTGCCACTGCAAAAAACTCTTTTGTTTCTGTTTTTTTTTTTTGTTTTTTTTTTGTTTTTTTTTTTTTACCTCTATATTGCCTCCTCCCTGTTCCTCATTCAGCTGGTCCTTTTTTAGGCAGTTCACTTTTCCACTTCTGCGCCAATGTCACAGTCCATTTGTTGGGAACTCCTCTTGTCTAAATGTTTTCTTAGAACAAGGAAGGAAATTCTATTAGTGATTTCTTCATTCTTGCAGACTACGGCTCTGTTCAAACATGACTTATTTACATTGATTTTGATATATCATAATATGTGCCCCTAAAGTAACCATATAAAGAAGAACTTGATAGTTTCTTTTTAAAGATATTTCCTAGTCTATTCAGGAACAAAAAGGCTGCATTAGTATTTCGCAAATATAAACAAACAAGGACTAACTAATAAAGGAACTTGCGTTTATCACAAATTTAAGGTTAATTAGTGGTATAAAGTTAAGTTACGCCTCCTCAAACTGTGATTTGCTAGTTGCAGATTAACCAGCGATTCCATTTCCTTGAAGAGCAGGAAGTACTTGGACATTGTTTTATGGTTTTAGAGAGATTAAAGGAGGCAATTAGCAGGAACTCTTGGGAGGTGCCCTGGAAAGTACAGTCATTGGGAGCCAGGAGATGTGGGACTAGTTCCAGTTCAGCCGCTGCGTACTTGAACAAATAATTTGGGCTTCAGTTTTTTGTCATTTGAAAGATTTTTGCAACTCTGTTTCTAGTCTATGAAGATTTTCCACTGATACTGAAATACTTCTCTTTCAGCCCGAATTAGTGGGATTTATTTCAGATTTATCTTGAATACATTTAGCATTGATACTAAGAAACTGGATTCTGCTCTTGTCCCCAGAATTTAACTTTTTGCCACTGAGCTAATGTTTATGTTTGGAGGTTACTTCATTGAGTGGTGTTGGAATATACTTTTAAGATTTCTGGCCAGGCGCGGTGGCTTACGCCTGTAACCCTAGCACTTTGGGAGGCCGAGGTGGGCGGATCACGAGATCAGGAGATGGAGAGCATCCTGGCTAACACGGTGAAACCCTGTCTCTACTAAAAATACAAAAATTAGCTGGGCGTGGTGGCAGGCACCTGTAGTCCCAGCTACTCGGGAGGCTGAGGCAGGAGAGTGGCGTGAACCCAGGAGGCAGAGCTTGCAGTGAGCCAAGATCGCGCCACTGCATTCCAGCCTGGGTGAAAGTATGAGACTCCGTCTCAAAAAAAAAAAAAAAAAAAATGTCCTAAATGGGGGTGGGGTGCATGGCTCACACCTTAATCCCAGCACTTTGGGAGGCCTAGCGGGGAGGATCTTTTGAGCCTAGGAGTTTGAGATCGCCTGGGCAACATAGCAAGACCTCGTCTCTACAGAAAATCACAAAATTAGCTGGGCATGGTGACGCACCTATGGTCCTAACTAACCCTTGAGGCTGAGGTGGGAGGATCATTTGAGCCCGGGAATTCAAGGCTGCAGCTGCAGTGAACCATGATTGCAGTACTGCACTCCAGCCTGGGTGACAGAGACAGACCCATCTCAAAAAAGAAAAAGTAATTTGTGTAATACAGTTTAAAAGTCAAATAGTAATAAAAGATTTGGAATTAAAAAACAGTTTCTCAGGCCAGGTCCAGTGGCTCATACCTGTAATCCCAGCACTTTGGGAGGCTGAGGCAGGTGGATTGCCTGAGGTCAGGAGTTCAAGACCAGCCTGGCCAACATGGTGAAACCCAATCTCTACTAAAAATACTAAAATTAGCTGAGCATGGTGGTGTGTGCCTGTAATCCCAGCTACTTGGGAGGCTGAGGTAGGAGAATCGCTGGAACTGGAGAGATGGAGGTTGCGGTGAGTCGAGGTCGCACCATTGCACTCCAGCCTAGGTGACAGAGCGAGACTCTGTCACCAAAAAAAAACCCAACAAAACAAAAACCGTTTCTCTGCCCTCCCTACCTCAAAGTCCCATTCTTTAGAGGCAACCACTCAGTTGTTTTCCTCTTTTCCTCTGTCTTTACAGTAAGTGGTCAACACCATCAGTATTCTTGAA
Organism: Homo sapiens; assembly: GCF_000001405.40. Classification (NCBI taxonomy): domain Eukaryota; kingdom Metazoa; phylum Chordata; class Mammalia; order Primates; family Hominidae; genus Homo; species Homo sapiens. The sequence goes on from NC_000011.10 coordinate 126,216,517, forward strand.
ACATGATATAACAAAACCAGTTTTACCATATGGTTTCTATGGCGTTTTTCTGGTCACAAAAACATACCCAATTTCTAAATAAAGACCCAAACATTTCTAATATGAAACACTGAAACAAGTAAGATTTTCACCCACTTTTTGGTGAGTCAGTGAGTTACTGCAGTCATAGTGGTGGTGGGTTAAATCAAGGAATAAATGTGTGCAAAGTGAAAATTGTCAGAAGCATTTCCTACCACCATACTCATTTCCAAAGCAATCAATCACCAATAGGGCAGGCTCACTGAGAGCTATTGTACCACATCATTTATTGTTGTGCATTTGGATGATTACCATAGACTTTGCAGATTTTTATTTGCTGGTAATTTGTATTCATTCATTTATTTTCCAGCTTAGGCTCACAGGTGGCTGGAGCCTATGCTGGCAGCTCAGGGCACAAGGCAGGCGCCAGCCCTGGACAGGACGCTGTCTATGCCATAGGGTGTGCATGCACACACACACAAACACAGGGACCATCTAGACACACCAGCTAACCTAGCAGGCACATCTTTGAGACGTGGGAGGAAAGCAGAATACCTGGAGAAAACCCACACAGACATGGGGAGCATGCCAACTCCACACAAACGGGTAGCCTCAGCCAGGAATCACTTATTCTCTCATCAATGTTATGAAAAAACGATGTTGAACAAAAAGACTTTTTTTGAGAGTCTGCTGTATCTTCTTGTTGCTAAATAGTTGGTTTGTTATTCTTTCTTGGTTTTCCCCTCATGTTTGGCCTGTTGATTTCTTGTTGTGATAGATTTGTATTTAGCTCTTGCATCCCACCACTTTCCTATTTTTCCATGCCCTCTATCCCCTAATATAGTTCTATTGTAATTTTTTGCTAAAACAGGTAGCTTTTATGTACTTACACCTCTGTCAAATACTGTTCACTGTTGAGCTGGATGATCTATTACAGTGTGTTCCTCCTGGTGTGTAGGTTGGCCTTCACCTGTGTTTTTCATGTACCTACTGTTAATTTTTTTCCCACATGCTCCAATGTATTTGTCACATTCTTATCAGTAACATTTTCTGTGAGCTCAAATGTATCACCTGTTTATTGGAGCCCTGCCCCCTCCTCCTGCCTTTACTGTTGCTCTCAAGAACTGCTGCCTGGGGTCCTCCTGGACCTGCCCTTTCCTGTGCAGGAACCGTATCTTCCTCTTTCTGGGCTTATGTCTTTATTTTTTAAAAGCATATACTTCAGTTATTTCTAAGAAGTATTTGAATGACCTGGTTTTGCCCACACACTTGTTTGATAGTTTGGCAGTTATATAATTCTAGATTGGAAATAAGGTTCTCTCAGAATGTTGAAGGCATCTGTAATTGCTCTAGAGATGTGGTGATTTAAATCCTTCTTACGTGACCGTATTTTGTTTGTTTTCTCCCCTTCTGGAAGCTTTGAGGATATTCTCTATCTCTGGTGTTCTGCAGTTTTATGATGTGTATTAACACCAGGGTATGGGTCTTTTACTCAGCTGTTGTGCTGGCTTCTCACAGACGGTTTTGATTCTGGAAATTCACGTCCTCTAGTTCCGGGATGTTTTCTTGTACTATTTCTGTGATTTTTTGCTCAATCTTTAATTTTTCTTTGATACCTTTTTGTAATATCCATTCTTGTTATGTGGATATGGTGGGCTCAGAGGGCCCGCTGGAGTATTTGAGTTTTCTTCCTCTCTGCACAGGCTCCACTTCCTTCAGGTGATGTGGGCCTTTGCACCTGTGCCTCTGTCTGGATGTGTCTTCCCTCAGATATCCAGCGACTTGCTCCCACACCTCACTTTGGATGAATCCACAAGTCTTTCCTTAAATGTCACCTCAGTGAAGAGAGCACTGGATTGAGAAGTGCAGACCCCCATCTCACTTCCCTGCTTTGTTTCTCTCCAGAAGCATTTCCCACCATCTAGCATCCCACATATTTATTTACTTGTTTCCCTCACCACTAAAATAAACATTCTATGAGGGCAGGGATTTTGGGTTTTTTTTTGTTTACCTCTATAATTCCAGCCTCTGAAACAGTGCCTGGCGATGAATAGATGCTTAATAACTTAAGGAATAAATGAATTATTTTATTGTGGGATTTCTTTGAATGTCTCATGATTCTGACTGTTCATTTCTGTTTTGTTTTTTGTTATTTTAAGTTCCCAGCGTGGGTCTTGTTGGGTGGTGGCCATTACTATAGGGTGGCTGGTATATATGGATTTTGTGTGTATGTTTGTACAAATGTATATGTTTGCTAATATTTCTTTAGCTGACAGTGCATTGGTTGCTGGGACAAGGATGGAGGCTTGGAGAACCTTTTAGTATGCATCTTTTGACATAATCTGTATTTTCAGTTCTTCATTGCTCCTGCTGATGTATTTTACTCCAGACCCATTTCAGATTTCGGTTCATTTTTCTTTAAACCTCTGGATTTGGGGGTGGAGAAAATAGATGAAAATAGGAGGTGAGGAAGAGAATTTGCGCATTAGTTAAATAGACTTTATGCCAATCCGTATTTTCAGATCTGCATTTAAAGCTTGCTTTCCATCTCCAAAAATTCATTGAAAAATTGAATGCTTATCTCCTGCACCTCACATTCTTGGTTTTATACCTTGAAAAAAGAAAAACTCCTCTGTTGCCATTTTAATAGCGTACTTTGAAAAAGATTAAGAAGTAAACACGTAAGGACAGAAGTTATCATGTTTTATATTCTTAGTGTCATGGAATGCAGCACAGGAATATCACATAAGGAAAAGCACAGATTTCTTGTTTTCCTCGTTTATTTTGGAAGCTTATCCTTCAGCTCTTGTTTATCTTTTTTTTTTTTTTTTTTTTTTTTTTTTTTTTTTTTTTTTGAGAGTCTCTCTCTGTTGCCCAGACTGGAGTGGGCATGATCATGACTCACTGCAGCCTCGACCTCCTGGGTTCAAGCAATCCTCCCACCTCAGCCTCCCAAGTAGCTGGGACCATAGGCATATGCCACCACATCTGGCTAAGTTTTTTATTTTTGTAGAGACAGGGTCTCCCTATTGTTTATATGCCTTAAGAGTCAAATTAACAGAGTACATAAGAAACACTCTCTTTTTAGCTCTCTTGCTAAGGAGCAGGTTTGAGATCTGTTGCCAGAACTTAGTACTTCGCAGTTTTATGGATTCCTCAGGAGTCTCGTCCATGGGGCTGGGGCGTGGCTACCCTCTGCTGACTCTTCCTAGGTTCCTGCTCTTCCCCAGCACCTCCCTACCCCCAGCCACTAGAAATAGACTGCTTCTTTCTTTCTTCTACTGCAGAAAACATGCACTACTGTACTTATTAAAATTAACTTAAAAAAAAAAAAAAAGCAGCTCGAGCTGCTTGAGTTTTTTTTTTAAGTTAATTTTAATAAGACATTGAAGGAAGAATTTTTTTTAAAGGGGGGGCTTATATGTATGGAGATTTATGGTGTGAAAGCAGGGGCAAACTCTAATGAATGAAGTTTTTAGAATTGATATGAACATGAACCCAAGATACTCAGACTTATTCCGAGAGTTCCTCTTAAAAACTGCTTTTCTCCACATAAATCCGAATGTCAGCAGTGGTTAGCTCCACGTTGGAGGAAGGGGGGCTTCATTTTGCTCTTTCTGCATATTTCCTGCAGTGATCTGTTACTTTCAAATCTGGGGGAAAGGTGCTCTCTTTTTCTGAATGAAGTCTCCACCTGCCTCCCTTGGGCCCAGGCTGCCCAGCTTTCTGGCTGCTCCCTGAGAGTCCTCCTTGGTCTTCCACTGACCTCCTTCACTTCCTTATGAAAGTATGTTTTTAGTCTCCCTAACCTGCTTTCTGTTTTCTCTCTCTCTCTTTTTTTTTTAATACCCTCAATTGTTTTCACTGGCCACTTTTTTTTTAAGACTGATGCTTGGCTGGGCTTGGTGGCCCATGCCTGTAATCCCAACACTTTGGGAGGCCAGGGCAAGAGGATTGCTTGACAAGGCCAGGAGTTCAAGATCAGCCTGGTCAACATAGCAAGAGCCCATCTCTACAACAAAATTTAAAAATTAGCCAGGTGTGGTGGTGCGCACCTGTAGTCCCAGCTGCTTAGGAGGCTGAGATAGGAGGATCCCTTGAGCCCCAGAGTTTGATGCTGCAGTGAACCATGATCTTGCCGTCCTGGGGAACAGAGCAAGACTGTCTCAAACAAAAAAGACTGATGCTACCTGCTTGGCAAAACCATGTTTTTAGAGCTATTTCTCCTAAGAAACCTGGTCTTTGTAGTTGTTCTGATGGCTTCTGTGACAAATAATGCCTTTTTTTTTTTAAGAGCTTTCAGATTCTTATTTCAGATCTAAACAGTGCTTTTCAGCTCTCAGTTCATCTTCAGATCAAAGAGAATAGTAGGCCGGGCGCAGTGGCTCATGCCTGTAATCCCACCACTTTGAGAGGCCAAGGCATGTGGATCGCTTGAGGCCAGGAGTTTGAAACCAGCCTGGCCAACATAGTGAAACCCTGTCTTTACTAAAAATACAAAAATTAGCCAAACATGGTGGCGTGGGCCTGTAATCCCAGCTACTTGGGAGCCTGAGGCAGGAGAATAGCTTGAACCCGGGAGGCAGAGGCTGCAGTGAGCTGAGATCAAGCCACTGCACTCCAGCCTGGGTGACAGAGTAAGACTCCATCTCAAAGAAAAACAATATTAATTTTTGGCTAATTTTTATTAGGAAAAAGAGAATATCCTGAAAAGAATATCATGCTAGTTTAAGGTTACAGATTTACTTTCTTCCCTGGGTTCCCTTTGGTTCATATTCTCTTGTTTAGAAATGATCCAAATACATTATTCTGAAGTATATGACAGTTTTTCCAAAATCAGTAAATACATATGTTGGTGCTTAAAACAGAAAGAAAGAAATAATGGCCTATAAATATTATCACATAGCTTATTTCTACTATTCAGAGATCTGTATAACTTAGGATAAGGAGCAGGTTGTTGAACGGTTTTTTGGTTTTTAAGTTTGAAGTACAGTCTGAAAGTACCTTTCAATATTGAAGGGCTGCCTGACTGAAACTTACATGGCTATCTCCTGGGCCTGAAGCACCACCGAGATCTGAACTGAAGGTAGCGTTTTGGGAGTCCTTAGCGTTTAGTTGGTATTTTAATATCTAGGGGTGAATGGGGTGGGAAGGGAAGGGAGTATGTAAAGGGAATAGACTGGAGAGCCCTGCGGATCCTCAGCATTTAGGAAACAGGGAAGACCTCCCACTAGAGGGGAGGGAGGAAAACCAGGAAAAGGCAAGATGGACTTCAGTGTTGGGTGTTTCAGGAGGCAGAGGAGGATAAACACCAACAATTTCATTGAATTTTGCCATAAGGGTATTTATCTCCCATAAAGCTTTCCTTGATTTTCCTCAAGCAGAAGTGCTCATCTCCTTGGTACCTCATCCAGGCATGTGAAACTTGGCACAAACATGTTGTAAAGGTTTGTTTATAGTTCTGTTTCTCCAAAGGTGTAGACTTGTTAAGAGTGTGGCCCACGGCTTGTTCGTTTTTGTGAGATGGTATTGTTTTGTGTCTTAACAACATGAACACTGACTCCATGTCTAATGTGTAATAGTCGTGTGACCTTTAACAAGCTGCTTAACATCTGTGTGCTTCTGTTTCATTGTCTATACCATTTATGATATGAGATGATAATAGCATCTACCTCACAGAAGAGCAGATATTTGTGAAGTGTGGAAAACAGTGCCTGGCTTACTGTCAATGCTATGTAGTGTTTGGTGGAGGAGAACTGGATGCAGCAATACTAATATTCTTAGCACAGTGCTGGATGTTTAACAGATATTTGAACGTGAAGATGTAGTAACCTGTGATGAATTCAGTTCCTAGCATTTTAAAATTCTACAAGCATATACAGAATATAATCATGGCCAGGCCATAGGAGAACTACAAATGGAAGTGGACTGAGAGGAAAGTGCATGTAGCTTTGTTTTATGAAACAAATCTATAGACTTTCAACAAAAGTACTATGTGATTCTAATTTCTTGTTGTTAGGAAGGAAAAACAACCTCCAAAGCAGGTGAGAATCTTTATGTTTAGGGATGAACAGCTTTAAACAGGTGAGTGGTGGATATCAGCACGGAAGGTATTTGTTTGGATGAGAGAAAATACTACAACCTTCCCAAATTCATCCTAATTTTTGCAGCTCAGAAAATTAGAAATATCAATTGATCCCTTAGACTTTAATTAATGGTAGATACACACTCATTCCATCAGCGAATGTTTGAACTTCTTCTGCACCGTATACACACTTTATAACAGGAACTATGCTATGGGATGGGGATAGGATGATAAATAAATTAGACACTGTACTCGCCCTAGAAGGGCTTTTATTCTTGTGGGAGAGGCCAATAATTGCAAGTACTGTGAGATACAAACTAGGAGATGAAGTATAAATGAAGAACTTGGGGTAAAGGGAGTGGAAAACCAGGCTACAGATGGTAACATTTAAATTGAGATGCCAAGGAGGAGGGTGTGGGGAGGCCCTTGCAGAATATCACTCTGAGGAAAGGCTGCAGCTGGGAACTTGAGGTGGGGCGGGGGAGGGGGGGGTGTTCAAGCAACTGAAAGAGGCCTGTGCGCCTCAAGAGCCCAGCGAGTGAGGGAGGGGGCTGGATGGATGTTGTGTGGATGCCGGACACTGGATCATGCCAGGTCTTGTAGCCACGATGAGGAGTATGTTATTAAACACAGTGAGAAGCCATGGAATGATTCAAACATGACTTAACCCAATTTGTGTTTTGAAATCTCTTTTGCTGGGGCCGGGTGTGGTGGCTCACACCTGTAATCCCAGCACTTTGGGAGCTGAGGCGGGCAGATCACGAGTCAGGAGATCAAAACCATCCTGGCTAACACGGTGAAACCCCATCTCTACTAAAAATACAAAAAATTAGCCGGGTGTGGTGGCGGGCGCCTGTAGTCCCAGCTACTCGGGAGGCTGAGGCAGGAGAATGGCGTCAGCCCGGGAGGCAGAGCTTGCAGTGAGCCGAGATCGCCACTGCACTCCAGCCTGGGCGAAAGAGCGAAAAAAAAAAAAAAAAATCTTTTGCTGCTACATAAGCTTTTCTTTTTTCTCTAATTGTATTTTAGATAGATTTAATATGTAAAATAAGAGAAACTGATTTCTTAGCTCAAAATACTGATGCCCTTGAATCATTTGCCAGAAATAGTTCTTCCCCTAAGAATCAACCCTTAAAAACCAGTTTACAGAGTAGACATCAGAGACTTGAGTTATAAAGTGATTTATATATAAAATGTTTTGGTGCCAGACAATGGTCTTGGAACCTTAAGTTGAAGTTTTCTTCTGCCTGCTAGAATCAGACTACATTCACTGTTAGGACGATTGGCATATCCAAAAAATGATAGTCTGAATATTGATTTATTTGTGTACACAGTTTTCCCATTTGTTCCATTTAAAAACTAACATGGTTTTTTATGGTCCTTATTAAAAGCAGTTACAGGGTGTTCTTTCGTTTGAGTTAGTTTGTGAAATAAATATCTGAATGCCTACTGTGTGGCAGGCACTGTTCTGCACTTTTAGACTATATCCATAAACTAAACAGGCAAAGGACCCCTGTCTTTGGGGGACTTACATTCTAGTGGAGGAGGCAGATAACAATAAATATAATTAGGGCCAGGTCCAGTGACTCTCGCCTTTAATCCCAGCACTTTGGGAGAGTGAGGCAGGCGGATTGCTTGAGTCCAGGTGTTTGAGACCAGCCTGAGCAACGTGACAAAACCCTGTCTCTACAAAATACAAAGAAATTAGCCGGGTATGGTGGCATGCACCTGTAGCACCTGTAGCACTAGGAGGCTAAGATGGGAAGATTGCTTGAGCCCCGTGGAGGTCAAGGCTACAGTGAGCCATGATCATGCCACCATGTTCCAGCCTGGGTGACAGAGCGAGACCCTGTCTCAAAAAAAAAAAAAAAAAAAAAAAAAAAAATTAGTAGAGTCATAGTACTAATAATTGGTATGTTAGAGGGTGCTGTGTGCTGTGAAATAAAAAGTAGAACAGCTAACATGGTGGAGGGTATAATTTTAAATAGAATGGGTAGAGTAGCATCATTGAGAAGGTACAATCTGAATAAAGGCATGGAAACCTGTACAGATACATAGAGAAAGAACATTCCAGGCAGAAGGAATGATCTATGCAAAGGAAAACCCCAAGGTCGGGGTGTACCAGGCCTGTTTGAGGAACAGTGAAGAGGCCAGCGTAGCTGGAGGGAGGGTATGTGAGAATATCTTGGCTTCCTAGGAATGCGTTTCTCCTCAGTCAATTTCAAAAAGTTCATAAGCCAAAACAGATGAATAATTAGGCAGAGATCTCCCATCCCATGAATGCTCTGCAGATGGTAACCTATAAACACCCAGACTCATGTCTTAACTCAAATTAGGTAATTCCAAAATAATGCAAATGTTCCTTAAATTCAGTTCATAGGGCAGCTGAGCAAACAAGATCTCTTTTATGTGAATAAGAAACTGAAGACTTTTGCCATTCCAATTTCTAGATCTCCAGATTAGAAGCCAAAAGGCTCTACTTTGCAGCAGAGGATGGCAAAGATGCCAAGTGCACTTGGCATCTTAAGAGAGGCAGCGATTGTGGGCTTAGGGAGAACTGCCTTTTAAGAGCAGCTTTTCTCAGGTCCCTTGTTTCTTTCGAGCTCAGTACCACCAAATCCTTTTCAATTTTTTATTTGGCAATCCACATTTTCTGTTCTTTGACGCAGTGAAATTTTCCATTTGTTCCCTAAGTTTCCAATCTTAAATTTGGCACACTACTTTCAAAAGGTCATAATCAATACCCACTATAGTAGAATATTGCCCAAGTTGTGTGTACATCACGTGTATTCTGTGGGTGTAGAGCATCAGCATTGTCTTGGTTTCACATGCACAATAATTTTTATAAAGAGCCACACCCAGTTTCTCCAGTGAGATCGCTAGAGCTGTTCCAGTCATACTTGCCCACAGCTAATCCTTTCCCATGTTGTTTCTGAATTTTATTTTTTGTAAGTAGAGTGTCCTTTTGTAGTTTCTTAAGCTTCAGATTGATTCCCAGTTTGTCATGGTTGGTCAGTTTGAATCCTCTTCTCTGAGTTGCTGTTCATTGTTTCCAGCTTAGTTTTCCATGAGGTTGGAGTGAAGTAAGATTACTAAAGACCTGTAATCCCAGCACTTTGGGAGGCCAAGGCAGGCAGATCATTTGAGGTCAGGAGTTCGAGACCAGCCTGGCCAACATGGTGGAACCCTGTCTTTACTAAAAATACAAAAATTAGCTGGGCGTGGTGGTGGGCGCTTATAATCCTAGCTATTTGGGAGGCTGAAGCAGGAGAACTGCTTGAACCCAAGGAGATGGAGGTTGCAGTGAGCTGAGATTGCACCACTGCCCTCCAGCCTGGGTGACAGAGTGAGACTCTGTCTCAAGAAAAAGAAGAAGATTACTAAATAAAATGTTGAGAAGCATGGAAGGCAAAAAATAGTCTACATTCTTCTCACAGCCAAAAAGGAACATGGCGCAAGTTCCTATCACTGTGAGTTAGAAAGGCCAGAAAGGAACGTGGCGCAAGTTCCTATCACTGTGAGTTAGGCAGGCCAGAAAGGAACGTGGCGCAAGTTCCTATCACTGTGAGTTAGGCAGGCCAGAAAGGAACGTGGCGCAAGTTCCTATCACTGTGAGTTAGGCAGGCCAGAAAGGAACGTGGCGCAAGTTCCTATCACTGTGAGTTAGGCAGGCCAGAAAGGAACGTGGCGCAAGTTCCTATCACTGTGAGTTAGGCAGGCCAGAAAGGAACGTGGCGCAAGTTCCTATCACTGTGAGTTAGGCAGGCCAGAAAGGAACGTGGCGCAAGTTCCTATCACTGTGAGTTAGGCAGGCCAGAAAGGAACGTGGCGCAAGTTCCTATCACTGTGAGTTAGGCAGGCCAGAAAGGAACGTGGCGCAAGTTCCTATCACTGTGAGTTAGAAAGGCCCTTCAGCAATTTAACAGGCCTTTTCTCTCCTTCCCCCCGGCAGGGCTGCATATAGATCACCCCCAAATCTACTAGTCTACTCTCTTTCTCTTTAAAAGGAAATGCAACTACCTCTTTTGGCCTCCAGTTCTGTTGCCATTTTAAATAGGAAGGTCAAGAACCCAGCATTGGCCAGGTGCAGTGGCTCACACCTGTAACTGAAGCACTTTGGGAGGGCTGAGGCAGGCGGATCACTTGAGCCTGGGCGTTCAAGACCAACCTGGACAACATGGTGAAACCCCGTGTCTACAAAAAATTAGCCAGGCATGGTGATATGCGCCTGTAGTCCCAGCTACCCGAGAGGCTGAGGGAGGATCACCAAGCCTGATGGTGGAGGCTGCAATGAGCTATGATCATGCCTGGGCAACAGTGAGACCCCGTCCAAAAAAAAAAAAAAACACCTAGCTAGCATTTTGTAGACTTAAATTTATTAACTATTGAATGATAAATTGAAAGAGAGAAATTGAATGCTCTCAAACAATACAAGCTTCTTTTTTTTTTTTTTTTTTTTTTGAGACTGAGTCTGGTTCTGTCACCCAGGCTGGAGGGCAGTGGCATGATCTTGTCTCACTGCAACCTCCGCCTCCCGGGTTCAAGCGATTGTCCTGCCTCAGCCTCTCGAATAGCTGGGACTACAGGCACCCACCACCATGCCCAGCTGATTTTTGTAGTGTTAGTAGAGATGGGGTTTTGCCATGTTGGCCAGGCTGGTCTTGAACTCCTGACCTCAGATGATCCACCTGCTTGGCCTCCCAAAGTGCTGGGATTACAGGCGTGAGCCACCGTGCCCAGCCACAAGCTTATTCATAAATCCTTCTTTAGTTCCTACTCTGATAACTGGATTTTATTTATAACTAAACCTATGATGGGTTTTTATTCAGTTATTTTTAATCCATTATATCTGTCTAAAATGTTGTACACCTGAATGTGAACTCGAAAGTAATTGTGTAATGATGAATGAATGAAGTGAACTTGAGTGACTTTTTTGTACCTCTTCATGTTGTAAAACATTTATTTTCCTTTTAATTCTAAGAATAACTGTAACACGAATCTACTTCATATCTTTCTTATCCTTCTGTTCTTGGTTTTGCTATCAATGGTTTTGGATTCCATGCTCACAATGTGGGGACCTCCAGGATATTTCACCTGGTGCAGCCAAGTGAATTCACTTAATCACTACAGACAGTTACACTTGAGGGTTTTTAATGGTAAAATTTTTTAATTTTCAAAATTTGTTATTTATTTATTTTTGAGATGGGTTCTCACTCTATCACCAGGCTGGAGTGCAGTGGCATGATCATGGTTCACTGCAGCCTTGATTTCCCAGGCTCCAGTGATCCTCCCAACTCAGCCTCCCGAGTAGCTGGAACTATAGGCATGCACTACCACACCTGGCTAATTTTTGTATTTTTGGTACAGATGGGGTTTCGCCATGTTGCTCAGGGTGGTCTTGAACTCCTCAGCTCAAGCATTCTACCTTCCTGAGCCTCCCAAAATGCTGGGATTAGGTGTGAGCCACTGCGCCCAGCCAAAAAACTTGTTTTTAATTTTCAGCTCTATTTAAGTTGGAAATCCTCAAGGAAGTGAAAAGGGGTGAAAATGAAGTGGAATGTATTTACTAAACATTTTTTTTTTTGGTTTTGTTTTTTGAGACAGGGTCTCGCTTTGTCACCCAGGCTGGAGTGCAGTGGCATAATCTCAGATCACTGCAACCTTAGCCTCCTGGGTTCAAGCAGTTCTGCCTCAGCCTCCCTCCTGAGTAGCTGGGATTACAGGTGTGTGCCACCACACCTGGCTAACCTTTGTATTTTTGGTAGAGATGGGGTTTTGCCATGTTGGCCAGGCTGGTCTCAAACTCCTGAGCTCAAGTGATCCTCCTGCCTCGGCCTCCCAAAGTGCTGGGATTACAGGAGTGAGCCACTGGGCCTAGCCCATTTTAATTTTTATGGCAGGAAAGTCTTCCCTTCATTAAGACTTGTCAATTTTTCGTTTGTTTGTTTGTTTTTGTTTTGAGATAGAGTCTCATTCTGTTGCCCAGGCTGGAGTGCAGTGGCATGATCTTGGCTCACTGCAACCTCTGCCTCCCAGGTTCAAGAACTTCTCTGCCTCAGCCTCCCGAGTAGCTGGAATTACAGGTGCCCACCACCACACCCAGCTAATTTTTTGTATTTTTAGTAGAGATGGGGTTTCACCATCTTGGCCAGGCTGGCCTTGAACTCCTGACCTCTTGATCCACCCGCCTTGGCCCCCCAAAGTGCTGGGATTACAGGCTTGAGCCACCCGCGCCTGGCCTCAAATTTTAACTCATAGAGAATATCCTTTATAATGATGGCATCTTCTGGAATGCCCCAGACTTGGAAGAATCTGCATTTGTACGCAGTATGTTGTGTTTACTCTGTTGACATAAAAGTAAGCTACTGAGGGTTATTTCTCATAGGTAACCCACACTATTTTTGTAGTAGAAATTCAATTGTTAAGGACTCACTAGAGTCCTTAAAGAGTTATCTTGCCCTTAAAGAGTTATTCAATTTCATTTTTAATGAATAACCTATGCCATTTATGATGGAATTGTTTGTGTGATCATACTACTTGATCTATGGGAAATATCTGATATTTTAAAAGTCTCCTTACTTAGCAACATGTGTCATTATTTTCAGGATATACCTTCTCAGAAGCTGCACAGGAGGAAAGCAGTGACAAAGAAAGAAGTTGTCATTCTTTGCACGGTAAAATCATCACCTCCAGTCACCAACTTCTAATTCAAATTAGGTTTTAATTTGTTCATTATTTCTTCTTGGAACACTTTTGTTCCCTATACATATGCGTTACTTTGGCTTTATAATAGAAAATAACAAGCAACATCTGAGCTCTTTTGTTTGTTTTTTTGTTTTTTGAGACAGAGTCTCACTCTGTCACCCAAGCTGCAGTGCAGTGGCGCCATCTCGGCTACCTGCAACCTCTGCCTCCCAGGTTCAAGCGACTCTACTGCCTCAGCCTCCCGAGTAGCTGGGATTACAGGCGCCCACCACCGCACCCGGCTAAATTTTGTATTTTTAGTAGAGACGGGGTTTCACCATCTTGGCCAGGCTGGTTTCAAACTCCTGACCTCACGATCCACCCACCTCGGTCTCCCATAATGCTGGGATTGCAGGCGTGAGCCACCGTGTCCAGCCACATCTGAGCTCTTGAGCCTGGAATACCAGTATGATTTATTTTGGGGGCTTAAGTTAAAGGGCATTCTAGAATTTGGGGTTTTTCTTCTCAATCCTTAATGTCTTTCAGAAACCTTACCTCTAGTGAGGTCTTTCTCCTTACCTTGTTCAGATGGGGTCATTGTTTGCTAGTAAAATGGCAAGAACAAGTGGCATCAGTCTGGCATTTCCTCAGTGACTCTGTTAAAGCACATGTTCAGGAAATGAGTGTGATACAGATCTTATCTGACAGAAGGTAGAGGGTCTCAGGCATGCTAAGGGATAAAATTAGGAGCCAATCGAGTTCACCATAGATGAAATATTTCAAGACTGGGATCCACAGAGGAATCAGATCTTGGCACAGCTAGACATGATTCCTGTCTCCCTGTGTGCTGAGATAGAGGAAACCGTGAGTTTGCTTTATCCACTGATGGGAAAGGCTGCAGTCTACATATGGAACTGAATTCATCAACTACCCAAGCAAAGTCTTTAGGATTTTATTTAATTTGTTCACTACTGACAAGCTTGTTGGGAACTCTTTAGTAGTACTTCACTTTGGGTATCTTTCCCTTCCTCCCAAATCCGATAGTTGCTAAAAACCCAGATGTGTTGGAATTAGTCCAAGAGCCACAGTTAGAAAGGTTTGGTTTCTTCTCAAGTCAGAGGATGACTCTTTTCCCTTAAGAAATGAAGTTAACCCTTTTCTATATTTATGCTAGAGAAATAAACCATTCTTTATTCCAGTCACTTTTATTTTTTAAAAGGGGGTGGAGGAAGCTTGCTGATCCTTTTACAGCAAGAAACGTACCACTTTCTCAAGCTGGTAATTGTAGATCTTTTATTTCCAGGCAAAAATACTTTTTAAAACATTAGAATTTTTCTCTCCATTTGATTTATTTCGTCTGCTAATATACCCAGGTGTATCACTCTGAGCTCCTTCTGGCATGTCACTTGTTTGAGCTGAGGAGTATGCACTGGACTTACAGGAGAAACATAGCTCAGAATGAAGAAGGCGGGCTGGGAGACCTCACTCTGATTCTCAAGTGAAGGGAAGCCCAGAGCTTGCTATCTTTTTAGCACCAAGATGCTATCAAAACAAGAGCTGCTGGGATTCTTTGATGTTTTCAAGTCCACAAGTCCTCTGCTGTGTGCAAACTTAATTTCATTTGGATAACCAGTTCCTTTTCTCTTGTCCCTTTACCATATTTCTTCTGGATTTTTTCTAGAACACTCGCCCTTTTTCCTTTTTCATCCACCAGAGATAGAAGCATTACATTTCCTGCCAAGCTGACAGGTTTCAAAGTACAAGTGTTCTGTCTCATATGAAGACTTCAGCCTTAACATTTCTGTTAATGAGGTTGCTGTTACTTTGCTCATCTTTTACCAAGTATCTGACTTTTATTTTGCTGTACTCTATTGGCCTTGAAGGATTTCTCAGTGGCTTAGCAGTAATTGAGGTAATGAAGACACTGCCACAGGTAATTGACTTTGTTTTCTTGTGGCAGAAAAACATTTTCCATTTTTGCTATACATAGCAAGTCCCACAAAAATGAAAACTCAAACGTGATCACATAAAAAAAATTAAAGTGTGAACTAGCTTTGAAGCTCTTTAGCAATAACTGCATTTTGTTTAGGGTACATGCTAAAATTGATTTTTTTTTCCTGAAAACAGTACTCTAGAAGGAATAAAATATGGTTTGTGCTTATATGCCACTGGGGTATACATGTGAGATTGTATCATGTGAGGCATCCTTTAGGGTAAAGAAAATATGTTTCTCTGTTAGAAAACAGGATGAGTATATGATTGGATATAATGTAGGCATGCTGAGCTACGTCTCATTCAGTACCTAAATAAGAAGACCCTAAACATTCTCAGTCAGAAGCGATTGGCTATATTTAATTTTTTAAAGTAATAGTAGTTGGAATGGACCTTCAGAAAAGTTGACTGTGTAAAGAAATAAGTCAGAAAGCTTAGTATTCAGGTCTAGACATCATGAATTAACCATCTGGCAGAAATAGAATCCAGCAAAAACGATCTTACGTAATTTCCAGGACAAAATGGTAGGACAGATCTAGGCTCTGGTGGATAAGTGGTAGTGAGAAGTATATAACAAATAGTGCTTGTCACTGGAGAAAGTAGTTTTCCCAGCTTCTGAATGTAGTTGACTGCCAAGATTGCATCAATGGAGTACCTAGTTAACAAGCAGCTGTTAAGGATTACTTGGCATTACTTCAAGTAAATCTCCTTTCTAGAATGCAGGCACTTCCTTTGTTGATAGTTTTGGACTTTAAGTTTTTTTTTGTTTGTTTTGGCTGAAAAGTTAATACAGGTTTATTATTCCTCATCTAAAATGCTTGTGAGCAGAAAGAAGTGTTTTGGATTTCTAGGGGATTTTTTTGTTTTGTTTTGTTTTTAATATTTGCATTATACTTAACGGTTGAGCATCCCTAGTCCAAAAAATCTGAAATCTGAAATGTTCCATTGAGCATTTCCTGTTTAGCAATAGTGTAGTTAAGAACTTGGACTTGAGAGGCACAGTTGCCATGGTTTGAATACTGGTACTACCAAGTACCCGATCTTTCTGTGCCTCAGTTTTCTCATCTGTAAAATAAGGTAAGAACAATGCCTCGTAAGGTTATGCGGATTAATGAGTTAATGTTTATAAATAGTCCATGGCATGTAGTTAAGAGCTTGTAAACTGGCTTAGTAGCTGAATTGAGCATTGAATTCTGAAGATGTCCATCTTCAAAACTTAATAAGCATGAACTTCCCTCTACATTTTACTTTCATCTCTCTCAATATAGTGTTTTTACTTGCATGTCATCTGTTTAGATGATGGGTTTATAGAACCATATTTAAGAAAAGAACTTAAGCACCTAAGTTTTTTCCTTAAAAACAACTTAAAAAATATATTTTTTTAAGTTTTTTAAAGTTTTTTTAAAACTTAAAAAATATTTTTTTTTAAAAAAATATATTTTTTCCTTAAAAAAACTTAAAAAAATATATATCCCCAAACTAATGGATTGTCCTGTGTGTGGAAGAAGTAAACACATTCTACCCCTAGTTCACCATTCTAGAGCGTTGACTTTTAGAATCGGAAGTGAGTCACATAAGTTAAAACTTCATAAAAATATTTTAAGGACACTTAAAACCTGGCTATTGTTATAAGCAAACTGGGAAGTCGTTAGACTGTAATAAGTTATTACACTTAAGGGAAGATGGCTTAATGGTATACTTCATGTGCATCCTATATTTAACAAAATTGTTGCATTGTAGAAAAATTAAGTTTGCATCTTATTTAGGTGTTTCCTATTTGAAGGAAGATTCTGGAGAATCTGATTCTGTAATTTTGGAGTAGAGCCTAGAAACAAACTTTTTTAATTTAATGAATTAACTTTATTTTCAAGAATATATATACTTTTAACAAACATCCCAGCTGGGTGCGGTGGCTCACACCTGTAATCCCAACACTTTGGGAGGCTGAGGCGGGCGGATCACCTGAGGTCAGGAGTTCGAGACCAGCCTGATCAACATGAAGAAATTCTGTCTCTACTAAAAATACAAAATTAGCTGGGCATAGTGGCGCATGCCTGTAATCCCAGCTACTCAGGAGGCTGAGGCAGGAGGATTGCTTGAAGGGAGCAACTGCCAGGAGGCGGAGGTTGCAGTGAGCCGAGATTGCGCCAGTGCACTCCAGGCTGGGCAACAAGAGCAAAACTCTGTCTCAAAAACAAAACAAAACAAAAAACCCAGAAAAACCTACATGGTTGTGTTAAGGCAGGATTTACTGAGATAAGTGACTCATCTGTCTTCTCCTGAGCCCCAGCTTTCTCACCAACAGAATCAAAGATTTGACTGGAAACATGATCTACTTCCTAACTCACTACTGTGACTGTATTATTTCTATTTACCTTATGATTATGATATAAAGAAGAATTACACTGCGTGTGATGGACTATGGGGTGAGGATGTGAGCCTTCTGTTTACCACAAAAAATTAATTCAGAAACTTAGTGTTTTAATAAAGAAAAAGGCTTTTTTGGGCTGGGTGCAGTGGCTCATGCCTGTAATCCCAACATTTTGGGAGGCCAAGGCTGGAAGATTACTTGAGCTCAGGAGTTAGAGACCAGCTGGGCAACATGGCAAAACCCCCTCTCTACAAACAGTACAAAATTCCACCAGATGTGGTAGCATGTGCCTGTAGTCCCAGGTGATGGAGAGGCTGAGGTGGGTTGATCGCTTGAGCCCAGGAGGCCGAGACTGCAGTGAGCCAAGATGGCGCCACTGTACTCTAGCCTGGACAACAGAGCAAGACCCAGTCTCAAAAAAAGAAAAGAAAAGGGCTTTCTAATAAAACAGTAAACTTGCAGTAATTATTAGTAATTCAGTTCTATATGTTGCCAGTGGAATGTACTAAAACACCCCAAACGGTGGTAGTATGTATTGTCTTCTATATTGTGTGTGTGTTTAAAATACTATTACTATTTTTAAATTCACAGTCTTTAGATTTAACAAGTTTGCCAAAGTTTGAGCACTTAGAACTTTATAGTATTCATTCTAATCCATGGTAATTATTTACTTTTGCCAGTTATTCCAGCACCCGAACATAATTGGCCATTTTTCATACATCTTTGCTTGATGATACATTTACCAGTCATCACAGTGGCTTGATTTGAAGTCCACTTCATGTTTAGTTAGAGAGACATGCCCCACTGGCTACAAGGTCACCATCGTCCAACAACAGAGAATGTCATTCAGCAAATTAGTATTGATTGTTCTGTTCTTGACTCAGTAATTTCTTCAGCTGAGAGTAAATGGGTAATTGGGGGCTATTAATACACTTATCTATGGGTGGTTTTTATCCCCTGAGTCTTCCGCAAACCCATCTTGTGGGAGAATAACTGGTTTTTCTTAAGTTCTACAAAGTGATGGCCAGTAATTGACATGAGTTGACACTGTTTTTGGTGGGAACTTGGGGGCAGGCCTTCAGAAACAGAAGCAAGATGGTAGTATGGAGCACCAAAGTCCTATAATTTCCAGATTACTTCTTTTAGACTAATTTAATTTAGCTCCTTGTTTAGAATGTTCATTAATTAACAAATTTCTGTTAAGTAGGGGGCACCTCCAAAACACCTTTAAGGGTATACAGCTTTTTTAAACTGTTTAATATATGTGCTATTTTGAATAGTATACTTTACAGATCTAATTGTGGTTCATGGTGTTTAATCTATTTTAGAAACTGGATGGCTTCTACAGGGAGCCAGGCCTCTGATATAGACGAGATTTTTGGATTCTTCAACGATGGCGAACCTCCCACCAAAAAGCCCAGGTAAACAAGAGAAGGGAATCAGCAGAGTAAATTACCATTAGTGGGAGAGAAAGAAAAATAGCCAACTTATACCTTCTATATCAGTTGTTTTCACTAATTAGTATTGACCTTCATACTCAAAATTAAATTGTTTTTATTTTGGGTTTAATTTTTATTTTTTATCAAGGCAGTACAGGTACATAGTTTTTAAAATCAGTATTTCAAAGTCCGCCCTTCCTCAGAGATAATCACTTTCAACTTTACCTGTTTCTTCTAATGTTGACATCCATGTTTGAAAATACTATATATATTGCTGCTTTTTAGTTTTTTGGTTTTATTGATTTCTGAGTATGGAATATAAGGACTGCTTTGCTCTCATGACTCCTCCCTCTGTATTGCCACTCCACACACTCTCCCCATGTTCTTGTATGTTTGTGTCACAGTGTTTGGTTCAATCCACTTTTTTTTTTGAGACAGAGTCTTGCTGTGTCGCCCAAGCTGGAGTTCAGTGGCACGATCTTGGCTCACTGCAACCTCCACCTCCCGGGTTCAAGAAATTCTCCTGCCTCAGCCTCCTGAGTAGCTGAGATCACAGGTGCCTGCCACCATGCCCAGCTAATTTTTTTGTATTTTTAGTAGAGATGGGGTTTGACCATGTTGGTCAGGCTGGTCTCGAACCCCTGACCTCGTGATCCACCCGCCTCGGCCTCCCAAAGTGCTGGGATTATAGGCGTGAGCCACTGTGCCCGGCCTGGTTCAATCCACTTTTAATATTTACATTATTACGACTGTATAAGTAGTATTCATAGCTGAGCCTAATGCGTAACGATTATGTTTCCTTTCTTGCCCATTTTTTTTGCTTATGTCATTAAAGACTGTCTTTTTTGTTTGTTTGTTTGCTTTCAATGTATTCTCACATGCTCTGACAGAAGAATAAATCTCCTAGCTATACTGAAACACACCGATAACTTGCTGGTTTGTGTCATGGATTCTTCCTTCTGGATGCTAGTCCACTCTGGACACTTGTTCTCCAGTCCTGTTGCGTTCCTGATATTTGCTATTTCCCATTCCCATCATCCTGATAATTTCCTTTACATCTCTCCTGTATCGATTCTCTGTTTGCTGGATCTCATGTCCTCTTTTTTGGTGCACGCCTTTGTTTTCCTGAAGCATGTCCTTGCATAGCCTCCTAAGTAAGGACCCATAGGAGAAAATTATTTGGACATATTTGAAAAGGTCTTTATCATACACTTACATTCATTTGATGGTTTGACTGAGTATAGAATTTTTAGTATCTCTCATTCATACTCTGCTAACATCTAAGTATTCCTGCCAAAATAGCCACTCTGTTCTGATTCCCAATCCTTTGTATTGTATGACCTCTTTCCCTGTTTTTTGTTTTGTTTTGTTTCATTTTTGTTGTTGTTGTTGTTCATTAGAAGCTTATAAGGATCATTATTTTATTCTCAGTAACCTGAAATTTCACAGTGATGTATCTTGTCATATGAATCTAGACACCGGGCAGCTCTTTAAAGCTGGCAACTAGTACCTTCACTTTGGAGAAGTTGACTTATATTACTTTTTTGATACTTTCCATTACAATGTTTTTTCTATTCCACATTTTTTTAAAACTCTTGTTATTCAGATGTTGGACTTCTTGTATTAAGTCTCTAATTTTTTATGTGTTGCTTTATTTTTTTCCCCCCCATTTCGTTTTCTTAAATTTAGCTTTCTCGGGGGTTCTCTGTTTTATCTTGTGGATTTAAAAATTTCTGTTGCGTTATTTTTGATTTATGAAGTCTTTTTGTTTGTTCATTTTTTCATAGCACTCTGTTTATGTTTCACAGATGCTTTTTTTTTTTTTTTTTTTTAGACAGAGTCTCACTGTCTCCCAGGCTGGAGTGCAGTGACACTATCTCGGCTCATTGCAAGCTCTGCCTCCCGGGTTCACACCATTCTCCTGCCTCAGCCTCCCGAGTAGCTGGGACTACAGGCGCCCGCCACCATGCCCGGCTAATTTTTTGTATTTTTAGTAGAGACGGGATTTCACTGTGTTAGCCAGGATGGCCTTAATCTCCTGACCTCATGATCCACCTGCCTCAGCCTCCTAAAGTGCAGGGATTACAGACGTGAGCCACCGCGCCTGGCCTTTTTTTTTTTTTTTTTTTTTTTGAGATGGAGTCTCGCTCTGTTGCCCAGGCTGGAGTGCAATGGTGCAATCTCAGCTCACTGCAACCTCTGCCTCCCGGGTTCAAGCAATTCTCCTGCCTCAGCCTCCTGAGTAGCTGGGATTACAAACGTGCTCTACCACACCTGGCTAATTTTTATTTTATTTATTTATTTATTTTTTAAATAAAGACAGGTTTTCACCATGTTGACCAGGCTGATCTCAAACTCCTGACCTCAAGTGATCCACCTGCCTTGGCCTCCCAAAGTGCTGGGATGACAGGCGTGAGCCACCCCACCTGGCCAATTTTAAAAAAATCTAGGCCAGGCTCGGTGGCTCACGCCTGTCATCCCAGCACTTTGGGAGGCTGAGGTGGGCAGATCGTGAGGTCAGGAGATCGAGACCATCCTGGGTACCTGGGTAACATAGTGAAACCCTGTCTCTACTAAAAAAAAAAAAAAAAAAAAAAAAAAATTAGCGGGGCGTGGTGGCGCGTGCCTGTAATCCCAGCTACTCGGGAGGCTGAGGCAGGAGAATCACTTGAACCTGGGAGGCGGAGGTTGCAGTGAGCTGAGATTGTGTCACTGCACTCCAGCCTGGCAACAAAGCTAGACTCCGTCTCCAAAAAAAAAAAAAAAAAGAAAAGAAAAAATATATGTGAGGATATCATTGTTTTCTTTTAATTTTTTTTTCTCCTTCCCATACTATCTCTTATTTCCTTCAGATTTCTCTCTACCTGCTAGTTTGTTTGGTATAACTGTTATGTTGGGGGCTTTCCTCAGATGTGAGGTGACCCTTGTTTGTCTGCCCATTTTTAACAGAAAACACCAAAAAGCCAATGGAAGAGGCCGGGTGCGGTGGCTCACGCCTGTAATCCCAGCACTTTGGGAGGCCAAGGCAGGCGGATCACTTGAGGTCAGGAGTTTGAGACCAGCCTGGCCAACCTGGTGAAACCCCGTCTCTACTAAAAATACAAAAATTGGCTGGGTGTGGTGGCACGTGCCTGTAATCCCAGCTACTCGGGAGGCTGAAGCAAGAGAATCACTTGAACCCAGGAGGCAGAGGTTGCAGTGAGCCAAGATTACGAGATTCCATCTCAAAAAAAAAAGCCAGTTGGAGAATCTGTGTGTACATAAGGGGCTTGGTCCCAGACTCTATGTAGAGTTAAGGAATTCCCACCTGTCAGAATCTGCAGGTTTTTCATCTCATACTGGCCATTTTCCTGAAAGAGGAATCGTCCTCATTTCCTAACTGGATGGGGGATAGGGGTGCAGGTACAGAGTTGATTCCTAGAGTCTGAAAAGCTTCCTCTGGGGAAAGAGAGTTGGGGGAAATCTTGTATTTTATATACAGACTTTTACTTAATCCCCACCCTCAGCTGTGTGCAGTGTTCTCAGATATAGTCCTCTGGTCAACCTCTGCAGAAGGGAAACCTCTAGCCTGCTGAAAGTTGTAACTGTTAAAGGCTTGTAACTGATTCTCCTATTTTAGCCCCACCAGCCCCTCTACCTTTAGATGTACATGAACATTCCCAAAATTCTACCAAGGGAATCGGCCTTTGCATTACAATTGGTAAAATGTTGTTGCCCTTTGACCTCTGTTGTCTGCTGTCATCTTTACCTAGCCTACTTTTTAGGTATATATACCCGCTAAAAAAAAAAAGTAACTATTATTTGGTGGTTTACAAAGAACCAGTAATAAAACACAATTGTTAAATGTTTTATTTTTAAGTGGAAGTCTTTTTTTTTTTTTTTTTCGAGACAAGGTCTTGTTCTGTCACCCAGGCTGGAGTGCAGTGGCACAAACACAGCTCACTGCAACCTCAGCCTCCTGGGCTCACGTGATCCTCCCGTGAACTTAGCCTCCCAGGTAGCTGGGACTACAGACGTGCCTAATTTTCTTTTTCGTTCTTTCTTTGTTTGGCAGAGATGGGGTCTCACTAAGTTGCCTAGGCTTGTCTCAAACTCCTGGGCTCAAGCTCAGCCTCCTAAAGTGCTGAGATTACAGGCATGAACCACTGCACTTAGCCAAATTGGAAGTCTTAATTAGGAAGAATTATAGTTCAAATCTGTATGTTATATAAAAAAATACAGTACAACAGTATAAAATGAAAAGTAAAAAGTCCTTATTCTCTGCTATCCCCATTTAACCACTATTTATACATCTTGTGAATCCTAGAAATTTTCTATGTGTGTGTATATTTGTTTATGTGGATTTGTGTATGCTTCACTATCTTGATTGCTCTGAACTGAAACTCATTTTTCATCATTTGCTTCTAACATCTATTATTAATGTCTTTTCTAGTAGACTGATCTTTCAAGATCAGGGACTCCATTTTGTTCATGGATACATGACTCCCGTAGTGTCTGGTACATACAGGTTTTCCTTTCCTGCCTCAGCCTCCCTAGTAGCTGGGACTACAGGTGTGCGCCACCAGACCCAGCTAATTTTTGTATTTTTAGTAGACACAGAGTTTCACCATGTTGGCCAGGCTGGTCTTGAACTCCTGACCTCAAGTAATCAGCCCACCTTGGCCCCCCAAAGTGCTGGGATTACAGGCGTGAGCCACTGCTCCTGGCCTCGGTTTTTCATATTTGTTGAATGACTGAATGCAGAAGCTCGGGTTAGGGAAAGCAGTTTTAGAGGCTGTGTCCCCAAAACCAGGTTTCCCAAGGCTTGAAAGTGCTATTCCTTTCTTGAGTTATGCCAAAATGCTGATCCTCTCCATTTTATTATTTAGACAAAAAGGTTGGGGAGAAGCCATTTTCAGGGGAGGGGAACATGCCATCAGCAAAAATTAATGTGAAGGAACATATTTCAAGCAGGGATAGTCTCCAGAATGAAAGAGAGGGGAACAAAAACAAAAATTAGCACCCATGCTGTCTCACATATGGGCCTCAGAACAGAGAAGTCTGTCTCTGCTTATCATGGTAAGAAAGGAATGTTTTTCACTTTTTGTCATGTCCTTTGATTAGTTAATGTCTTTATTTAGGTATGTAGGGCCCCTGTGTTTTCAGAATTCTATTGGCCACTTTTTTTTTCTTTTTTTTTTTTGCCTGAGGTTAATGTTTACAAAATTCAGAATTAAATTTTGTATTGCCTTTCCCCTAGTGTTTTACATTTCTCAATAATAGGAACTTAATTTGTCCTGGGGTTCTTTTCTCTTTTTCTAGAGTACAAATCAAACGTCTTCTTTTGAAATTTAATACTGGTTTAAAATATAATTTAGTTGGCAGAAGTCAGCTGAGCTATAGTCTATTTGGATCTTTTCCTAATATTAGTGGAATTTCTTAGGTTGAGAGGACTAGGAAGGGAAAACTGATTTTAAGATTGGTTTTGGGATTCCTGAAATAGGTTTATGACTTGTTTTTCAGCAAGCACTGACACAATATTCTGGTTGTTTTCTTTAAACTGCTTTGGAAAGGTGTCAAAAACTGCTGTTCATCTTCTTTGCAACTATAAAAGTTAGCTAAAAACTGTAACCTGAGTCAGACAGTCTTTCTGTGTGCCTCATATCTATTGGATATTCCAATCCTCTCATTTGTTTTGCTTTTATAGGAAGCTGCTTCCAAGCTTAAAAACTAAGAAGCCTCGAGAACTTGTGCTAGTGATTGGAACAGGCATTAGTGCTGCAGTTGCGCCCCAAGTTCCAGCCCTCAAATCCTGGAAGGGGTTAATTCAGGCCTTACTGGATGCTGCCATTGATTTTGATCTTTTAGAAGATGAGGAGAGCAAAAAGTTTCAGAAATGTCTCCATGAAGACAAGAACCTGGTCCATGTTGCCCATGACCTTATCCAGAAACTCTCTCCTGTGAGTACCCTAGTATGTGCCACAGTATTTGGAATTTCCTAAAATTTAACTATCACAACTAGCATGATTTGGCTGTCAAAACTAGCATGCCAAATGTAACAGGGATATTCATTTACAGCTTGTAGGTTTCCATAACATTTGACTCTTCTGCGCAATGTCTGTTTATGGACCCTACTCAGGACAGTTGTCTTAACCCCATTTCACTGTGTGTCTATGAGAGAGAAATGATGTTGAGGACTTTATATGTACAAATTACCACTGTGTTTTGAATTTATTTTTTTCCTGCATCACTACTATAAAAGCTGTGTTCTGTGGCATCCATGCCTTGTATGGAATCCCACAAAGATTGGAGATAATTTTATCATTTTATACATGAAACAAAACCAGTTTTTAGTGTTCTTTTTAGAGGTAATAAGTCAAAATATTTAGAAGGAATTGCACCTTATTTTACCAAACTGAGTTGGATAAAAGGACTCCCTGTCTTGCTTTGTCTGAAAATTTATTTATTTATTTATTTATTTTTTGATGGAATCTTCTTCTTGTCACCCAGGCTGAAGTTCAGTGGTTCGATCTCGCCTCATGGCAGCCTCCGCCTCCTGGGTTCAAGCGATTCTCCTGTCTCAGCCTCCTGAGTAGGTGGGATTACAGGCATGTGCCACCATGCCCAGCTAATTTTTGTATTTTTAGTAGAGACAGGGTTTTGCCATGTTGGTCAAGCTGGTCTCGAACTTCTGACCTCAAGTGATCTGCCCACCTCAGCCTCACAAAGTGCTGGGATTATAGGCATGAGCCACTGCACCCAGCCTGTTTTAAAATCTTAAAAATCAGGCTTCTAGGGCCAGGCGTGGTGGGCACCTGTAATCCCAGCTGCTCAGGAGGCTGAGGCAGGAGAATGGCTTGAACCCGGGAGGTGGAGGTTGCACTGAGTTGCGGTCGCGCCACTGCACTCCAGCCTGGGCGACAGAGGAAGACTCCGTCTCAAAAAAAAAAAAAAAAAAAGGAATTAATGGGGTTTTAAAGAGTTCATGGAATCTCCATACACTTTATAAAAATTAAAAATGGATCAAAGACCTAAATATGATACCTAAAACTGTAAAACTCTTAGAAGAAAATACAGATTTAAAATTTCATGACTGGATCTGGCAGTGGTTTTTTAGACATGACACCAAAAATGCAAAAAACTAAAGTAAAAAAAAATATAGATAAACTGGACTTCTCCAAAGTTAAAAACTGTTAGGCTGAAAGGACACTGTCAAGAAAGTGAGCCGGGGATGGTGGCTCATGCCTATAATCCCAGAACTTTGGGAGGCCAAGGCAGGAGAACTGCTTGAGGGCATGAGTTCAAGACCAGCCTGGACAACATAGTGAGACCCTGTCTCTACCAAAAGAAAAAAAAAAGTGAAAAGACAGCTTCCAGAATGAGAAAATGTTAGCAAATCACATATCTCATAGGCGTATAATATCCAGAATCTATAAAGAACTACTGTAACTTAATAAAGGCTAATAATTCAATTTTAAAATAACGATGTAGTTGAATAGACATTTCTCCAAAGAAGATACACAAACGGCCAATAAGTGCATACGAAAAGATGTTCAGCGTCATTAGTCATTAGGAAAATACAAATCAAAACCACAACAAGGTGCCATTTCACACCCGCTGGCATGACTAGAATCAAGAAGACAATAATAAGTGTTATTAAGGATGTGGAGAAATTGGAACCTTTGTGGGAATGTAAAGTGATGCAGTTGCTTTGGAAAACAGATTGGCAGTTCCTCAAAAAGTTGAACAGTGATTCTATGAACCAGCAACTGCACTCATAAGTATATACCTAAGCGAATGGAAAGCATATTCATGCAGCAACTGTACACTCATGTTCATAGCAACGTTATTCATAATAGCCAAAATAGTGGAAACAACTCAAATGTCTAGTTCATGAATGGAGAAACAAAATGTCTGTCCATGCAATGTTAATTGGCCATTAAAAGGAATGAAGTGCTCGTCCCATACAACAACATGGATGAACCTTGAAAACATTAAGTAAAAGAAGCCAGACACAAAAGGACATATATTGTATGATTCCATTCATATAAAATGTCCAGAACAGGCAAATCCATAGAACAGAAAGTAGATTATTGCTTGACAGGGCTAGAGGAAATTCTTCCCAAACTATGCTAAAAAATAGAGTAGGAGGGAGTACTTCCAACTCATTGTATGAGGCCCATATTATCCTGATAACAAAACCAAACAAAAGACATCAGAAGAAATGAAAATGACTAAACACAGTGGTTCAGGCCTGTAAGCCCAACGCTTTGGAAGGATGAGGCACAAGCATCACTTGGGCCCTGGAGTTCAAGACTCCACTGAGCTGTGATCGTGCTACTGCACTGCAGTCTCGGTGACAGAGCAAGACCCTGTCTGCCTCTAAAAAAAAAAAAGGAAAACTACAAACCAGCCAGGATCTCTTAGGAACATGGACACAAAAATCCTCAACAAAGTACAACCAGACTGAATGCAGTACCCATGAGGAAGTCAGAGTCTTCTGGGGAATGAAAGGTTGGTTTAACATCTGCATATCAGGCCAGGTGCGGTGGCTCACACCTGTAATCCTAGCACTTTGGGAAGCCAAGGTGGGCAGATCACTTGAGGTCAGGAGTTCGAGATCAGCCGGACCAACATGGCAAAACCCTGTCTCTACTAAAAATACAAAAATTAGCTGGGCATGGTAGTGCATGCCTGTAATCCCAGCTACCCAGGAGGCTGAGGCAGGAGAATTGCTGGAACCCGGGAGGCAGGGGCTGCAGTGAGCCAAGATCGCACCACTGCACTACAGCCTGGACGACAGAGCAAGACTCCGTCTCAAAAAAAAAAAAAAAAGTCTGCATATCAATATAATGCATCATATCAATAGGATAAAAGACAAAACCACATGATTTTCTCAGTAGGTGCAGAAAAAACATGTTAGCAAAATGCAACACTCTTTCATGATTTTTTTTAAAAAAGCCACACTCTACAAATGAAGGAATAATAGCAAACAATAGAAGGTAACTACCTCAACACGATAAAGACCGTATATGAAAAACTCACAGTTAACATATTTAATGGTGAAAGACTGGATTTTTTCCACTAAGATCAGCAGCAAGACAAGGCTGTTTTCCCACTCCACTCCTGTCCAACATGGTGCTGGATGTTCTAGACCGGGCAGTTAAGCAAGAAAACTAAAGGAATCCATATTGGAAAGGAAGAAGTAAACTGCCTCTGTTTGCAGATGTGATGATCTAGTCTATAGAAGATCCTAGGTTATCCTCTATTAGAACTAACAAGCTTAGCAAGGTTGGAGAATCCGGGATCAATATATAAAAATAGTATTTTTATACACTTGCAGTGAACAATACTAAAATGAAATATTAAAAATTCTTCCACTTGGCATCAAAAATAGTAAAATAGCTAGGAATAAATTTAACGAAAGAAGTACAGAAGGCTAGGCGTGGTGGCCCATGCCTGTTGTCTCAGCGCTTTGGGAGGCCGAGGTGGGCGGATCACCTGAGGTCGGGAGGTAGAGACCAGCCTGGCCAACATGGTGAAACCCCGTCTCTACTAAAAATACAAAAATTAGCTGAGCATGATGGCGGGTGCCTATAATCCCAGCTACTCGGGAGGTGGAGGCAGGAGAATCACTTGAACCTGGGAGCAGAGGTTGCAGCGAGCCAGGATCCCTCCACTGCACTCCAGCCTGGGCAACAAGAGCGAAACTCCATCTCAAAAAATAAATAAATAAGTGGAGAACTTATGCTTTGAAAACTACAAAACACTGAAAGAAATGAAAGAAGATCTAAATAAATGGAAAGACATGCCATGTTCCTGAATCAGAAGACTTAATATTATTAAGATGGAATACTCTGCAAATTGGTCTACAGATTAAGCATGGTCCCTATTAGGATCCAGCTGCTGATTTTGTAGAAATTGACAAACTGATTTAAAATTCATATGGGGCCAGGCACCATGGCATGCACCTGTAGTCCCATCTACTTGGGAGGCTGAGGCAGGAGGATTGCTGGAGGGCTTGAGCCCAGGAGTTCTGGGCTCCCAGGAGCAGGGGACCACCAGGTTGCCTAAAGAGGGGTGAACAAACACAGATTGGAAATGGAGCAGGTCAAAACTCTCATGCTGATCAGTAGTGGGATTGCGTCTGAATAGCCACTGCACTCTAGCCTGGGCAACATAGTGAGACCCTGTCTCTAAAAAAAAAAATTAAAACTTCATATGAAATTACAAGGGACCTAGGGTAGCCAAGACCGTCTTGAAAAAGAACAAAGTAGGGAGACTCAAATTTTTTTTTCTTTCAAAGCTTACTACAGAGCCACAGTAACTAAGGCAGCATGGCAAAGGATTCTCAGATCAGACACTGAAGGCACCAGCAACAGAAGAAAACTAGATAAATTGGACATGATGAGACTTTGAAACGGAAGTGCTGTAATGGTTGTCATCAAGAAAGTGAAAACAGAGCC
This sequence comes from Homo sapiens, assembly GCF_000001405.40. NCBI lineage: Eukaryota > Metazoa > Chordata > Mammalia > Primates > Hominidae > Homo > Homo sapiens. Next base: position 126,245,551 of record NC_000011.10, read on the forward strand.
AGGCACAGTGGCTTGTACCTGTAATCCCAACTACTTGGGAGGCTGAGGTAGGAGGATCATTTGATCCCAGGAGTTCGAGGCTGCAATCAGCTATGATCATGTCATTGTACCTCAGCCTGGGCAACATAGTGAGACCCTCGGCTCTAAAAAAGAAAAAAAAATGAGGCCGAGCGCAGTGGCTAACTCCTGTAATCCCAGCAATTTGGGTGGCCAAGGCAGGCGGATCACCTGAGGTCGGAAGTTCGAGACCAGCCTGGCCAACATGGTGAAACCCCATCTCTAATAAAAATACATAATTAGCTGGGCGTGGTGGCGCATGCCTGTAGTCACAGCTACTGGGGAGGCTGAGGCAGGAGAATTGCTTGAACCCGGGAGGCGGAGGTTGCAGTGAGCCGAGATAGCGCCATTGCACTCCAGCCTGGGCAACAGGTACGAGACTCCGTCCCAAAAAAAAAAAAAAGAAAGAAAGAAAGAAAAGAGAACCCACAGAATGGAGGAAATTATTTGTAGATCATATTTGACAAAAATCTAGTATCCAGAATATATAAAGAACTATTACAACTTAATAATAAAAATGATATATTTAGGGGAAATTTAAACACTAATATTAAGACATTAATATTTTTTAGGTGAGATAGAAGTATTGCGATTATGTTTTTGTTTTGTATGTACTTTTCTGACTTTTGTGTGTGTTTGGAAATGTCCATATTAGAAAAGAATCAAATCTAACAGTATCAACTCAGCAGTACTATGGCAGGGTTAACAGGCCTATCTACCGAGCCAGTTTAATGTATACTGGGGAAGTGACATTACAGATTCACTGCAAAGAGCTTAGGTTTTGGAATCAGACTCTGCCACTTAAATGCACTGGAACCCTGCACAAATCCCTTAACTTGTCAACATCTGTTTTTGCACCTGTGAAACTGGGATATTACTTCCTTGTGTCGCTTTGTGAAGAATAGGTGAGATAATGTGTATAAAATGTCTGGCACATAGTTGATGCACTAGAAATGTTAATAACCCTGGGGCGGGAGGCGGTGGGGGAACAGGTTTTTTTTCTTTCTTTTTTTAAATAGAAATGGGGTCTCCCTGTGTTGCCCAGGCTGGTGTTGAACTCCTGGGCTCAAGTGATCTTCCTGTTTCAGCTTCCCAAAAACTGAGATTACAGGCTTGAGCTACCATGCCAATTTTTTGTTTCTTGTTTTTACTAAGTTTCAGGGTAGAAGGAAATGAAGGTCACTGTTTTAGATGAATGGGAAAAGGCCCTTAGAAGTTGTGTGGGAGTTTGGCATTTCCTTCTGACTACTGAGCCTCCCTGTTTATGTTTTCATTCCTTTGTCTTTGCTTATAAAGGCCACTGGTGGCAAATTTAGTTCTAGGGTCATCTGCTTTAAGAGAAAAAAACTTTCCAGCCTGGGAAACAAAGCGGGACCCCCTATCTCTACACAAATTTTAAAATTAGCCTAGTGTGGTGGTACACGCCTGTGGTCCCACCTACACAGGAGGCTGAGGCAAGAGGATCACTTGAGGCCAGAAGTTTGAGAACAGCTTGGGCAACATAGTGAGACCCTGTCTGTACGAAAAATTTAAAAAGTAGTCGGCGTGGTGGTGTGCGCCTGTAGTCCTAGCCACTTGGGAGACTGAGGCAGGAAGATTGCTTGAGCCCAGCAGGTCAAGGCTGCAATGAGCCACGTTCATGCCACTGTACTCCAGCTTGGTGACAGAGCCAGACTTTCTCTCAAAAAAAGAGACAAACTTCCATTTTGAATCTTGAGGAAATCAATGCAGTTGCAGAATCATATTTCCTTCCTATGTTGATATGTAGGATTTAGTAGCTTAAATAGGTCTAAAAGATACTTAATTAAAATAAGTGACCTGGATTTTTTTCCCCCCAGGTTTTAACCTTTTCTATTCTTTTTCTTAGAAGCAAGAAAATATGTTCCACACCCATGATTATGTGATTGTATACCCAGGCCTTTTTATCGGTGTGTGTAATAATAAAACTGGTGTTAAAATGTAGTACGTATTTGCCAGCGCGGTGGCTCACGCCTGCAATCCCAACACTTTGGGAGGCCGAGGCGGGCAGATCACAAGGTCAGAAGTTCAAGACCAGCCTAGCCAACATGGTGAAACCCATCTCTACTAAAAACACAAAAAATTAGCCTGGCGTGGTGGCAGGCACCTGTAATCCCAGCTACTCGGGAGGCTGAGGCAGGGGAATTGCTTGAACCCAGGAGGCGGAGGTTGCAGTGAGCTGAGACCACGCCACTGCACTCCAGCCTGGGTGACAGATCGAGACTCCATCTCAAAAAAAAAATATATATATATATCTATATATATATATAGATATACGTATATCTATATAGATACGTATATCTATATATATATTTTTGTACTCTGACTCACAGACACACACTATCAATACATTATATATATTGTATATATATATACAAGGCGTGGTGGCACGCACCTGTAGTCCCAGCTACTCGGGAGGATGAATCAGGAGAATCACCTGAACCAGAGAGGCAGAGGTTGCAGTGAGCCAAAATCACGCCATTGCACTCCAGGCTGGGCAACAGAGCAAGACTCTGTCTCAAGAAAAATAAAAATAAATAAAAAATAAAATAAAATAATGATGCAGTGATAACCTCATATGTGTCATTTCATTTGTTTGAAATTGTATTTGTAGGATACATGTGACTGCTAGATCATAGGGCAAATGGATTTGTGATTTGGGTAGACAAGAAAAGAGCACCATATTTTTTATAACAAATCTAAAAAAGTATCTGACCTTCAATAGTAGTTGACTTTTTTTTTTTTTTTTTTTTTTTTTTTTTGAGATGGAGTTTCGCTCTTGTTGCCCAGGCTGGAGTGCAATGGTGCGATCTTGGCTCACTACAACCTCTGCCTCCCGGATTCAAGCGATTCTCCTGCCTCAGCCTCCCGAGTAGCTGGCACTACAGGCACCACCACCACGCCCAGCTAATTTTTTTATTTTTAGTAGAGAGATGGGGTTTCACCATGTTGGCCAGGATGGTCTCGATCTCTTGACCTCGTGATCCACCCGCCTTGGCCTCCCAAAGTGCTGGGATTACAGGCGTGAGCCAGCACGCCCGGCCCAGACTCGCTTTTATAACTGACACACTTAGGATAACAAATCTACTCCTGCAATAATGACATTAATCAATTCATGGAGGCACGGCCCTCGTGACTTAATCACGTCTTACTAGGTCTCGCCTCCCAACACAGTTCCGTTGGGGTTAAGTTTCCAACACATGAACGTTAGGGGACCAGTCCAAACCCTAGCAAATGGCATTTCACAGACAGGCTAGGGATCAGATATTACATCACATTACATAGTTACTTTCCCATTTCAAATTCCCTTCGTCCCAAGAGCCACTTTGTCTTTTCAGTTGTAAAGCCAGTTTCCCACCTGAAGTTGGTATTATAGTTCCTCATTAGTACTCAGGGATATTTACATGTATTCAAAATGAATCTGAAAAGCAGTTATTTAAGTAAGCCGTATGTTAAGAAGTAGGAGGTCTGGAAAAGTGGCTGATACCCATAATCCCAACACTTTGGGAGGCTGAGGTGGGAGGATCACTTGAGATCCCAGGAATTCAAGACCTACCTGGACAACATAGCCAGACCTCACATCTGCAAAACAAGACATTGGGATTCTGTTTAGAACTGATTGGTGTTTGATGTTTTCAACAGTTGCAAAATGCAAATTTTTAATTTAAAAAACGTATTAAATTGTTTACGTTAACCTTTTGTATACTGGATATTCTTCAGAATAAACCTATGAACTGCTGAATTATGGCATGTAGAAGTTAAGCAGTTTTTCCTAAATTCATAAACAGCTGTACAAACACCTAGGATTAGAAAAGGAGATGCTGAGGCTGGGTGTGGTAGCTCACACCTGTAATCCCAGCACTTTGGGAGGCTGAGGTGAGTGGATCACAAGGTCAGGAGTTCAAGACCAGCCTGGCCAAGATGGTGAAACCCCGTCTCTACTAAAAATACAAAAATTAGCTGAGCACAGTGGCAGGCGCCTGTAATCCCAGCTACTTGGGAAGCTGAGGCAGGAGAATTGCTTGAACCTGGCGGGGCGGAGGTTGCAGTGAGCCGAGATCACGCCACTGCACTCCAGCCTGGGTGACAGAATGAGACTCCGTCTCAAAAAAAAAAAAAAAAAAAAAAAGAAAAAGAAAAGGAGATGCCAAACCACAATTAGGGCTGTGTCTCAGTGGCGTTTCCCTACATAAGGCAAGATGAACGGAAAGTGTTGCCTTCTTACCTGGCACCTCATGAGAGGGTAGTTGTCGCTCTGCTTTGTACCCCAGCTTCCCTTTAATACCGACAGTAAATTCATATCCCTTGGCCAGGTTTATTTTCTTCATTCTATAAAAATGCCTATTTTAGGAAGCTTACGTATAGTAGCACTTGCTATCTGCTAAGCATTGTGCTAAGCACTTGGCATGTATCATCTCATCTTCCTTATTACGTTCGTATGAGATAGATAATATTTTATCCCCGGGATTTTTTTTTTTTTTTTTGAGATGGAGTCTCGCTCCGTCGCCCAGGCTGGAGTGCAGTGACGCGATCTCGGCTCACTGCAAGCTCCGCCTCCTGGGTTCACACCATTCTCCTGCCTCAGCCTCCCAAGTAGCTGGGACTACAGGCGCCTGTCACCACGCCCTGCTAATTTTTTTTATTTTTAGTAGAGACGGGGTTTCACCGTGTTAGCCAGGATGGTCTCGATCTCCTGACCTCGTGATCCGCCCGCCTCGGTCTCCCAAAGTGCTGGGATTACAGGCGTGAGCCACTGCGCCTGGCCTTTATCTCTGTTTTGAATTCAAAATATTCTTCCAAAATTTGTTACTGCTGTAACTAAAACAACTGACCTACCAAAGCACTTTGGACTAATTTTCTTTTTTCAAATCCCTCCTCAGCGTACCAGTAATGTTCGATCCACATTTTTCAAGGACTGTTTATATGAAGTATTTGATGACTTGGAGTCAAAGATGGAAGATTCTGGAAAACAGCTACTTCAGTCAGTTCTCCACCTGATGGAAAATGGAGCCCTCGTATTAACTACAAATTTTGATAATCTCTTGGAACTGTATGCAGCAGATCAGGGGAAACAGCTTGAATCCCTTGACCTTACTGATGAGAAAAAGGTAAAAAGTAAAGCATTGGTCCCTTCTTCAGGCTAGTGGATTTTATCTTCCTCAGAAAAGCTCTTTTCTAGTTGGTATATTGGTATTTATGTAGAGCTAGAAAGGAAAAATTTTTTCCCTGGTTGGAGTTTTTGTTTTTCTTTTTTCTTTCTTTTTAAAGATCAAATCAATATACAGTAAAATGCATAGAACTTAAAAGTGTTCAGTTCTATGACTCTTGACAATTTCATCCAGTTTTAAAGCAAGATTAGAGGAAGTCACTTGAACTGTAAGATCTCTTTAGCACTTGACAGTATTCAGTGGTGTAATATTGATAATGCTGGTTCTATTTTAGGATACCTTTTTTTATGGCATCTATTGGAAATGTATGAAAACTACTTTATACTGATTGGAAGAACAACTTCCAGGCCAAGCGATGGCTGAATTGAGGTTAATGTTTAGTGGAAACCTCAGCAGACTTTGTTTTAGCATAGTCTATACTGTACCTACCATAATTATTGAATTATAGATGTTGATCTGTGTCAGCTAATGAGATGAGTTCTTAAAGTCTCATTGGTCCTACTCTGTGATTTTTGTAATGTTTTTTCCTACACTTTGTTTTCCTCAGGAATCTGCCTTTATGTCCAATTTAGAGCCCAACTAAGTAGAGTTGAATAGACAAGTGATTTGCCTGCTGGCATTCAGTACTACAGTATTGCCCCTGCCAGAGTGGTAGCTGAAATACCACTCTTGTGGTTTTGCTGACCTTGATGGCAGGATTTAAAGGGAATTGAATTTAGAGAAAAGCTGCCCCATGAAGACTAGTTTTCTCTGGTCCAAGTGTCTTCCGCCTACGCCCTCATATTCTGTATGGTCAGCTCCTTCTTCATTTATAACTCTCAACCTAGGGATCCCCTCCTGAGAGACCTTCTCTGACCATCCTATTTAAATTGGATACTTATTTTTTTTATCCAGTCTCTTGTCCGTTTCCTTTGTAGCACTTAGTATTAACTTGCAGCTTTTTTTTTTTTTTTTTGAGAGACAGTTTCGCTCTTGTTGCCCTGGGTTCAAGTGATTCTCCTGCCTCACCCTCCTGAGTAGCTGGGATTACAGGCATGTGCCACAACGCCCGGCTAATTTTGTATTTTTGGTAGAGACGGGGTTTCTCCATGTTGGTCAGGCTAGTCTCAAACTCCTGACCTCAGGTGATCTGCTAACCTCAGCCTCCCAAAGTACTGGGATTACAGGCATGTGCCTGGCCGTTTTGTTTTGTTTTGTTTTGTTTTGTTTTGAGATGGAGTTTTGCTCTTGTCGCCCAGGCTGAAGTGCAATGGCATGATCTCAGCTCACTGCAACCTCCTCCTCCTGGGTTCAAGCGATTCTCCTGCCTCAGCGTCCCGAATAGCTGGGATTACAGGCACCCGCCATCACGTCTGGCTAATTTTTGTATTTTCAGTAGAGACAGGGTTTCACCATGTTGGCCAGGCTGGTCTCGAACTCCTGACCTCAGGTGATCTGCCCACCTTAGCCTCCCAAAGTGCTGGGATTACAGGCATGAGCCACCACACCCAGCACAGTTTTTATCTTGGCTGTTTATCTGTTTTCTGACTGTTTACCCCATAGGAATAGTAACTTCACTTGGATAGGTATCATGTTAGTCTTTCTTACCCTCATAACTCAAATACAACCCTCATGTCTCAAATATGACAGTTAGGTGCTTGGTAAATATTTTTTTGATTAATAAATGATTGGGCTGGGCACAGCAGCTCAGGCCTGTAACCCCAGCACTTTGGGAAGCTGAGGCGGGAGGATCACTTGAGCCTAGTTCAAGACCAACCTGGGCATCATAGCAAGACCCCATCTCTACAAAAAGTTTAAAAATTAGCCGGGCATGGTGGTGTTTGCCTGTGGTCCCAGCTACTTGGGAGGCTGAAGCAGGACGATCGATTGAGCTGAGGCAGTCGAGGCTACAGTGAGTTGTGATCACACTGTTGCACTCCAGCCTGGGTGACAGCATAAGATCATGTCTCTAAATAAATAGGCTGGGCACAGTGGTTCACGTCTGTAATCCCAGCATTTTGGGTGGCCGAGGTGGGTGGATCACTTGAGGTCAGGATTTTGAGACCAGCCTGTCCAACATGGTGAAACCCCGTCTTTACTAAGAATACAAAAACTAGCTGGGAGTGGTGGTGCACGCCTGTAATCCCAGTTACTTGGGAGGCTGAGGCAGGAGAATCATTTGAACCCAGGAGGCAGAGGTTTCAGTGAGCCAAGATTGCGCCACTGTGCTCCAATCTGGGCAACAGACCAAGACTCTGTCTAAAAACAAACAAACAAATGATTGAAATTTTAAAACTAGCAGCTTCTATGCTATTTGTGATAAAATTTCCAAAGATTATGACCAAGTGTGTTCATGGATATCAGAAGCATAAGGACCTTTTAAAAGCTGAGGATATCTATCACATTTGATGTTTTCCTTCTCATTTCATCCTTGGGCCTCAAGATTTGCATTGTATTTTCAGCCCACATTAGGGGCAGTGTTGCAGTCTAATGGTTAAAGACATTGACTGGTAGTCAGAATGGGGCCTAGTAACATTCAAATTCTAAATCTCGGTGCCTCTTGACTACTTTCCTGATTCATAGCCTATTTCTCCAAAATGTGATAAGAATAAATGTATGCTGTCTCCAGTCCTTGGGAAAATGGAGCCATGGAATCAGGTGGCTATTGCATTCGCTGTTGTCTAAATGATTGTTCTTCGCTGGCAGCCTTTTAGGTTCCTCAGAGGTGACTGAAGTGATTTTTCTATCACTTATCTATTGCTGTACAAGTAATGGCCGTGAAACTTTGTGGCTTGTAACAACAAATATCTTATCTGCCCATGATAAAGTATATTAACAATTTGAACTGGGCTCAGTGACTCAGCCAGGCATTTTTTCTGCTGATTTTTGCACCCTCTTCACATACCTGCAGACATCTGATGGCCGCACCAGGGCTGAGTGATATAAGGGGACCATACTTCCCTGCAAGCAATTGGCCAGGCCATATATGTCCCAGCAGGCTAGCCCAGGCTTCTTCACTTTCTTCGCATGGCAGCTGGATTCCAAAAGTAACACAAGAGAAGTAAGACTTCTTGTGCCAACACTTTTCAAGCTTCTGCTTGTGTGTGTTTGCTAGTATCCCATTGGCTAAAAGCAAGCCATGTGGTTAGCCTGGAGTCACTCCGAAGAGGGGCCACACAAGGGCCTGGATACAGAGGCTTGATTTCTTGGGGCGATCACTGAAGCAGTTGTCCATAGCTCTCATGCATGCCACCAGTGCAAAGGGTCCCTGTTGTTTCTGCAAATTATGACAAATTGTGATTTTTGATGCTTACTTTCAAAGAGAAATCACCAAATTTGTTGCCATCATTCTTGACAGTCATTCCTGAAGTGGAAACTTAGACCACATCAGGTTTTGCATTCTTGTCCTATATCATGAAGCTAGAGAGTTTATGTCAGAAGTCTAGTCCTCAAAACAGCCTCTTGCCCATTGTGACCTTTAAACAGGTGCTCAGCCCTGCCAAGCTGGTTGGGCTATATGTGTGTTGTGCAGGTCCTCGAGTGGGCTCAGGAGAAGCGTAAGCTGAGCGTGTTGCATATTCACGGAGTCTACACCAACCCTAGTGGCATTGTCCTTCATCCGGCTGGATATCAGAACGTGCTCAGGAACACTGAAGTCATGGTGAGTGGGGCTGATCTTGCTGGTCTCAGGAACTCCTTCCTGGGAAATCTCTCTAAATATGCCATAGATCTTAAAGGGGAACATCTTCTTTTCATTAAGTGAAAACGGAAGGTCAGGGGCTAGGAGCAGTGGCTCATGCCTATAATCCCAACACTTTGGGAGGCCAAGGGGAGAGGATCACCTGAGGCCAGGAGTTCGAGACCAGCCTGGGCAACATAGCGAGACTCTTGTCTTTACAAAAATAAAATTAGCTAGGCATCATGGTGCATGCTGTCCCAGCTACTTGGGAGGCTGAGGCAGGAAGATTAGTTGAGACTAGGAATATAAGGCTGTAGTGAGCTGTGTCTAGAGCCACTGCACTCCAGCTTGGGTGACAGAGCAAGGCCCTATCTCTAAAAAAAGAAAGAAACTGGAAAGTCAGACGTTCTTCCTGTGCTTCTTAACTTATGGGTGTGCATGCTGTCTAGGAAATGTAGAATTTCTCTTAAGGTGTCAAACCCTATGATCTTTGTTTGTACTTAATTGACAACCAGCAGATGGCATGTCATCATTGGCATCATCTTCACATACAAAGGATACATTAGTACCCTTTATCATCATTTGGTTTATTAATAGCCCTCTCTGTGTCAGAAATAATTGAGGCAGCTTCTTAACAAACCAACCACTACTAGAGAATACATTCTAAAGAGACTTTGTATAAATGGCAATGGGCTTATATTGAATTAACCACATTTATTCACACTTACTCTTTGTGAAAAGCTTATTGATCTTTTGGGATGCACATTTTCGACTTGTTCAGATAAACATGTTCAAACCAGAAGTATTCGCTGCCCCCAGCTCTAAGAATCTTGTTTGCTGTTTTCAGGACTGGGTCATATAGATTATAGCATCTTTTAATAATGAGGCAAAAGACCGAGAAAATGTATTGTCTAAAGCACAAGGGACTTTTTTTTCTTTTTACCCATTCTTTCCCAACATCTGCCATAACTGCATCCATCTCTGACATTGAGTGATCCCTTAGGCAGTCATTTCTGTGTTTTTGTGTGTGTATATGTATACACACACACACACATACTGATGTTCTAAGTATCAAACGCCTTTCCTTGAGCAAATCCGATGATGGAATTATCTTCTCTGGTGATTCACAGTTCAGTTTGTGAGACAAAGGCAAATATGGTCCAGAAATGGAAGGATTAAGATATATGAAGACCTACTCTTTGCACAATGACCTCTGGGCACATAAATCTAAAAAAGTACGCCTGTAATCCCAACACTTTGGGAGGCTGAGGCAGGCAGATCACATGAGGTCAGGAGTTCCAGACCAGCCTGGCCAACATGGTGAAACCCTGTCTCTACTAAAAATAGGAAAATTAGCTGGGCGTGCTGGCAGGTGCCTGTAATGCCAGCTACTTGGGAGTCTGAGGCAGGAGAATCGCTTGAACCTGGGAGGCAGAGGAGGTTGCAGTGAGCCAAGACCATGCCACTGCACTCCAGCCTAGGTGGCAGAGCAAGACTCTGTCTCAAAAATAAAATAAAAATAAAAAAGTAAACTACTGGCCAAGTGCAGTGGCTCACGCCTGTAATCCCAGCACTTTGGGAGGCCAAGGTGGGTGGATCACTCGAGGTCGGGAGTACCAGACCAGCCTGGCCAACATGGCAAAACCCCGTCTCTACTAAACATTCAAAAATTAGCTGGGTGTGGTGGTGCACACTTGTAATATACTCGGGAGGCTGAGGCATGAGAGTCACTTGAACCAGGGTGGTGGAGGTTGCAGTAAGCCGAGGTCACACCACTACACTCTAGCCCAGGTGAAAGAGTGAGACTCCGTCTCAAAAAATATATAAAGCATAAAAAATAAAGAAGTAAACTACTGCACCAGTACACTGACACCAGCTCTATGAAACGCTGATTAGAGAGCCTACAGAAGAATGGCAGGTAAAGATAAAATTTTAGACCAATCATCAAGTTACAGCAATAAGCAAGAGATCACACTCCTTGATGGGACATACCAACCCACTTAAGTCTTGCTTAATTGGTCATCACAGTCTGCTCAACGTAGCATGACCTTCTTGTTTCAGACTTGCCTTGAGTGTGTCTTCACAATGTCAATATGTTGTATCTTTTCCTTCCAGAGAGAAATTCAGAAACTCTACGAAAACAAGTCATTTCTTTTCCTGGGCTGTGGCTGGACTGTGGATGACACCACTTTCCAGGCCCTTTTCTTGGAGGCTGTCAAGCATAAATCTGACCTAGAACATTTCATGCTGGTTCGGAGAGGAGACGTAGATGAGTTCAAAAAGCTTCGAGAAAACATGCTGGACAAGGGGATTAAAGTCATCTCCTATGGAGATGACTATGCCGATCTTCCAGAATATTTCAAGCGACTGACATGTGAGATCTCCACAAGGGGTACATCAGGTAAGATGCATTTTGAAGCTGAGGGGAATCAGAGAACAACAGCTCTTCAGCCTTTTGTGTATTTGTGATGTGATGGGCAAAATAGTTGCCAAGATGAGGAATGTAATGACTGACCAAATTGTAAAGGAGGCCACAGTCTTCAGGTTAGACTAAAGTGCCACTTGGATTATGGGAAGACAGACAAAAAGGAATACTTGAGCAGTTCAATATAGACATAGGAAGAATGAAGAAAACAGATGTTCAGCCTCACTAGTTATCAATGAAATGCAGTTTGAATTTAGATTACAAAATAGCGAAGAAAGATCACCCAATTTTGGCTAAGGCTGTGAGAAAATAAATTTATTCATGGAGTATTTGTGGAAAGGTAAAGTTAGTACAACTTTTATGACCATAAATTAGAAGATGTAACAAAAATTTTCAAATCTTTGACCTAGAAATCCCATCAAAACAATTTATCCTAGAAGTTTCTCATAAGGAGATAATTGGATGATTGCACAATCACACAATTGTACAAAGATGCATGCGTGGGAATGTAATTTCCATTGAATGTAGTGGCAAAAAATTGGAAGGATCCTAAAATTGGTGGAGATTCTACAGATATGCCAATATTTATTTAATTGATGAAATACAATGAAACCATAGAAGGGAAAGTGTTTTCATTGCCATAAAAAAAAAAGTTAGAGACATATGAGTAAAGGAAGAAAAAGCAGGTTGTAAATACCATGGTCAGCTATATTCATATAGAATTGTACATTTTTTTTTTTTTTTTGGTGCGTGTAGAAATGTATCTGGAATGTTTACTAAATTAAGTGGCTATCTTTAGTAGGATTTAAAGTGTTGATTTTTTGGTTTCTGTATTGGCATTTTCTATGATGATTATGTATTATATTTACAAACAGAAAACTTACTTTTAGAAATGCTATTTGGAAACGGATAATGGTGATATTCAAGTCAGAGGATAGGGGTATCATACACTTGATATTTTACCTCCACATTCTAACAATAAAGAGCAAAATGGTGATTAAAGATTCAGCTGATTAGTGGCTGCAGGCAAATTCCCAGTAACCGCACAAAACACAAACATTTTTGGTATCAGCTAAACTGAAGAATGCTTTTTCAAAACCTCACATTGCCAGGCTCCAGAGTATGGCTAGTGTGACTCATCCATCTAATTCCAAAAAAACTTGGCTGTTGTGCACAGAATATTTCCTGAAAACTTATGTAAGTATTTTCATTGTCAACCTGAATGCATCTTAGGAGGGCAAAAGTACAGGTAATTTGTCCTGTAATCCCAACACTGTGGGAGGCCCAGGTGGGAGGATCACTTGAGGCCAGGAGTTCAAGATGAGTGTGAGCAACATAGTGAGAACCTGTCTCTGCAAAAAATTAGCCAGGTGTGGTGGCACACACCTGTAGTCCAGCTGCTTGGGAGGTTGAGGCAGGAGGATCACTTGAGCCCAGGAGTTGGAGTCTGCAGTGAGCTATGATTGCATCACTGCCCTACAGTCTGAGCAATAAAGCAAGACGCTGTTTCTAAAATAAATAACATACAGGTAATTTAATAAACATAAAGCAGTTTTCCTAAATCAAATCATCCCCAGATTTCTTAACTGAATCAGATGGCTTCAAGTAGAATTCTCCTGTAATGAAAAATTACACAGCTTCTTCCATGGCTATGCTTTGATGGAACCAGACTTTTAAAAGCCATCACCACATGAACAAGTCTCATTTGTGAAAACTATTTACTATTCTTTGTTGGAAATGAGTTTTTCTGGTGTCCTGCAGTGTTCTAGACTCTCCTGCTGTTGTTTGCCCACACTTGAGACTTTGAGAAGGCTTTTCTGTTGCACATGTTGTTTTCATTAACAAGACATACATATCCAAGTTCTACATATTTCTTTTGATCTATATGCTGAGGAAAGATGCTAAAGTTTAAAACAGCAAAATCCGTCTGCATAACTGTTTCTGTTGCACTAAATCTTAGCAAAAAATAAATATGTCTTTAGACTGTTGCATTACATAACAAAGAAGCAGTAAGGTTCCTTAGTGCACTAAGATTGCTCTAAGGAACCTTAACTGCTATTGTGGAATGGCACAAATTCTTTTATTAGCTGTGTAGGCTTCCTACCAGAGTAGCTTTCCCCGAAGTTACCCATCATTAAGGTGTTCTGTATCTTTAAACAAAATCAAGGATTTTCAGTATGGCCAGAGTGCTTTATGGGAATGGTCAGCTGAGTTTGTCATGTGAAATGTAGTAGAGCAGTTTCAGGTTAAAACATCATTTCATTTTGAAACGAGTCAACCTTATCTTTCACCCTTGCATAATGTTTTGAGTCTCTGTAGATATAGACTAATGAGAGGTTACAGGTCTTTTGCTGTTATTTTGTTTTTTAACACTGAACCTTTGCTATGTGCCTGGCATTGTGCTGTATACTCACTTTTGCATAGTGGAAATTAATTGTCTTCAAAGGATTCTATAGTATGTAGTTACACATATTTTGGAAAAATCAAGCAGTGGGAAAAAGAAAAATAATTCTTATAATCCATTACCATACAAGCAGTCGTTGTGGTACTTTTTTTTTTTTTTTTTTTGAGATGGAGTCTCGCTCTGACGCCAGGCTGGAGTGCAGTGGCACAATCTCGGCTCACTGCAACCCCCGCCTCCTGGGTTCAAGTGATTCTCCTGCCTCAGCCTCCTGAGTGGCTGGAACTATAGGCGCCCACCACCATGCCCGGCTAATTTTTTGTATTTTTAGTAGAGATGGGGTTTCACCATGTTGGCCAGGATGGTCTCGGTCTCCTGACCTCATGATCCACCCGCCCTGGCCTCCCAAAGTGCTGGGATTACAGGCGTGAGCCACCATGCCCGGGCCTATTTATTGATTTGAGATGGAGTTTCTCTCTGTCACCCAGGCTAGAGTGCAGTGGCGCAATCTCAGCTCACTGCAAGCTCTGCCTCCTGGGTTCACGCCATTCTCCTGCCTCAGTCTCCCGAGTAGCTGGGACTAAAGGCGCCCGCCACCACACCCGGCTAATTTTTTGTATTTTTAGTAGATACAGCGTTTCACTGTGTTAGCCAGGATGGTCTCGATCTCCTGACCTCGTGATCCACCCACCTCAGCCTCCCAAAGTGCTGGGATTACAGGCGTGAGCCACTGTGCCAGCTTTATTTTTATTTTATTATTATTACTATTTTTGATACAGGGTCTTGCTTTTTCACCCAGGCTGCAGTACAATGGCACAGTCATGGCTCACCACAGCCTTGACCTCCCCGGGCTCAGGCGATCCTCCCACCTCAGCCTCCCGAGTAGCTGAGACTAAAGGCACATACCACAATGCCCAGCTAATTTTTGTATTTTTTGTAGAGATGGGGTTTCGCCATGTTGCCCAGGCTGTTCTCAGTCTCCTAAGTGCAAGCAATCCTCCCACCTCAGCTTCCCAAAGTTCTGGGATTATAGGTGTGAGCCACAGCACCTGGCCTTGGCACATTTCTGATGAAGTTTTCCCTGTGCTTTTTTTCATAGTTGTAAACAAAATATAGTGATTTTTTTTTTTTTTTGGTCCTTTGAAAATTCAGTAGTGGATTGTACATTTTCCCACATCCCTATCTTCATAACCACTATTTTAATTGACTTTTATATTCCAGTAGGGGTGTTACAGTTTACCTAATTATTCCTGTTAGGCAACGTCTGATATTTTTTTTGCCAGTTTTTTGTAAGTCATGTTGTGAAAATAACATCTGTATCTCTTCAGTTTTTCCAGTAATTTCCTTGATGAGTTCTCACTGTAATCAGGTCAAAGATCAGGAACATTTCAGTAATTTATAAATACTGCTAAATTGTTTTCTACGAGGGTAATATCAATTTGTATATTTGAGTACCATGCCTGTTTATACTGTAATTGACCATATTTCTAATGACTATTTTCTTCCATGTGTTCAGCTTTTTACTTTTTCTGAACTATTATCTATGCCAAGTGTTATCCAGTAGAATTTCCTGCAGTCATAAAAATACTGTATAATCTTCACTGTCTAGTATCATAGTTAGGAGCCACATGTGGCTGGTGCACCGTTGAAATGTGGCCAGTGTGACTGAGGAATGGAATTTTTAATTTGAAACCAAGTAGCTGCATATGGCTAGTGCTACCGTATTTTATTTTGTGGGAGTATTCTGCTGCTTTTCACTCTTCTATTTGAAGTTGCTCACTCACATGCCATTTGCCCATCCCTGGTGAGATTGAATTTTTACCGAAACTTGGCCCTCTAGACTGTTTAGGGACAGCAGACACATGTTGCCTGTATGTGAAATGTAAAATGTAAAATGTAAAATGTTTTGTCTACAAGCAATCGTAGTGCACTGTGGAAACTCACTGCTTCCCTGTTAGGTAATGCAAGTCTAAAGACTACTCCAGTTTATCCTCTCTGCCTCCTTATCTTCTCAATGATTGTTTCATTTCTAAATGCCCATTCCTTTTCAGTCGTACCATATGTCCTCATCTCCCTTTAGTTTTCTTTTTGCTATTAATAGTTTTAGCTTTTCAGTCTAATGTCTGATGCTGATGTCCTCTATTTAGCAGGGATGGTGAGAGAAGGTCAGCTAAATGGCTCATCTGCAGCACACAGTGAAATAAGAGGTATACTGTTTCCTATTCTACTATTTATCACTCTGTAGCAGAAAGTCTTTCTAGGTCCTTGGTTAAGAATATAGAGAATGTTACTTTGGACCTCACATTGCCAAATTTTAAAAAACACTGTAGAGAATGATTTTCCTCTCCTACCCATTAAGGATTCTATCTTTTCCTATCAAGTCTATTACAATCTAGTGCAGTGATCAGTTAATTTTTTGAAAAAAGTACTGCTGGGTGTGGTGGCTCAGGCCTGTAATCCCAGCACTTTGGGAGGCTGAGGCAGGAGGATTGCTTGAGCCCAGGAGTTTGAGACCAGCCTGAGCAACATAGCAAGATGCTGTTTCTACAAAAAAAATTTTTTTAAATTGCTAGGTCTGGTGCTGTGTGCCTATAGTCCCGGCTACTGGCTGAGGTAGGAGGATTGCTTGAGCCCAGTGAGCTGATTGTGCCACTGCATTTGAGCCTGGGTGACAAAGACCTTGTCTCTAAAAAGTAAATAAAATTTTAAATAAATTACAAGATTCCTAGAATCTCCTGTCTTGCCTTCTGAAGGGTTAGGATTGACTTAAGTATCTGCAGCTTCCAATGTATAAACCTGTTTTGTGAAACTTCATTTTGTTCTCTTTTCTTTCTCCCTACAGGCTGTAGTACATGAGCGAGCTAGAGAAATCACCACCGTTTAGACCAAGCTGTAAGGCCCTACTACAGACAGTGTTTAACAAGTAAACTTACAAGAACCCAACACAATTCCCAGAAAGTAACAATAGCCAGAGGTTGAAGGGCGGGGTAGAAGAGGGGGGAATGTTGCAGCGTAATCCTTCATACCACCTGGTTCTTGATATTCTGCCGCCTGTTCAAGTTCAAGAATAAAAGCGACAGCAGGACCCAAATGCAGCTCCCAACCCACTCCCCAGGCTAGACATGCTTGTGTCCACACAGCACACCAATGTGATACTTCCACTGACCGGCTGCAGCTCTGCATGAAGGACTCGGGGTCTGGATGCCATGGAATCACTGTGGCTCTTGTTGCAGTTTTGTACTCTATACTTGGTTTTTCAATTAAGCTTAATGGCTTTTTTAAAACATGACTTGAAGCTCTAGTTTTCTAGATCTTTTACAGTGTACAGTATTTTACATAACTAAGCTGTATTAAAAGCTTGTTCATTTACTTGCCAGGACCCTGGCTCTACTTTTAGAGTCATTGTAAGAAACTCTAACTTGCATCAAGGTACTAATAAGCTTAATTTTAATAACCCAAAGTTTAAAGGTTCCGATCTTTCTCCTTGGGGTGGAGTGATCTCATTCTCAGGACAACCGTTTACTTACCTGATTCCTCGGAGCATTATCAACTTCTGCTCTGTTGTCCTGACCATACATATGTCCTAGAACTACAGTTAAGTGTGTTGTGGAATTTTAGTTTTGAATCCTGTATAAAAGAACTCCAAGACCTAAAAGGCAATTTATTTATGAAATTTATTTTCTTATATAAATTACTTATTTCTCTGGGCAGACAGCCTTCACCTTATTGCACTAATAGCACATCTGTAATATCAAGCTACAGGACAAGTCTTAACAAGAGGTTTGTGTTCTTCAATGTAGCACTTGTCTACCAGGCACTGTAGAGGGGAGTGATGAGGAAAAGCCAGGACTGCTTAGGAGGTGAAGGATGGGAGGGGAGGGGGTCATCATACATCCTTCTGACAATTGGTTTCCTCCCAGGAAGGGGAACATGCAGAGCTTACTTCTGGATTCTGGGAGTGGGAAGAGTTGGGAGGCCAAGAAGCCCAATGCAACGCTGCAGCTGAGCTCCTTTTATTTCTGAGGGAAGCAAGGACTCATCTTTTGCTCATTTGTA